>NC_000002.12:88414528-88719911 GCF_000001405.40 Homo sapiens | reverse complement strand
ATTAATGTCAAAAGCACACTGATGCAAGACCAGCATATGGGCACCTGGGTCAGATTAACAAGGTTATCTTGAGGCATTAACCGACTCCTTAATAAAGGTTATAAAGTCTATAAAAGACTTATGGAAGTTATATCTTATGTTCAAGATTAAAATTTTATAAATTGTTTATACATTTTGGAAAACAAATTTAATTAGCTTCATGTTTTGATTAGGGCTTATTGTTTGGCAAATTAAGTCTCCTCTCTCAAAAAATGAAGGTTTTTGACTTTTTCTTTTTTAAATCCTTAGGTTATCACTTTGGTTAAATGAATGACTTATTTTACAATGACCTGTGATCCTCTTTTGTGATATCAAGTGTTTTAAACCTTTGATATTTGACAATATTTCCAAAATCAAATTATAAATTATGTCTTTTTCTGACCTAATTAATCCTTTAAGATACCAGGTTCCCTAAAATCTAAAACAATGACATAATTTGGCTTATTTGGTATAAAAATTATACAGGAAGCATTGTCAAATATGAAATGGTGTTTGCTTTTCTCTGGGCTGTATTTGTATAAATGTTATTGGTATGTGTTCCAAAATTATGGGAAACTCCTATAATTCTGATATGACTTAATGTATGTTATCAGTAATAATTATAATTGTTATGTTAAATTACTATGTGCTACAGAGGTAACAAATCTCCTTGTCAACTGTGTCTTGACTATAGCTGCCCTAAAACTTTTTGTCATCCATGACAATTGTTGTCTTGTTTGGTCCTCTTTAGAAGGTGGCTTTATAATCAGCTATAAAACTCTTAACAGGTGCTCTTGAATACAAGTTTCTCACAACTTTAGAGATTGTAACATCAGAATAAAGGAAAAACTTTCAGGACTCAGAGAGCTGAAATATTCATGAATATCAAGCAGAACAGTAATTAACTGCAGGGACTAAACTAATAGAAGTCTGAAGTAATCTTTTTAACGTTTTGCTTAAGACGTTGCTGATCCTTTCTTTTATTTTTCAGAGTCAAAAAAACTTCTTTTAAGCTATTTATAGCTTTTAACAATTTAGTAAAGTATACTCTTATGAACCAAATTTGGGGCATATTTGTTTTTCTCTACCTGATTTCTATAAAACTTGGGGAGTATTTGTGACTATTCTTACCTTATGACAATACAGTTATTTGCATAAGTGCAATAAGAATCTGTTTTCATTCGTAATGGGGCACAATTAAAGAAACTGGTTATTTTACCAAGGCTTTAACTTGAATGGTGTGTCTTCCATAAAGAAATCAAACTGACTTATGGAGCCCCTTGGAAAAACTGACCTTACACCTTTGTCTATGCAGTCCCTGTACAGGATTCCTGAGCTGTGGTAAGTAAAGAATGTCACTTTCTGACAGGCCTAGGAGGCCCAAGTTTATCTTGGAACCTCAAGAGGAAAGGAATTCACCCAACTCATAGTATTTGATGGTACAAATCCATAATGGCTGGGCTCGGCTTTAAAAAAGGAGTCTTATCTGAGATTCCTTCTATGGAACAAAGTTCCATCAAAGCCAATTTAAAAGCCTGTGTAAAAAAAGTAATTATTATTCTTGCTGCACTGTATACAAATAATAAGGCCAAGTATGATAAAGCAAATCAGTCCTACCATGATTTGTCTTTAGTAAAAATGGGAAACTAGAGAAAAATTGTTTCAAAAACTATAGCACACCTGTTGTTAGATTCTAGTCTTGCCTATGTTTTTCAATTTTATTATTTTCTAAAATTTGAACCAAATTCTAATTTTTCTTGGCTACAACCCTGCAAAATAATGTTTTCAGGGGTTTTTTTCCTTCTTTTTTCCCCACTGTTCCGAATTTGGAGTCACCAAAAACTAAGCTGTGCTTTCACAAAGCCCTGCAAACTGAAGCTAGACAACTTAAACTTCAGAAGCAAACAACAGCAACCTATTTACATACATAAGCCACTTTCATACCTGTCTACTAATGTATGGACTTTAGAGTAATGTGGCCTATATCAATTTTCCAGGATTGTTCTTTTGTTTGTTGTTGCTTTTCTCCCTTCCTCCCCCTATTTTCTCTTCACAGGACATGAGACTTCACGACCTGCTAAAAATGAACTTTCCTAATAACTCAGGAACTACCTGTCTAGGAATAAACAATCCTAGCCATGAGAGATCAGAAGAAACCTGAAGCCAGAGACTCATTTTCTTCTAAAATACTTTCTCCAAAAGATTTTTTAAAAGAAAGGGGGGAAATGTAAAAGGAAAATAAATCTTGGGGCCCCAAAATCACTCAAGCTGGGAACTGCTTAGGGCAAACCTGCCTCTCATTCTATTCAAAGTCACCCCTCTGCTCACTGCGATAAATGCATATCTGATTGCCTCTTTTGGAGAGGCTAATCAGAAACTCAAAAGAATGCAACCATTTGTCTCTTATTTACCTATGACCTGGAAGCTCCCTCCCTGCTTCAAGTCTTCCCGCCTTTGCTTCGAGTTGTCCCGCCTTTCCAGACCAAACCAATGTTCATCTTGCATATGTTGACTGATGTCTCATGTCTCCCTAAAAGGTATAAAACCAAACTGTGCTCTGACCACCTTGGGCACATATCGTCAGGACCTCCTGAGGTGTGTCACAGGCACATGTCCTCAACTTTGGCAATATAAACTTTCTAAATTACCTGGGACCTATCTCACATTTTGGGGGTTCACAAAATTTAACAATATTACTCTAACCTCCTCCCTCCCTAATCTTTCTATGCCAAAACTGGACATAAAGAAATTATCTCGCCTATTTTGTCTGACTGTAGGTCATAAGACCCCCATTCCAAAGACCATTCTGCCCCATACCAAGGAGGGAGTGCTGCAGAGAGACCAGGAAGGATCTAAACCGAGGGTCTTGCTGGGTTTCTCAACTCAGTCTGTATCTACTAGCATTAAATCATATCCTTTTTGTCCAATCGTATCTCTACATGGCTGTCCATACTTTGCTGAACCTAAGCATAAAAATGGAGAGTTTCCTCTGATCTTTGGATCTGCATTCTGAAGGCATTTGTGCCACATAAAACAATGATCAAACACATTTGTATGCCTTTTGTCAGTAATTTTCAGTGAATCTTCAGAGGGCAAAGGGGGAGTTTTTCTCTTGGCCCCCAAAAAATATTTTGACTTCCTTTCAACCATTTCCAGAGACTGTATCTGGCTAAACTTAACACAAAAATAAGTTTACGTTTGAGTGGGAAAAAAAGTAACCTGAACAAGTGAATTTTAAAAGGCCCTGTGAACTCTCAATGACTCCTCCACACAGTTAACCGGAATGGGCCAGCATTTTCCAGTCTGGATACACTGTTATCAATTATCACCATAAAACTCAGTTGGGTGAGGAGTGCTATTTTAAAAACACAGGATCAAACTTCCAGGTAAAGATGGCAGTTTGAACACCTGCATTTAGCTCAGCTCTGTAAACCTGTATCTGAGACAGGTCACAATCAATTTAGAAAGTTTATTTTGCCAAGGTTAAGGATGTGCCTGTGACAGAGACTCAGGAGGTCCTGATATGTGTCCCAAGGTGGTTGGGGTACAGCTTGCTTTTACACGTTTTAGGGAGACATGAGACATCAATCAATATGTATCAGATGTACCTAGGTTCAGTCTGATAAGGCAGGACAACTTGAGGCGGGGAAGGGGTCTTCCGGGTCATAAGTAGATAATAGACAAAAGACTGCATTCTTTTGAGTCCTCAAGCGGCTATCCACTGAATACACAATTTAGTCTAGCTCAGTATCTGCATTTGTACATAAACAATAGGGTAGAGGAAGCAATCAGATATGGATTTGTCTCAGGTGAGCCTCAGAGGGATGACTTTGAGTTCTGTCTTTTGTCCACAAGGAAGTTCCTTGTGGGCAAATTTTGAGGGAGGTATGTAGCTTTTTAATTTTGTAGCTCTTATTTGGAAAGAAAATAGGAGGCAGATTTGCCTGACATAGTTCCCAGCTTGACTTTTCCCTTGGCTTAGTGATTTGGGGGCCCAAGATTTATTTTCCTTTCACAGCTCCTTCTCAAAACCTCTCTGAAACTACAATAAAGGATTTTTTCTTAAAGGAATAAACCTCATGAAAGAGGAGAAAATAGCAACGAATTTTAAAAGCTGGAACACTGATGGACAACGGTAAATGCAGGAATAAGAAACAAAAAACCTAGGCCAGTACTAAAGAAAGCTAAGAAGTAACTAAAATACCACAGAACGTCCCAAAAGTTTCAGGAAGCAGTGATATTTTCAAGTCCAGGATGTGAAGCCAACCTCACAGGGTTAACAAGAATTCTGAACAAAAATATAGTTATAATTAAGCATTAATCAGGCTGCACTTTGGCCCACTTCCTTGTAACCAAAAGTCATGTAGCTCTAGATACTGATCACTTGTATCCTCACTGTTCCTATAGATAGAATTTCTGACATTAGAGTCATGGGCTTTTAAGAATTAATTGCATCCCCCATTGTTCTTATAGATGGGATCTCTGACATTAATTAGAATCATAAGGCTTTTAAGAATTGCTTATGATTTTTTCAGATCCTGAATTCCAGCTGAAGAGTTGACATCAACCAGTTTGAAGCCTCCCTTCCCCCCGAAGAGGAACAAAATCAGCATGAGAATACTGTTTCTTCCTCTCCTGTCCCTTGACTTCACCCTGCACTCTTTCCAATCATCTCCACACTTCAACCCATTCCAAAACCCTTAAAATCCCCAGCCCCCAACTACTCAGGGAGACGGATTTGAGGATTCCTCTTGTCTCCTTGATTGGTGGCCCTATGGTTAAACCTTTCTCTGCTACAAACCAGTGTCTCTGCGTATTGACTTGCTGTGTGCATTAAGTGACGAACCTATTGTGTGGTTACAGTAGGAGTAAAAAAAAGAGAAGACTGGTTGAAAGGCTAATTTAAAACTTGTTATACCTCTAATCCTCCCTCTGTACTCCCAAAACAGCATGCTGATTCTCTAGAGAAGGTCAAACGCTGGTCTTAGGATTGAGTGGCCAAGCACATTTGAGGACAAGGGTACCCTATCAGTGAGCTATTGCTGAACAGCAGCTATCCCAGAACTCGGTGGCTGACAAACAAGTCACATGTTCATGCCCAGGTTCAGGAGATGCTGCACTTTCTCTCATCTACCACAGGTATTGTGTTGAAAACAAGAGAATTAAAAGCAAGTTTACATCCAGAATACTGACAGACATCTTCTAGTCCTCTTTACCTACTTGACTCCCAGGCCATGGGTAGCCATGCATACCCCTCCCAAAAAGAAATGGGGCAGCCTTCTCTAGGACATCTGACCAGCCAGGGGAAAGACAAATGATCTGACATCAGGAGTTCCCCAAGGTAATGGCCTGACAGACAATCCTCATCTTGAGAGCTGGCTGACCATCAGGTAGCCCAGCACTCTTCAAAGGAGCAGACAGGGGCCAGGCACAGTGGCTCACATCTGTAATCCCAGCATTTTGGGAAGCCAAGGCGGGCAGATCACTTGAGGCCAGGAGTTCGAGACCAGCCTGGCCAACATGGTGAAACACTGTCTCTACTAGAAATACAAAAAAATTAGCCGGGTGTGGTGGCAGGTGCCTGTAATCCCAGCTACTTGGAGGCTGAGACAAGAGAATCACTTGAACCCAGGAGGCGGAGGTTGCAGTGAGCCCAGATCGCGCCACTGCACTCCATCCTGGGCGACAGAGTGAAACTCCATCTAAAAAACAAACAAACAAACAAACAAAAAAACAAAAAATGAGCAGATAGAAAACAGACATAATTTAATAGACCAAACAATCCAACAATATTTTCATTGTGTTGGTTGTTACATGACTGTGCTTGTCAAAACTAAAAATTGTACTTAAAAGGAGTGAATTTTACTGTGAAGTGTACCTCCCATGAACTGGAAAAAACAACTGAGGAAACCTGTACAAGAAGAAGTCCCTTAAACAAAAAATCATTAACATCCTCAGTGAAGAAATTGAAAAAAAAAAAAATTAACCATAAAACAAGAACAAGATCCTACTACGAAAAATTTTCAGAAAACAAACAAAAAAGAGCTATTAGAAACTGAACACATGAGAACAAAGAAAGCTCAATAAAAGGGTCAGAAAAAGGCAAAGCTAAAAATGAAGCAAAGGGACAAAATAAGACTGTCCACAAGCACCAAAGTCACAAGAAGGGTCCCAGAAAGATGAACCAGAAAAAACAGAGGGAAGAAAAATGAAATAAACAATAGGGAAAATATTCCCAAAATTGCAGAGTGTGAATACGCATGATGAGCTGTCCCAGCAAGTGCCCAGCACACTGGACGAAAATAGATCCATACCAAGAGACACATCATGGTGTTTTCAGAATGCTGGAGAAAAACATGATAATAAAACGGTACGTGAGTCCTTAGAGAATTAAAAATAGATTTCATACAAAGGATCACAAATCAGAAGGGTATCTACCTCCTCAACAGCAAATTAAAAACCAGAAGACAACAGAGAAATGCCTACAAAATTCCTGAGAAAGTATTTAACATAGTGCTCTGTAGAGTCAAATGATGACTGAGGAAAAGTCGCATAAAGATATTTTCTTAGCCAGGTGTGGAGGCACACATTTGTATTCCAGCTATTCAGGAGGCTGAGGTGGGAGGATGGCTAGAGGCCAAGGGGTCAAGGCTGCAGTGAACTGAGATTGCACCACTGCACTCCAGCGTGGGTGACAGTGAGAAGACACTGTCTCAAAAAAAAAAAAAAAAAAAAAAAAAGGCCTACTCGTAGCTTGAAAAAAAAAAAAAAAATATATATATATATATATATATTCAGACATCCAAAACGTCATGGCCAACATAGTGAAACCTCGTCTCTACTAAAAATACAAAAAAATCAGCTGGGCGTGGTGGCGGGCACCTGTACTCCCAGCTACTTGGGAGGCTGAGGCAGGAGAATCACTTGAACACGGGAGGCGGAGGTTGCAGTGAGGTGAGATCATGCCATTGCACTCCAGCCTGGATGACAACAGCAAGACACCGTCTAAAAAAAGAAAAGAAGAAGAAGAAGAAGCAAGGGCAACCCAAAACAAGAGAAAAGAGAAGGAAATTTCCTGACTGTGAAGGGAGACCCCAAGAGTGCAGCCAAGTATAGCGGCTTACAGTTGACCATCCCGGATGACCCAAACAGCCTTCACAAAGCAGATGAAATTGATGAAGTGGGATACCCACTGTGCTGGAAAAAACAGATTTCACCACTTTGGGGAAAACAAAATATTGGGCAGGCAAGGAAAAGTAATCATACATAACACACTGTGTGGTTCTTGCACAGTTACAATTCTGTAAAAAACAAGTAAAACCTAACTAAAAAGTAACTGTACTGGGACAATTAGGAGAGGAGAGGGAGGGTGAACTGTGAGAGCAAGGTAAAGAATAAGCAAATGTTCATCTTCCATTTATCCATTCAGAATTACAATTACCTAAAGTTGTCAGAAAAAGAAAATCTGAAAGAATTTTAAAAGCAGCTCAAGATAGCTGCAGGTTGAACACACAGGTAAAAGAAACTAGGCCTATGAATTAAAGATGAACTCTCACTTGCAAGGCTGGAATTTGCCAAACATTTCACTAACATGTGCTGATTGTAACCTTCTTGCCTATCAGATGAAGCACAAATGCAGGAGAAAATCAATCATTTCTCTCCAGATCCTGAGACACCTGCATACTGGTTAACTTTTTACCCTATATTCATTGTAAACCAAAAACAAAATTCTATGCCTCCCAACTGACTGATGGACCTCTACTCTCAGCCAGGTGCATTCCAAAGAAAACCTGAAAATCAAGTTCAGGTCATGATGGGAAAGGGGAGTCAGATATGCCTCATTATACCATCTTCCCTTTGGAATTCAGGCACAACTGACAAGCATTAACATTAAAACAGATTTTTGTTCTTAATCTTTTTTTAGAAATAGGGTCTCACTATGTTGCTCAGGCTGGTCTCGAACTGAGCTCAAGCAATCCTCACACCTCAGCCTCCCAAAGTGTTAAGATTACTGGCATGAGCCACCACTCCCAGCTAAAACAGATCTTAAGATGAACAAAACAAACTATTTGTAGCAATAAGACACCAAATTCCAACCTGATCCTAGTATAGAATCACATGACAGCAGGTCCTGAAAGAAACTGTATTTTACCCTAAAATGTATTTCTTTGACATATTTTGAAATAGCCCAGTAAAGCTGTCTCTTGTAGGGAAAAAAATCTACATTCTGTAAAGAATCCCCTTCCCTTTCCAGGTCTTTTCCTTGACCCAGGGGAGAATTAATTAAGACTCTGGCACTTTTTAAGTCTGATAAGAAACATTTACAATCTATTCTGACACCTGCTACCTAAAAGCTTCATCTGCATAAATAAGAACCTTGGTCTCCATAACCCCTTATCTTCACCCAAACATTCCCTTCTATTGATTCCAGGTCTGTAGATAATAATTATTTCAACCAATTGCCAGTCAGAAAATCTTTGAATGCAGCTATGACCTGGAAGTCCCAACTCTGCCCTGGAGCTTCAAGTTGTCCCACCTTTCTAGACTGATCCAAAGTACATGTTACATGTACTGACAGATGTCTTATGTTTCCCTAAAACGTATAAAACCAAGCTATAGCTTGACCACCTTGCGGTGGTTTCTTTGACTAGCTGAGTGTTTTTCTTTTCAAAACTCCTTTGTCTGCACCAATCCTTTACATTCTATATAAGAGCAACAGAGATAAAAATTGCTCCAAATATAAAGGATGCTTGCGCCCACCAGCCCGGACCTCAGGTATTTTTAAGTGACAAAGAATCTTGCGGAAGGGTCAGAGGAGATTCCTCATGACATGTAGTGGTTCCAAAGAGCTTCACCATCAACAGGAAAACACTTAAGTTGTAATAGCTCCTCCAGGGAACTCTCATAATAGGCTGGTCGCCTAGCGTTCAGGGCACCTCACTGCTTCAGCAGGCGAGTTTCTCCTGAAACACCTAAGAGAGCAGACCAGCTCAGGGGTGAGCAGACCACCTCAGGGGTAAGAGCTCGAGGAGTGAAGCTCATAAGCAACACATTTTTGACCCTGAACACATTCTTAATCTGGTGCAGACAAGGGAGAAGGGAGGAGAGACATTTAAAACAAGACATCTGAAGTTGAAGCTATTGAAGGAGAGTTACCATCTTCCAAGACACCAGCTAGGCTTGTGACTAAAAATTATAGCACCTCATCTTATAAATTTTTTGACTCATTGAACCAACATCACTAAAAATTAAATTAGCTTAACTTGGCCAAAATGGGGCTCATTCAAGACCCCAAAATTGAATTATTTACGTGCACAACTGGGAGGAGTGGCTTAAAAATTAAACACAAAGAATGGGATAGTTACTACAATGGTTTTTAAAAGCTTCTAAAAGAAGTAATGATAAAATTGCTTCCATACAGGAGGTGAACCAAAAGATCCTGGAAACTTTCTCCACTGAAAAAATCGTCTCATGTTTCCACTGTCTCACCTCCTCCCCTCCAACTGCTCCTTCAGAACCCTCTTATTCTTTCCTTTCAGAACTGCCTTGGCTGGGCGCAGTGGCTCACATCTGTAATCTCAGCACTTTGGGAGGCTGAGGTGGGTGGATCACTTGAGCCCAGGAGTTCGAGAACAGCCTGCACAACATAGTGAGACATCGTCTCTACAAAAAATTTTTAAAAAGCTAGGCATGGTGGCATGCACCTGTAGTCCCAGCTACTCAGGAGGCTGAGGCAGGAGGATCGCTTGAGCCCAGGAGGCCGAGGCTGCAGTGAGCTGTGATCATGCCACTGTACTCCAGCCTGGGTGACAGAGCAAGACCCTGTCTCAAAAAAAAACAAAAGAACTGCCTTGCCCAGATCAGATGTTCCTTACTCCCTCCTCTACCCACAGAAGTTTTGATAGCACCTTTTAGAGAAAATCCTGACCCAAAGGGAGAACCTTCAGTAGTTTAGTCCCCCAGGACGAGGCAGAACTTAGAGCCCCTACTAAGGAATTTCCAGAAAAAAAAGGGGGGCTATTATTAAGATTCCTGGACACTCCAAACTCAGCCCTTCAGAGAAAAAGTATTTTGTTGACGCAGCAGCCAAAGGCTGCTCTAACACTAATAGCAGATGAAACTATACAGGTGGCTATATTTTTTTTAAATGAGTTCCATTGAAAAACAACTCCAAGTGGCTCAAGAAAAGGGTTCAGAGAAGAAAAAGCAGATATGGCTAACAAAGGAGACACACCTTTCCCCCACTTGCAAATTATAGTATGGACTCAACAACAGACTTGTTTTGCCTTTGGAATTTATTTCAATTTCCTGTATTACAACATTTCTATCAGCTCACTCACTAGGGACCTCAGAAAATGACTGCCTAAGAAAAACAATATTACTGGAAACAGTCACCCACAATTGGCTCATAAGACTTATGCTAAATGTGCAGTTTGTCCTAAACATAATCCAGGACAGCCTCTTCATGGATATCAAGGGCATTTTCCTTTGCCCACCAGACCTTCTGATATCTGGCAAGTGGATTTTATCCAATTACCTCCAGCCCAGGATTATAAATAGATACTGGTTATGATTTGAATGTTCTCTCACTGAGTTGAAACATTTCCTTGCAGAAGAGTCATAGCACACGCAGGAGGAAAATATCGTCGAAGCAAATAATTCCCTCTTGGGGAACTCCTTCCAAATTACATAGCGATAGAAGAACTCATTTTACTAGAAAGACAGTCCACTCAATTTGTAAAATCTGGCCCATTTTCCAACATTTTCATTGTGTATACCATCCTTAGTCTTCTGGATCGGTGGAACAAATAAACGGAATAGTAAAGATCCAGCTGGCTGGCCGGGCGCGGTGGCTCACGCCTGTAACCCCAGCACTTTGGGAGGCCCAGGCGGGTGGATCACAAGGTCAAGAGATGGAGACCATCCTGGCCAACAGGGTGAAACCCCGTCTCTACTAAATATACAAAAAATTAGCCAGGCATGGTGGCGGGTACCTGGAGTCCCAGCTACTCAGGAGGCTGACGCAGGAGTACGGCATGAACCCAGGAGGTGGAGCTTGCAGTGAGCCAAGATCGTGCCACTGCACTCCAGCCTGGGCGACAGAGCGAGACTCCGTCTCAAAAAAAAAAAAAAAAAAAATCCATTTGGCAAAATTAACAAAAGCTTTTCATACTGGGCCAAAGGCTCTTCCATTGGTTTTGCTTAACCCAAGAGCAACTTCTCTTGGATAACATCAATTACCCACTTACGAGACAATTACAAGTCAACCTATGAAACAGGACAGCAATTTATATGAACCAACTTTATTGAAAGGTGCTATACTCAGTTATTGTCAAGGCTTAACTAAACTTCTTTCCCCAAAATAAATTAATAAAAGATTCTTTTTACGGTGTACTCCTTGGAGACGAAGATCTTAAATACCATAATGTCTAGCCAAGGGACCTTTTTTTTGGAAACAACATCAACTAAAAAACTCACTTGAACCTCACTAAAAGACTCACTTGAACCTCACTGGAAAGGACTCTATCAGGTATTGTTAACTAATTGCTGTGCAGCAAAACTTGAAGGAGCTGACTCCTGGATTCACATTTCTCATTTAAAGAAAGCTCCAACAACTAAATGAACTTATAAGTCCACTGGAGACCTCCAGTTAAAGATTTCTGAGATTCCTGACACCTCTGATTATGGAAAGCAGACAAGACCTGATAGACAACATTGCCCAAATTACCAGACCAGGCCTGAACTGACAATGAATTTCTTCTGCATATATCTTTTGTTTTTGTATTTTCCTGCATGATGACTGAATTTTTACTAACACTCCCTCATGTGTTTGATCCCCATTCCTCTTAAGGGAAACTGCTAATCTAACTGATGTGAAAGTAGGACAAACATTTTTTCAATATCAAGAAGATACTGGAACCCTGACATCAATTTCTTAGAATCAGTCCAATGTTCCGATAGCCCATGGCACCAGTTTTTCAGGCATAATAAACTATCAAGAGGCCCCCACTTAGGGAAAGATATCCAGGAAGTTCTTCCCAATTCCATGCCTGGTCTGGCAATTTTTAACACTTTACAAATAGATCACTATGTTACTGTGAATACAGATGATCACTTACTATACACTTACTATACAAACTCCTGGAAGACATTTAGCTGCAGCTTATGTGCCTTGCCATAGCATCTCTTGTCCTAGGAGTCAGGGACCTTGTTTTTGTGACTGGTCTACACAATTCTAATGAAACTGGAAATCAAATAATGAGAGCTACTTGGTGGACAAGAGTACCACCAGAGGATACTTGGGAATGTTACCAGGGAGAATGTGAGAAGCCTTACAGTGTACTCAAACTAAACTGTATCTAGGGGTAACTGCTGCTCCTCTCACCTTAACTTGGAGCACCCAACATTATTGGGTTTGTAACCGGTACTCAAATTGCACTTCCATTATAAATGCTCAATGGCAACAACATGTTTGGTGGATAAAACAGCACTAGCCAACTAAAGCAAAAAGAACCTTAGGTCCAATAAAGGCAGGACTTGAGATGTTAGGACAAGCTAAAAGTGTATTTAACAACGACAAAAAAAAAAGAAAATCACAAGAAAAGTCAATATTTACCAGTCTAAACAGATTAAAAGAAATATTCTTTCAGAAGGAAGGTATGGGTTGGGAAGCTACACAAAAAGATAATGACACTATTGTTAAGAAGGTAAATCAACTACTCAACTAACAAGGAGCCATGCCAAAACCCAGTGATGGAAAATTGCATGCGTCCAAACTCAACAAGGTTTACTGACCATGCTAATCCAAATGGAAACTGAAGTGGCCTCTAAAATGTGCCCTCCATTTTGGATGCAGAAACACAAGGTATACATTTATGCACAAACATATGAACCCTCTTCTTCCTGGAAAATTACTACCAAGAATATGTAGCTTAATTCACTGTACTCTTACAGCATTAGCACCCCACATAGATAATAACTAGACATATAACATAGTGTTAGTAGGAATAGAGATTTTTTTAAGTAATACCCATTTTTCCCAATGGGGAGTTGAAAGGCCATATTAAATAATACTTGGAGTCCAATTTCAGTTCTACATCGTAAACAAATTCAGGAAGTTGGTGCTGTCCCCAAAATGTTTGGAATCCTGAAATCATATAAATATGACCCTTAATTTCTTTTTTTTTTTTAATTTAAAATTCCAGGATACATGTGCAGGTTTGTTACATAGGTAAATGTGTGCCATGGTGGTTTGCTGCATCTATCAACCCATCACCTAGATATTAAGCCCTGCATGCATTAGCTATTTACCCTGATGCTCTCCCTCCCCCCACACCCCCCAGACAGGCCCCAGTATGTGTTGTTCCCCTCCCTGCCTCCATGTGTTCTCACTGTTCAGCTCCAACTTATAAGTGAGAACATGCAATGTTTGGTTTTCCGTTCCTGTGTTAGTTTGCTGAGGATAATGGCTTCCAGCTCTATCCATGTCCCTGCCAAGGACATGATATCGTTCCTTTTTATGGCTGCATAGTATTCTATGGTGCATATGTACCATATTTTCTTCATCCAGTCTATCATTGGTGGCATTTGGGTTGATTCCATGTCTTCGATATTATGAATAGTGCTGCAATGAACATACATGTGCATGTATCTTTAGAATAGAATGATTTATATTCTTTTGGGTATATACTCAGCAATGGGATTGCTGAGTCAAATGATATTTCTGGCTCTAGGTCTTTGAGAAATCGCCGCACCATCTTCCACAATGGCTGAACTAATTTACATTCCTACCAACAATGTAAAAGCATTCCTGTCTCCACAGCCTCCTCAGCATCTGTTGTTTCTTGACTTTTTAATAATCGCCATTCTGACCAGCATGAGATGGTATCTCATTGCACTTTTGATTTGCATTTCTCTAATGATTAGTGATGTTGAGCTTTTTTTCATGTTTGCTAGCCACATAAATGTCTTCTTTTGAGAAGTGTCTGTTCATGTCCTTTGCCCATTTTTTAACAGGACTGTTTGTTTTTTTCTTATAAATTTGTTTAAGTTCCTTGTAGATTCTAGATATTAGAACTTTGTCAGATGGATAGATTGCAAAAATTTTCTCCCATTCTGTAGACTGTCTGTTCACTCTGATGATAGTTTCTTTTGCTGCGCAGAAGCTCTTTAATTAGATCCCATTTGTCAATATTGGTTTTTGTTGCAATTGTTTTTGATGTTTTTGTCATGAAATCATTGCCTGTGCCTATGTCCTGAATGGTATTTTCTTCTAGGGTTTTTATAGTGTTTTTCATTTTCTAGGGTTTTACATTTAAGTTCCTTAATCCATCTTGAGTTAATTTTCATATAAGTTGTAAGGAAAAGGTCCAGTTTCAATTTTTGCATATGGTTAGCCAGTTCTCCTGGCACCATTTATTAAATAGGGATTCCTTTCCCCATCGCTTTTGTCAGGTTTGTCGAAGATCAGATGATTGTAGATGTGCAGTCTTATTTCTGAGATCTCTACTCTGTTCCATTGGTCTGTGTGTCTGCTGTACCAGTACCATGCTGTTTTAGTTATTGTTTTGGTTACTATAGTTTGAAGTCCAGTAGCGTGATGCCTCCAGCTTTGTTCTTTTTGCTTAGGATTGTCTTGGCCATACAGGCTCTTTTTTGGTTCCATATGAATTTTAGGGTAGTTTTTTCTAATTATGTGAAGAATGTCAATGGTAGTTTAATGGGAATAGCATTGAATTTATAAATTACTTTGGGCAGTAATTTGGCCGTTTTCATGATATTGATTCTTCCTATCCATGGGCATGGAATGTTTTCCCATTTGTGTCCTCTCATTTCCTTAAGCAGTGGTTTGTAGTCCTCCTTGAAGAGATCCTTCACTTTCCTTGTTAGCTGTATTCCTAGGTATTTTATTATCTTTGTAGCAATTGTGAATGAGAGTTCATTCATGATTTGGCTCTCTGCTTGTCTATTGTTGGTGTATAGGAATGCTTGTGATTTTTGCACATTGATTTTGTATCCTGAGACTTTGCTAAAGTTGCTTATCAGCTTAAGGAGCTTTTGGGCTGAGATGATGGGGTTTTCTAGATACAGAATCATGTCATCTGCAAACAGAGACAGTTTGACTTTCTCTCTTCCTATGTGAATACCCTTTCTTTCTCTTGCCTGATGGCCCCGGCCAGAACTTCCAGTACTATGTTGAACGGGAGCGGTGAGAGAGATGACCCTTAATTTCTATACCCTGCTCAATATAATATATGGTACAGAAGTGATATGGTTTGGCTCTGTGTCCCCACCCAAATCTCATCTTGAATTGCACTCCCATAATTCCCATGTGTTGTGGGAGAAACCTGGTGGGAGACAATTGAATCATGAGGGCAGTTTCCTCCATACTCTTCTTGTGGTAGTGAATAAGTCTCATGAGATCTGATGGTTTTATCAGGGGTTTCTGCTTTTGCATCTTCTTCATTCTCTGCTTGCTGCCATCCATGTAAGATGGGACTTGCTCCTCCCTGCCTTCCGCCATGATTGTGAGGCTTCCCCAGCCACGTGGAACTGCAAGTCCAATTAAACCTCTTTCTTTTGTAAATTGCCCAGTCTCAGGTATGTCTTTATCAGCTGCGTGAAAACAGACTAACACAGTATGTTGGTACCAGCAGAGTGAGGCGCTGCTGAGAAGATATCCGAAAATATGGAAGTGACTTTAGAACTGGGTAACAGGCAGAGGTTGGAACAGTTTGGAGGGCTCAGAAGACAGAAAAATGTGGTTAAGTTTGGAGACTTGTTGAATGGCCTTGCCCAAAATGCTGATAGCGATATGGAAAATAAGGTCCAGATGGAGATGAAAAACTTGTTGGGAAATGGAGCAAAGGTGACTCGTTGTTTTAGCAAAGAGACTGGCAGCATTTTGCCCCTGCCCCAGAGATTTGTGGAACTTTGACCTTGAGAGAGATGATTTAAGATATCTGGCAGAAGAAATTTCTAAGCAGCAAAGCATTCGAGAGGTGACTTGGGTGCTGTTAAAAGCATTCAGTTTTAAAAGGGAAACAGAGTATAAAAGTTTGAAAAATTTGCAGCCTGAATCCGATAGAAAAGAAAATCCTATTTTCTGAGGAGAAATTCAAGCCGGCTGCAGACATCTGAATAAGTAAGGAAGAGCCAAATGTTAATCCCCAAGACAGTGGGGAAAATGTCACCAGGGCATGTCAGAGGTCTTCATGGAAGCCCCTCCCATCACACACCTGGAGGCCTAGGAGAAAAAAGTGGTTTTGTGGGCCAGGCCCAGGGTCCCCAAGCTGTGTGCAGCCTAGGGACTTGATGCCCTGCGTCCTAGCCACTCCACCCCTGGCTGAAAGGGGCCAATGTAGAGCTCGGGCTGTAGCTTCAGATGGTGCAAGCCCCAAGCCTTGGCAGCTTCCATGTGGTGTTGAGCCTGCAGGAGCACAGAAGTCAAGAATTGAGGTTTGGGAACCTCTGTCTAGATTTCAGAAGATGTATGGAAACACCTGGATGCCCAGGCAGAAGTTTGCTGCAGGAGTGGGGCTCTCATGGAGAACTTCTGCTAGGGCAGTGCGGATGGAAAATGTGGGGTTGGAGCCCCTGCACAGAGTCTCTACTGGGGCACTGCCTAGTGGAGCTGTGAGAAAAGGGCCACTGTCCTCCAGACCCCAGAATGGTAGATCCACTGACAGCTTGCACCATGCACCTGGAAAAGCTGCAGACACTCAATGCCAGCCCATGAAAGCAGCCAGGAGGAAGGCTGTGCCCTGCAAAGCCACAGGAAGGGAACTGCCCAAGACCATGGGCACCCACCTCTAGCATCAGCATGACCTGGATGTGAGACATGGAGACAAAGGAGATCATTTTGGCGCTTTAAGATTTGACTGCCCATCCTGGATTTCAGACTTGCGTGGGACCTGTAGCCCCTGTGTTCTGGCCAATTTTTCCCATCTGGAATGAGTGTATTCACCCAATACCTGTACCCCCAGTGTATCTGGGAAATAACTAGCTTGCTTTTGATTTTATAGGCTTACAAGCTGAAGTGACTTGCCTTGTCTCAGATGAGACTTTGGACTGTGGACTTTTGAGTTAATGCTGAAATGAGCTAAGACTTTGGGGACTATTGGGAAGGCATAATTGGTTTTGAAATGCAAGGACATGAGATTTGGCAGGCTCCAGAGCTGGCTGCAGGCTGCCAGCATTCTGTCCCCACCCAAAGCTCATCTTGAATTGTACTCCCATAATTCCCATGTGTTGTGGGAGTGACCTGGTGGGAGATAATTGAATCATGAGCGTGGTTTCCTCCACGCTGTTCTCATAGTAGTGAGCAAGTCTCACGAGATCTGATGGTTTTATCAAGGTTGCTTTTGTGTCTTCCTCATTCTCTCTTTGTCTGCTGCCATCCACGTAAAACGAGACTTGTTCCTCCTTGCTTTCTGCCATGATTGTGAGGCTTCCCCAGCACGTGGAACTGTAAGTCCAATTAAACCTCATTCTTTTGTAAATTGCCCAGTCTCAGGTATGTCTTTATCAGCAGCATGAAAATGGACTAACACAATAGGAAAAGGTTGCTTACATTAGAAAGGGAGGAAAAATGAGACTGTAGCTGTTTTAGATCTTACTTGCAACCAGACAACATTTGATTTAAATTATACTGCCATTTGGTACAATACTGGGTTAACAGGAAAGTTACTTTTACGATGAAGTAATACTTTTGATAATAAAAATTGGAAAATTGGAACTCAACCCTCCTCAAATTGTACTCCCAGCAGAAAATGGACAAGCAATTAGACATTATAAATCATCAGCTAATTACAGTTATAAATGCAAAGATATCATAAAGTACAAATACAAAGGGAGGAAATTTATCTAATTAGTCACAGACTATCAAAATCTATGTTCAAGATTCTTTTCTATGATAAGTGTTTCTTTACTTCAGTGGACCTCTAAGTTGCTCATCATATTGTTGATTATCTTTCTAATATTCCTACATTACAAATATTATCAATACTGCAAAAATGTTACCAAAAGAATAAAACTCCAGCCAAAATTATGTTAGCTCATCAATTTGAACTACAGCCACAGAATGTATGTAAGGGTGGTCCTCTATTGTCTGTTTTATCCAACATACTCTTTCCTCTAATTCTGACCTACTGAATTACAACAGAAAGGGACACGCTCCCAGTTTGCTCTGAGTCTGTGTCCCTGATCTATAGTCCTCAAACTTGGCTCAGAATAAAATTAACTTTGACTTAAATCTATAGTGGCTGTTAGAATATCCAATCACCTAAAAGAGCTAAAAGTATGTCCATGTAAAGAGCAAGAAATAGTGGAGGTCAGGGGTGGGAGGTAATAAGAGTGTGCTTTCTAGGTAGTGGTCATCTAGGGGAAAGTGAGGGTAGTGTGCTTTTTTTTCTTTTAAATAAAAAGACTTGAATTATTTGTTTCTTCAATCCACGTGCATATATAACTTTAAAAATAAACACCAATGTAATTTATTAACTAAGAAATAAAAATACTTGATGATCAAGCCAGTTGGAAAAATTAGATACTTAGCTTTTCAAAAGACTAAGAAAATCCATCACAAGCCACTGAGGCTTTAAAAGCATTGCCTCAAGAAAGCAGGATTTAAAAAAAAAAAAAAAAAGCTATATAAAACACTTAAGATATTGCCTTCAGTCCCCTGGGTGGCCATCCACCTTGTTTAAGGTCTCCAAGAGATTTAACATCAAGGAAGCTCCAACAGTATGCACTATCCAACTCCCTAACCTGTCTACCTGGAATCTCTGCCTTACACCCTACTGTTAAGCTGAGGCCAGTCTGGTTTAGAAGGAACCTTAACCTCTCTCCCTTCACCAGAGCTGGTTGCAGGCTGCCAGCATCCTGTGTCTCCAGGATTGGGAGGGTTTCCTAAGAAACCCAGCTATCCAAGCCTAAGTCCATAAAGTCCCAGGAGCATCAGTCACTCATAAATCTCATCTCCTACCCCAGTGCATAGTATCATCTTGACTAATCCAGCGAGAGATTATACACATACTCCTCCCTGCAATGGCCAGATGAGGGATGACAATTGGCTCCATCTGAGCAACTGTCTTCCCTTCCACTTCCCAAAACCTCTCTTCCCTTATCTCTCCCTATATTTAACTGGCTCCACTGCTTTCCTCCATCAGCTCCTACTATTTTATGATGTACTTGCATTACCAACACATTGCTTAATTCCTTTTAGCCTGATTTTTTTTTTCTTGAGACAGGGTCTCACTCTGTTGCCCAGGCTGGAGTGCACTGGCACAATCACAGCTCACTGCAGCTTGGACCTCCTGGGCTCAAGGGAGATCCTCCCGCCTCAGCCTCCTACATAGTTGGAACTACAGGTACAAGCCACCACACCCAGCTAATTTTTGTATTTTTTGTAGAGGCAGGCTTTCACCATAATGCCCAGGCTGGTCTTGAACTCCTGTGCTCAAGTGATCTGCCTACCTTGGCCTCCCAAAGTACTTGAGATTACAGGCATGAGCCACCACACCTGGCCTAGCCTGATTTTTTTCACCTATAAATAGGAGTAATATTCCTTGAGGAGAGAGACTACCGGGCCATCTCTGCATTCTCCGTAGTGCCTAAACTCAACATGCACTGAAATATTCACCAAGTGATTAAACAAATGCACCTAAAACTACAATTCCAAGAAGGAATCCTTGGTCAATAAACTCTCCTATTCCTGGACTCTCTGACCTAGAACAACCTTGAGGTACAAGACAAGGCCATAGGTCCACAACCCCGGGGAACCAGAAGATACAGCAGAAGCTGTCACGATGCAGATGGAAAGCAGGACATACCTGGAAGGAAGTGGGAATACAGACGAGGTTCAGATTCTCTTGCTTCACCCTTTCAGCTGTGGAAACAAAAGCCATATTGGCAGTTTTTCACTCTCCTTACTTTATTCTTCTTGTCATATGTGTTTGCTCGAAACCAACAGACAAGGGAAGGTCTATTTCCCAAAGACAGCTGCCTTTCATCCTGTGTCCCCCTCCTTGGTGGGAAAGTTGGTGACTGTACCTCACACATCAGAAGATAGGGACACAAGAAAGCCTGGAGAGGTAAGTACTGACCACAGAAAGCAGTGTCAGTGTTTGCCATTGTTATGTGCCTGACAATATTCTAAGAACTTTGTATATATGAACTCTTAATCCTAACAACCCAAAAGGTAAGTTAAATTATTTTCCGCATTTTGCAGATAAGGCAACTGAGGTTCAGAGAGGTAATGTAACTCGGTAGTTATACTGCTAATAAGGGACACAGCTGGGACATGATCCCAGGCCATGTAGCCACACAGTCTTAACTCCCCTATATTGCCTCTTCTAGGAAAAAGCCAGAACTTTACTTTTGCATTTTAGTAAAAAACATACTTATTTGTAGGCCCCAGAGAGTAGCTAAAGGAGATTTATTTTTTCAATTTGGATTTGTACCTTTCAGGAAAGTTTGATTTAAAAAAAAAAAAAAGACTTCAGGAAAAAATTCGTATTAAAATTTCAAGTCTTTTTAATCACTGAGTGCATCTTGGGAGGTTTGGGTGCCACTATTATAAAATCCATAGTAACTCCTGTGCCCTGAAAGTATTCTCCAGATACTTGGTTAAGATTGAAAGGTATATAACACAAAAGCTCCTATTTGGCCAGTGAGAAGGCTTCCAGAAGCCATCACACCAGCACTAAAACCACTCCTTGATAACAAAGTGTTCCTGGACTTTACCTCCTGGGCTCTGCCCCTTGGCACCTAGAAGAATTCAGCATTCAGGCAGGCCTCTCCTCTGGGCTTTGTTCTTACAAACAAAGAGCAGGGAAGTAAAACCTGTTGAGCAGCCATAGGGGCTGATAATTCCTGAGTCTTTCCTAAGCATAGAGACACCCTAATCAGTGTGAAATGAGCACCTGCAGGAACCAGCCATCAATGGCAGGAGTCCCACATCCACTCCAGGGTCATGGACAGGGCAAACCCACTATGGCCTCAATTATCTGCCTGAGGAAGTCTGAGCTCACGCAAAGAACTCAATGGTAGAATGCCATCAACATGATTAAAATTATATTGGGACCTCAAGCTAAGTCAGCTCCTCCCCTCCAGCTGAGCAGAGTAAACAAAGGCAAGGGCGTCCTTCAAAGTTGGATGAAGAGGCCCAAGATTCCCTCTCTCCACAAAAGAGCAGAAACACTCAACTGACCTCAGGTAGTCCCTCTCTCCAGCTCTGTACTGCTGAAGCCAAAAGGGCAATGCCAAACCTGTGTGCCACTTCCTCCCTCTCCTCTACCTCCCTACCCCATCATCACACACAAAACATCCAGTAGACAGTGAGAGAGCATACCTATTCGCTGCACAGCATGGACAATTGTAGAACCACTTCCAATTCCCAGCACTTGGTTATTCTGCCAAAAAACGGGGAAGAAAAAACAAAACTTATTAATATCATATTTTACTCCTTTGTCAGCCTACTTCCTAAAGCTATAAAATTATTATGAACAGCAATCCACCAACACAGGTACAAGACAGGTACTGTGCCTATTTTATAGGAACATAAACAATGAACCTCAATGCTGTACTTTAGCCAATCCATGGTGGACAAATGTTCAACAAGGCCCTCCTCTCTTCATTTCTGACACTGTCAACACCACCGCTTCCTCCCTACATTCTACCAAATAATTGGTGCAATTACTTGCAACTGAATAGCAACTTGCGTCACCCTCACAGAAATGGCCTGCATATAAACACTTAAAGATTCCTGACATTTCAAGCCAGCAACAGTGTGTTTAAAAAAAAAAAAAAAAGAAAGAAAGAAAGAAGAAGAAGAAAGAAAAGAAAAAGATTCCTGGCCAATCCCAGGGAGGCAATTAGAAAAACACCTAAGAAAAAACAATAGAGCCTGGAGCCTGGGTAAGGGAGGAAAGCTAAGGCTTCTGGCTTCAGTGTCTTCCATAGGCACCTTCAAGTTGGTAGCACCACAAGACACATCAGGCCCACCATCTAGAGCTCTCCCAAAGTCAGCAGATAAAGGGAGGGCCTGAAGTAACCTCAAAATAATAAAGTATGTCAGCATCTGCCTAGGTGACACCAAGGGGTGCTCATTTTGCATGAGCCTGCCTCAGAGAAAATGGAAAGAGGGCAAAGGCTTAGTTAAGAACATGAAAAATAGTCTTCATCTGCAATAGAAAGGATCATAATAAATGCAGAGCACTTCCTGAGTACAAAGTACAGGCAGACATCACAATACGGAGCCTACCTACAAGCAGACCAAACAAGAAGAAACAAAGAAGGTACCTACAAGCAGACCAAACAAGAAGAAACAAAGAAGGTACCTGCAAGCAGACCAAAGAGTAAAAGCTCAGCTGAGTCTACTAGACCACAAAGAGCAAAACGAGGCCAGGGTACTAACAGTCAGGAACTAATATGCAGCTCAGTGCCTAAGCAACTTCCTGACATCTATCTCCTGCCTTTGCAAGGCAAAGCCAAGTGAACACCAAAGCGGCAGCTACCATTTATTAAGCACCTACCAAGAAGACTTATAAATGTTAATATAAAGCCAAATCTCACAACAATCACTTATGACCTACAGAGCCACTATTTCCACTTTATAGATGAGTTCAATATTGTAAGGAAAAACTTAAGACTTTGAAATGAGCAAAAGAGACTACTGGATATCCTTCCAATGGGATGCTGGAACCTGCTTGTATTGTCTGACTCTAAGAAGGTATGTGCCTTTGTCTTTAAGATATATGACGACTGTATAGAGATACACTTTAACTTGCAGAAAACTGTTAACAAAGCAAGTAAGTTTTGTTCATTGAAATGCAAATTAATAGTGTTCTGTGAGACACAATTATTAACAGATCTTCTAAATTCATTTTAAGATTTTTTTACTACATATGAGCTTACAGTTGACTTCTCCTGTTATGCTTTGAACATCTCCACCAAAACTCACGTTGAAATTTAATTGCCATTATAACAATATTAAGAAGTGGGACCTTTAAGAGGTGATTAGGTCAGAGGGCTCCACCCTCATGGGTAGGATTGGTGCCCACCCATAGCACTTCAACATCTGTCTCTCTCACCAGATGCCAACGCCTTGATATTGGACTTCGTAGCCTCCAGAAGTATAAGCCAAAACATTTCTGTTCATTATAAATTACTCATTCTCAGGTATTCTATTATAGCAGCACAAAATGGACTAAGACACCTATGAACAGGTTCTAATAACCTTTCCAGTTCCCTCATTAATTTAGTGAGTTAAATAAAATCTTTGACATATATTTGTTTTATATATGTGTGATTTTACCTGTTTTAAATATATATACAAGATATACAATATATCTTGTATATATGTTTATAATATATATAAACTATCAATGCCCCCCCACACACACACAAACTCATCTTCAAACTCCTGGGCTCATACAATCCTACTGCCTCAGCTTCCCACATAGCTAGTACTATGGGAACATGCCACCATGCCCAGCTAATTTTTTTAATTCTTTTAAAAGACACAGTCTCACTCTGCCAACCAGGCTAGTCTCGAACTCCTGGCCTCAAGTGATCATCTCACCTCTGCCTCCCAAAGTGCTGGGATTACAGGATGAGCCATTTCAATCGAATAAGCAACTTCAGGAAGTTCAATTCGCTGAAACATCAATCTATTTCAAATTTCTTAAGATTTCCAACAACTGATTAACAATTAATTTATTTGACAAAGGAAAGCCCATAGTAAAACCTTCTTTTTAGGAAGAAGACAAGTCCTGAAGGGCCCTCAGGACAAGCAGGGCCACAACTAAAATCCTTCATTCCCCACAGGACAAAGGCCATAGGAATACTTAAAGTCAGCCCCTAGGCCTCACATTAGATATGGTCCTTCTCAAAGCCTGACTACATCTATAACTAGAAAAGATTAGAAAGAATGACCAACAAGTAGAGTTACCAAAAAAAAAAAAATCAAATACTAATGTCCCCACAACCATATACATATATACTAAAAATGCTACTATAGCCTCTCCTACCTACAGAAGACTTTATCCAACAACTTTTGTGTTATTGACCTGGTGGAAACTGCTTTTACTAGCTCACAGTTCCAAAGGCACTGAATACATCAGGGGCTTGGGCTGTCAGAACAGGGCTCGCACTAGGTCAGGATTCCACCTATACCAATGCTCTCAAGAAGGCAATGTGTGTAGTAAAGTTGTTTAGCTACCTGGACAATCCCCAAAGGCAAGGACTTCAAGACAAGTAAATGATACATCACAGTACAGAAACATTCAAAATGGCTAAATATCTCACATATAAAAATCTTCAAGGAATGAGAAAATGTCTTATCAAGGCCTATGTCTGAGTGTGGAAAAACTCAAACTTTTTCCTCTGCTCTCACACCACAACAATCATCAACACAGAAGACTTCTGTGATCAAATGTATGGGGATTTCTCCCCGTATCCCAAGCAAGCAATCTACTCTGCAGCAGACACCAGCTGGGTATCCTCCAATTCAATTTCAACACTCTCTACCTGGAGATACCATAAGGTTCCACTGGTTGAGGGCTCAGCTCCCAAGATTGCCTCCTCCTTCCTACCAAATGCAAGTCCAGGCCTCCAGAACTTCTGACTTGACAGCTTCAAGTTGGAGTTTCCACAACACTCTCTTTGGGTTTGATTAACTTGCTAGAGTGGCTCACAGAACTCAGGGAAAACATGTTTACCAGCTTATAAAGGCTATGATGAAGGATATGGATGAAGAGATGCATAGGTAAAGGCATGTAAGAAGGAGCACAGAGCTTCCATGCTCTCTCTAGGCACACCATCCTCCAGGGACCTTCACATGTTCTGCTCTCCAGAAGCTTCCAAACCCTGTCCTCTCGAGCTTTTCTTTTTCTTTTTCTTTTTTTTTTTTTTTTGAGACTTTATTGAATAGGTATGATTGGCTCTTGGAAAAGACCAGGAATTGCAAGGGCCTAGAAATGTGACTGAACAAAAAGGGCATGATCCAATACTAGCAGACTGACTGGGGAAACCCTGCAACGGCTGTCTGTTCAGATTCTTCTTCACCTGCAGCATTCCTTCCTCCAGGGTATGGAACAGGAACCCTTCTGAAATGGGGATCTTATGACGTACAAACAGACAACATAGGTCACAGAATTTCTTTACAGCCAGCTCCAAGACAGAAAAGCATTGGGGAGAGAAAGGAGCAAGTGGAAGGAGGGAAGGAGAAGGTAAGAGAGGGAGATTCTGTTTTCTGAGGCCTGCTTTGGGCCCTAAAGCACCCCAAATATAACAAAAGACTGTAGCAAGGGCTATGAGTGTTATGAACCAAGAGCCATGGATAAAAACATTGTGTGTGTGTGTTTAAAATATCACACTAGATAGACTTAACCTGACCTTCACATATGACCTGAAGCTAGGAACTCTAGCTTTACAGTAATTCAATCACCAAATTCCTGGTTACCAAGCTTAGCCATACATTCATGTCACTCACAGTCCCCAGCAGGCAGGTGGCACAGAGGTGAATTCGGATGAATCAGACAAGCTCTGTATAAGGCTCGTTCTTTGCCTTTTGAAAGAGACCAGGAATTGCAAGGCCCTGCCAGACCTAAAGCTCTTCACCCATGTGATCCCTGCTGCCTTGGAATCAAATGACTGGCCCAGGAAATCAGTGCCCTTGCCAAAGCCAACCAGAGGTGACCAAAGGCTGCCTATGAGGTGGCCCAACAGCAGAAGACTGCCAAGCAGGCCCTGCTAGAGGAGTGGCCCCATTCTAATGGGCAATATTAAACCACATGTATGTGCAACATCAGAACTTCACTCAGCTTGTCGAATGGAGTAACTTTGGAAATACTACTTCTGCTAACCAACTAGAACCACTGCCCATCAGCTTCCTCAACCAAGCTAGTAAAAAAACAAAGCCCAGGCTCCAAAGAGAACAAAGGGATGAGGCTACAGACATTCAGAAGAGCCTAGTTCTGCATGTCGACCCATCCTGGGTGGCTACACCCACAGAAACAGACAGAGCTGGGCCCAAGGTGGCTATACAAAGGATTCACCTGAGAACTCTCCATGTTTTCCATCCACTCAGACACGGAAGTGGTCACCATATTGGAACTCCAATGGACTAGAGAACAGGAAGCCCTACTCCCCAGAGATTCTACACAAAGAACCTCCAATAACCCCAACACTTTCGTATTTGTGTCCACACTGCACACAATTGAACAAACATGTACTGGGCAGGACCCACTGTGACCAATGCTAAATGAAGGTTAACTACCCTCCAGGAGCTTACCCTTTAAGGGGCTGGAAGAAACGAACACACAGATGACCAAAACATGAGATACAACATAAAGCACATAAGAGGCATGAAGTGCTACAGAATCACGGAAGAGAAATCTTCCTCTCCTTAGGATGCTAAGGAAAAACTGAAAGGAGGAAATGGCCTTTAAGCCAAACCCTGAAGGGCATATATGATTTTAACAGGTGCCCCCAAAAGGTCACTGTAGATCTCCCCAAAATTACCTAACTTCATGAAATGATGTGGTCAGAATCCAGTGTTTTGGGGCTCTAGCCTAAGGTCAGGGCTTGCAGATTTTTATTTAATCAAATACATGACTATAACACAAAGGTCAGGGAGATGCGCCACCAAATATTAATGTAAATTCATTAACAGGACAACTTAGATATGGGGCTTTTCTAATTGTATTCTCATGTGGATTACATTTATCTATTAGCTATTCACTGTATGCAGATATTTTGAAATTTCAGCTTATTGTCTCAATTTTACAACGGAGGCACTGAATCCCAAAGGTAGGGTCAAATTAACACATTTTACATTATCTCTGTTAATCCCCATAGAAAATCCTATTGCCAATCAGACTTACAACAAGCTACACCAGAACAGGGTAGCAGTGGAAAGAGTAGAAGGTCACACTGGAACATCCCTTCTACAGAACTGGCTGAGCCACAGGTTACCACATTGTCCACTCCCACTCAAACAGGCTGTGGTGAAGCTCATCCAACATCATCTAAGCAAAATAATTTTGTAAAGCATTAACAAATGTAAAGAACTATTATCGGAGAAGAAAAGAGACTCTAATACCACTTTCTAATAAGTAGAAACGAGAGATAAAAAGCCAATAAGACCAAGGAAACTACACCACAGGGCAGACATACTCCACTTGGCTTCCTTATTATAATTAAGATACTTGATTGGTGACAGCAAAACCACTTGGATTAAAAAAACTCCACTAACAGCACCACACCTGCCACTTAACAAACAAGTAGGGACCACGACCTGACTGAATAACAGCTAAACATCTCTGCAGACCCGCCTTAAAAAATAAACCAGCATCCTCCAGACTTAGTCCACCCAGCCCTATGGAAAGAAGGAAGTTTGAAGCCCCGGGTCTTCCCTTCCCTCCAAGAGTACACTCAGGGGCCGGCGCGCACCAAGCCCAGAACCTCCTTCGACTGAAATTTCAAAGCACTAGCAAACCAACTCTCCGCCGGCTTCCGGGTCAGTAAAGAGAAATGAAAACCTCTCCGCAGCCCCAAAGCCCACCATTTTCCATTTATTGATAAGGAGGCCACAAGGCAAGTGCCTCTAGCCCCCATTCCAAACATCAGACAGCACCAGGCTCCACTTTGCAAACTGTTCCAGCTGGACAAGGAGTCTTTAGAAAGCTCAAGTATTAGAAGATTCGCCCCCAACCGATTCCACATCTAAAAGGTCTTTAAGGAGCAGGGAAGAGGGGTCTAAACTCGGGTAAAGTGCACACCCTCTACCCTCTCACTCAGCTCCCGCCCTGCCAGGAGCTAGGCGCGCCCCGGCAGCACCCACAACGCGCAACAGTAGCCCATCACGCCAAGGACATGCGCCCCGCGCCCCACGTTTCGAAGTGCTCACCCTCACGTGGTTCTCCACAGCCGCGCGGCCCGCCAGCTTCTTGGCCTCCTCGGCCTTGGACATCGTGGAGGGGGCCGGGCAGATGCTGTTGGAGTCCCCGCAGCTGGTGCTTGTGTTGCCAGCACCGCCACGGGTCCCAGACTGTGCACGCCCCGGCAGCCGCACGTGGGAACCCGGGAGGTCCCAGCTGTTCCCTCCTCCGCCGGAGGCCGCGCCCCCGGCCCTCCCGGGCAGCGGGGCCAAGACCCGCCCGTAGAGGGTGCTGAAGGGCCCGGGGCGCTGCATCCCGACGCCTCGCTCCGGCCTCCGCTGAAGTCCCGCCCCCGGCTCCCCCGGAAATCTGGTCGCTTACGCACACAGTCTGCGTGCCCTGCTGCGCGGGTCTTGCTGGGAAATGTAGTTCTGTGGCTTCGAGGAACCCCTATCTGCGCCTCAGTCTGGACTACCAATCCCATAATGCTCTCCGCGACGGAATGCGCAATCGCCGGCGACGGGCTCCGGCACTTCGCTCTGTGAAGTACCATTAGCCGCGGGAATATCAGTATGGTGACTCCTTACCCTGGGGAAGTGTACTTAGGCCACGGCTAGGTGAAGCCCAGGGATATTTCTGTTCGCCCATGCATCCGAGAAAGGAGTGTTAGACCTGACCCTGTTGTTTCTCCCAGCAGTGAGAACGTGGCCATGGACAAGAATTCCAAGTAGTGGCACTTCTGTAGACGACGCGGCCCTTTTGGGGTTACTACAGCCCAGGAAACTCACATGCGACACGGCGCCAGCTGAAGTCCATCTAGACCCCCGCAGACCCAAGGTCACAAGTTGAGAACCCCCTGCCGTGGACATTCTTCTGCACCTAGTGGTGAAGCAGGTGGAGCTGCACCTTGCTCCGCCCATTTGGAGACTGGTTCTGCACATATGAGTGTGCCCTGCAGCGATCCTGCAATCCTTCGTGACTAACAAGGACTTTCTGTGAAAACAGATTTATCTTTTCTTCTCTACCTTTAAGGTTTCTTGCTGTTGAGAATAGTTAAGGGACGAGGAATTCTTATTGCCCCCATTTTACAGGCAAAGAAACTAATGCTGACCCCAACCTTACCGACCACTTGGAGGTCCCTAAAAACACATGACCTTTGTGTTTCTCGGCTGTTAGTGGAATCCTTTCTGTCTGCTCATGAACTCATCTTCAAACGCATTCCAGGCCTTCAGAACTCTTCCGTGAGCGCAAGTCACTGGTATGGGCCACTGTTAACTGCCGGTTATCACCTAGATTTTCTTAACTATGCTTTGCCCTCTGAGGCCGTGAGCTCTTGAATCTTCACCTTAGTCTGTAGGAGGAAAAGTTGTTTGAGATGATATTTGAATCCTTCATTTTAGGCCAAATTCAGAACATAGCAAAAGGTTCTGGCTAACATGCAGAACAGTATGTCTGGACTCCCACTACTGTTGGTCTGCAAAGTTGAAGGCTACTCTAGGCAAATATGTCACCTTTAATGTATCTCCTTAGGAGGAGTCTTTCACCTTATTCATGCTCCTCAGCACCCACACCAAAAGATTCATGAAGTAAATGTTACCTAGTCTCTGCTTTACCCCATTACCCCCGGCCTGAGGACCTTTGAACCATTTTAAATGCTCTACCTGCCAGCCTGGCCATCTGTGCATTGCTTGCTCCATCCACCCTTCTGACTCAGCTGAAATACCACCTTCCCAAAGAAGTCTAAGTGACCACCTCATCTAAATTGGGTTTCCTGCCCACCCCTCCTCTATCACTTTGCGCATGGTTGTATTTCTATCACAGAACTTCCGTCCATCATTCGTGTCCTTCGTTTTGTACTTGTTTATCATATATCCTCTGTAGAACAGAACATTCTGAGAAGACGGACTTTGGGTGTCTTTCTACAAAATCCTCCATTCCTAAAACTGCTTTACCTGTAGATGGTCCTCAACAAATATCTAAAACATTTTAAATAACAAATAGATGTCATGCTTTAACC
The DNA here is from genome assembly GCF_000001405.40 of Homo sapiens. Taxonomy (NCBI): domain Eukaryota; kingdom Metazoa; phylum Chordata; class Mammalia; order Primates; family Hominidae; genus Homo; species Homo sapiens. Next base: position 88,689,995 of record NC_000002.12, on the reverse strand, counting down.
CTACACTCCACCTTCGGCCATACAGAATTTTAGTCCCTGCGTCCATGCTCTTACCTCCGTGGTTTTGTACACTCTGTACCGTTCTAACTCTCAGATATTCTTCAAGACTTCATTCTGTTACTTGTTACTCTGCAACTCTAAACCCCACTCTTAGTTGAGTTGGCTGCTCTTCGGTGCTCACAATTACCTGTAACCTCTCTGTCATAACCATCTCACTCTATTCATTTGACTGTCTCACTCAAACGACGTGTCCCTTGATGGCAGAGACTGTTGCTCATAACATGGACAGTGCATTGTTCAATTACTGTTTTGGGGTGACAAAGTCTGTCTGTGCCTCTTTGCGTTCTCTTTCCTTCTCTCTTTTCTCCATGTTGTACTTGTCTTTCCATTTCTGCAACCCTTTTAATCCTTTCCTTAGGTTGTTATTCATGCCTAGTGATTCTCATGGACATTCCGAAATCCCGGTTCTTAGGGCTGAAGACTATGCTGATCTTTGAAATAATATGAGTATCGCATTCTGATGATACTTCATTTGCATAATTATTGATAATAGTGCCAGGTACAATGCTAAGTGCTTTGCAGACTTTATCACATTTAATCCTGACTTCAAGAAGTGGATACTGTTAACTCCTGGCCAGGCACAGCAGCTCTCACCTGTAATCTTAGCACTTTGGGAGGCCAAGGCAGGTGGATCACCTGAGGTCAAGAGTTCGAGACCAGCCTGGCCAACATGGTGAAACCCCGTCTCTACTAAAAATATAAAATTAGCTGGGTGTGGTGGCACACACCTGTAGTCCCAGCTACTCAGGAGGCTGAGACAGGAGAATCACTTGAACCCGGGAGGTAGAGGCTGCAGTGAGCTGAGATGGCACCACTGTCAGCCTGGGCAAGACGTAGTGAGACTCTATCTCAAAAAAAAAAAAAAAAAAAAGTGGATACTGTTATCCTCATTGGCATAAAAGAAGTCCTCACTTTGGGAGGCCAAGGCAGGCAGATCATGAGGTCAGGAGTTCAAGTCCAGCCTGGCCAACATGGTGAACCCCGTCTCTACTGAAAATACAAAAACAAGCTGGGAATGGTGGCAGGTGCCTGTAATCCCAGCTACTTGAGAGGCTGAGGCAGGAGAATCAGTTGAACCCAGGAGGCGGAGGTTGCAGTGAGCCGAGATCACGCCATTGCACTCCAGCCTGGGTGACAGGGTAAGACTCCATCTTAAAAAAAAAAAAAAGTCCTCACTTACTCAAGGTCACACTGCTTGTAAGCGAAGCTGGGATACGAACCTTCAGTGATTCTAGGACCAAACACTGACCTAATAGAATCACCTAGATGGGGATTTATTAATTGCCCCACCCCACCCCCAATATAGCCATGAACTTTGTATAAACCACACAGGTAATGCCTTTTCTCTTTAAAGCCACATGTAATAGCAGCAAATCTTAAGATGAAATGGTTAAGAGGGGGAAAAAACTATAAATGAGGAAGTACTAAATGAAGGGAAGTGCACAGGTTTTGGATGATGGACCAGATTCAGGGTCTGATAAAAGTAAGATCAATCTACTTTATAACTTAATAACCCACTAAAAAGCCTTTTTTAAATTATAAGGGCCATACTAATCTCTGTATCTTGCCAGTTTTAGTATATGTGCTGCCAAAGCAAGCACTAAAAAGTCTTTTTTTTTTTAACTAGATTGCACTAGAAAGAACCACATGGGGTTTATTCTTCCCTCTTTCAAGAAACCTAATGAAATTGGGCTGAGATTCCAAGGAACTCCTGGAAAAGAGTTATCAGTGCCAGAATGAAAGATCCTAGAGGCAGAGCCCACCGTTCTACTCTATTTATAGTGGTGAAAGGTAAGGCCTGCACCTGCATGGGCTTTAAGTATTCACTCCCATGATAGTCCCAGTGTGGTCCAGCCTTAGAGGAAACAGAGGCAATGGGCACCATGGCAATTCACTTAATGCTGGTGTATTAGTCCGTTTTCATGCTGCTGATAAAGGCATACCTGAGATTGGGCAATTTACAAAAGAAAGAGCTTTAATGGACTTATAGTTCCACATGGCTAGGGAAGCCTCACAATCATGGCAGAAGACAAGGAGAAGCAAGTCACATCTTACATGAATGGCAGCAGGCAAAGAGAGAGAGCTTGTGCAGGGAAACTCCCATTTTTAAAACCATCAGATCTCATGAGACTTACTATCACAAGGACAGCACAGGAAATACCCACCCCCATAATTCAATTATCTCCCACCAGGTCCCTCCCACAATACATGGGAATTATGGGAGCTACAAGATGAGATTTGGGTGGGGACACAGAGCAAACCATATCAGCTGGGATGTAGGCACCACCAGGAAGATACATAGCCATCATTGTGTTCCTGCCCAGGCTTCAGTGAAGCAGGAAAAACTCTTGCTTTTTCCACTTCCTCATTTCCATTTCCTCTCCTTTCTCACTCTTACTTTCTTCAAAGTTTGTACATTTTGAAGATGATTTCCATGGAAGACTGTACAGAGCTACAAACTAGATGTTGGAATGGATTTGAGGATCCTGCCAGAGACTGAAGATGCTGGCTCAGATATATCTCAGAATAGAGTTTGGCTCTCCCTACTTTCATTCAACAGCTTCACTCATTTAGACCTAGCAACCCAACCTCACACCCTCCACTCTCACACCGTTAGAATGACCCTTTGGAGCCTCAACTTTTGACCTGCCTTGCTCCATCCCCTTTTCACAAGGGCAGGTTTATTGTCTACTGGCAATCTTGACTAGGGCCTTGGAAGAGGATTGGACCTTATTCACAGTGGTCTAGTGATCAAAACAAGTCATTGTTAATACATCAGTGTTACTACCTTGCTATGCATGTAACGCTGGAAAACAGCATAGTGCAGTCCATTTACCAAAACCAAATCTTACTGCTAGTTGACCAACACCATGTGGTACTGAGAAAAATGTGTATAGAACAACCCCTTACTGCTGTATAAAACCATTCCTTGCTTAAGGATCACCTGACTTTTGATATCTTTACACCAGTGATTGTCAACTTGGAATGATTTTTGCCCCTCCCCTCATGGGGATATTTGACAATGTCTGGACACATTTTTTATTGTCACAATTGGGAGAATTCTACTGGCGTCTAATAGGTTGGGGCCAAGGATACTGCTAAACATCCTTCAGTGCACAGACAGCCACATACACAAAGAATTTTCCCAACCAAAGGTCAATAGTGCTGATATTGAGAAACTGCCTTAAAGAATCTTCAGGTGAGACTACATGGGAGGTTCTGTTAGCAGTAGCGAATCCATACAGGTCTGCAGCAACCTCAATTCTTGCCTCCTCAGAAGAAAGAATTCAACCAAGGAGGCATTAGGCAATAGGAAAGACCAATGCAAGTTTTAGAACAGGAATAAAAGTTTGTTTAAAAGCTTTAGAGAAAGAACAAAAGGAAGGAAAGTCCACTTGGAAGAGGGCCAAGCAGGTGACTTGAAAGACGAGTGGTTTGACCTTTTGACTTAGGTTTTTATATGTTAACAAACTTCCAGGGCTTGCATTTTATTCTCCCCTCATTCTTCCTTTGGGGTGGGCTGTCTGTATGTGCAGTTGCCTGCTAGCCCTTGCAAGGGGAGCATGCATGGTGTGTTTACCGGAGTTGTACACATGCTCACTTGAGGCGTTCTTCCCTTACCAGTTGAATGTCCCTAGGAGGCCAGATACCAGTTCAGCTCTGCCATTTTGTCTCTTAATGCACATGCTTGAGCCCACTAGTGCAACTCCTGAGATCTTATTGGGAAGCTGTTGATTACCAGTTTCAGGTTTTTTCTATCTGTTGGGAGACTTCCTTTCCCTGGCACTGGCAGCAAACAATTATTATTTTAGAGAGGCAATTAACAGCTGCCTGACCATCACCTGATGGTCACCTGACATTCCTTTTAGGGGTTTGGGCAAGTGCTCTCCTGCCCTGTTCATGACCGACTAGCTACCCACTGTAGCATTTCTCCCCTCAAGATTCCAAGACCCCAATTCTTTGGGAAAAATGGATGATCAGTCTTCTGTAAATCCCTCCTGCTGATGGTGGGGCAGTGGTGGTTGTTCTGTGGGTCTTGGCCTGTTGCTAGCTGTCAGAGAAGGAGAGTGGCTCCATGGGTTGATGAGAGCACTATCCAGCCAGGTCCAAGGGAGGCAGGGGCAGAATTTTATCTCCATCATGTATCCCTGATGGACATCTAGGGGTCCCCTGTAAGAGGGTGACTCTTGAATATTGAGAGGATGGTATCCCTCTCTCAGGATTATCTGGAGCTTGATGGCCTGAAGATGAAAATAGACAAATTGAGTTATTAGATTTAGTAGAATGTTAAAATGAAATAAGGAGGTGAGGACAGCTCCAAAAAACCCCAAGCCTGCCGGCACACCCATGTAACTGGTGGCCATAGTCATGCCTGCCAAGACTTGGGTTTATTGGGTTGCTAGCCAGTTCCAGTATGTGCCCAGAATTAGAATATTGATCCAGATTTGTATGTTACCCATCCCTTTTGTTTCTTCTGAGCTGCAGCCAGAGATCACTAGCTGGTTCACAGGAATAAGGGTTAGTCTAAATTGCAGAGAAAAATTCAAAAACAGCTGATGAGACTAGAATCTAAGAACAGGTATACCATAGTTCTTGAAACATAATTTTCCAGACATGGTGGCTCATGCCTGTAATCCCAGCACTTTGGGAGGCCAAGGTGGGCAGATCACTTGAGTTCAGGAGTTTGAGACCAGCCTGGCCAACATGGTGAAACCCCATCTCTACTAAAAATACAAAAATGAGCTGGGCGTGGTGGTGGGTGCCTGTAATCCCAGCTACTCAGAAGGCCATGGCAGGAGAATCGCTTGAACCCAGGTGAAAGAGGTTGCAGGGAGTCGAGATCATGCTTCTGCACTCCAGCCTGGGCAATAGAGTGAGAGACTCCATCTCAAAAAAAAAAAAGAAAAAAGAAAAAAAATAAGAAATAAATAGAATTTTTCTCTCCAGTCCTCATTTTTATTAAAAACAAATCATGACAGGACAGATTTGTTTGCAAAATAAACTTTAGTCTTCTTATACTTGGCCTAATTATTTGCACAAAGCACAGCAAGAATAATTATTTCCCTTATAGGCTCCTTTTTAAATTGGCTTTGATGCAACTTTGTTCCATAAGGAATCTCAGATAAGACGTTTTTAAAGCCTTAAGCCCAGCCATGGGTTGGTGCCATCAAATACCTGTATGAATTGAATAAATTCCTTTCCTCTTGAGGTCCCCAGATAACCTGGGGCTCCTGGGCCTGTCAGAAACTGGTATTCTTTACTTACCACAGGTCAGGAACCCTGTACAGGGACCGTGTAGATAAGGTATGTTTTCCTAGGGGGGGCTTTTATTGGCTCTATAAGTCAAATTTGATTCCCTGAAGGAAAGCACACCATTACAGTTAAAGCCTTGGTAAAATAACCAGTGGCTTCAATTTTGTCATTGCAAAAGAAAACAGATTCTTATTGCACTTATGCAAATTACTATCTTGCCATAAGTTAAGAATACTCACAAATTGTTTCCAAATTCTGGGGAATCTGGAAGAGAGAAATATGCTGCAAATTTTGTTTACAGGGGTATACTTTGCTCATTTGTTAAAAATTGTAAATGGCTCAAAAGAAAAGCTTTCTAGGCTTTGAAAAACAAAGGAGCAGCCATGTTTTAAGCAAAAAGTAATAAGAGGATTGTTCTAGTTTTTTATTAGTTCAGTCCATGTAGTTAACTCCTATTCTGCTTGATATTCACAAACATTTTAGCTCTCCATGAGGGTCCTGAAAGATTTTTCCTCTATTCTAATGTCACAATATCCAAAGTTATCAGAAACCTGCATTTAAGAGCACCTGTTAGATTCCCATAGCTGATTATAAACTGCCTTCTAAAACAATCCTTTAACCATCTAAAGTAGGCAAAAAAATCCATATTCCCATGAGTTCTTATAACTTTTTCCCAAAAGCACATTCTACCTTCCTTACACACCTTCCATGTAAAACTATGTTTCCCATAGCCTCAAGTACATGTTACACTATTAAGTCTTAGCAATTTTTACTTTTGGTGAAAAACCTGGTGAGTAAGTGATTTTAATTATGTGCTAGGTTTGGAGCCTAGGACACCAGACAGAAGTCCAGATAAGGTCTGACTGTTTTCAGCATAGCTAGGGGGCATGGCTAACTCTGTATGTTCCCAGGCCTTACCTAGCTTTAAAGCAGGGAATTTGTACTGTTAAGAGCTATAGTGGCAGTTTGTGAAGCATTTAGATGGCATAGTAACCTTTAAAATTGTGTAGTAGTTCTTTCATAAATTCCCTTTCACAAATCTTTTTTAACAACTTACACAGACCACCTACAACATGCTTGGACTTTTTTACTTGTCCTAAACATCCCTCTTTTTAAACCACCAGTCATTTTACTTTAGGACAAGAATTTACCATACAAGATTTTTTTTTGTTCTACAATATCTCTTCTTTATAGCCTTCCTTACCAGAAATACCACTTTACCTTTATAACCTTTGAATTAGACAAAAGTCATTTTCCTTCTTTTAGAAAGTTAAGGTTTGTACCACATGTTGCTATGTGAGTCCTGTGGAGGGGGAGCAGATAAGGGGGTTATCTACCTACTGCAGAAGTTATCCCCCGCTCAAGAGTTTGCTCAGTTAGATTTTCACTAGAACTTGTCTGAATAAATGTGGGCTATTTCTAAACCCCTGAGGTAGGACTGTACCGGTTAAAGTTATTTGTTAAAGAATTACTTAATTTTGAGGGGAGAGATAGGACTATCAGAGAGAAAGATGAATTCAGAGGCTGGATAAATATTGAGTGAGCACCCATTTTGGAAAGTATATTTTTGCCCCAAAGAGGTGAGAGGACATTGCCAGGGACTGGTGGGAGAATAGTAATTGGTCCCTTAACTAATATAAAGGGGTGTGAATCTTTTCTTTTGGAGGGGGGTGCCATTTGCCCCTATTGCCTGACAGGATTTGGAAGAGAGTTTCTCAGAGAAAGATATTAGCACAGAGTAGGCAGCTCTTGAATCCAAAAGGGAAATTTATAATTTTACTTGCCACCTGCAGAGTTGCCCTCAGCTTTGTCCTGTTGATGATGATGTGTGATTTGGAAGGCAACTAGAGCAGAGACCACCTTCAGCTCAAGGTTATCAGGGGTTGGGATTCTGTCCCAAGGGCCCTTTGGCCCGTCAGGGCGGTCTCATTTCCAGTGGCCAAGCTTGTGGCAGAGAGGCAAGCCATTAGAGGCTTTTTCCCATTTATCCCATTAGGGCACTTTGCCTTCCAGTGGCCTGGCTTCCCACACCAATGGCAGTTACCTGGAGGAGTGCCCTTAGGGCAACCTGGAGGGAGTTGGTGGGCTTGCAGAGCAGCCAGTACTTGAGCCCACCTCCTTTCTCTGTGTTTCTCCTTTTTCTTAGCCTTGTCCTCCTTATTCTGCTGTCAGTTATAAAAGACTGAGGAGGCTAATCTGAGGACCTCCTGCACAGGGGTACTGAGTTCTAAGGCTGACTTTTGCAATTTCCTCCCAGTTCATTCTTAAGCCAAATAGTATTACAAAGGAAAACTAGTTTTTTGTTTTAAGGTTTGGGGGAATCAGACTTTTCCCAGTTTGAGGGGGCGCCTCCAAGGAGCATGATCTTTAATTTGGAGATGCTATTACCCATCTGCAAAAGGCAAACAGAGGAGAAAAAGGGGGGTAAAATTTTTCCTCCACTTTCCTATTATTCTGAATGAGGCATCCTCCATTGTCCTTAGGGTTCCAGAATAAACCAGTCTTACCATGTACCCTTGGTCCATCTCATCACAATTACCCACTTGAAAACAGAAGAGATACTGGAGTGAAAAGTGGGCCCTCTGTTCGTCCCTAAGGTTCTGGAATGAACTGGTCTTACTGTGTACCCCTAACCTTGCCTTCATCTCTGTTCTAATGGTAATCTGTTAGCCTAGGGCTAAACTTCATCTCTGTCCAATGGGTCTCTTGCACCTGCTGCCTTGGGCCAGCCTATATCCTTGTCTCCATGACCCTATAGTGACTCTCACTTCAGCATTTAGCAACAAAATGATTATCTATTTTCTTATATTCCCATTTCCATGTTCTTTAAGTAGATGAGAAGCCTGTTTTTCAGTTAACTGCCCCAAGGGGCTAGACTTCCCTCCCTGCAAATATGACCTTGAAGGTCTTGATGTATGTTAATAAGGGCATGGAAGTGGTTAGAGAAATGGAAGCTACAGGAGGAAGTGGGAGGAAGCAAGAGGAATACTCATGGAAAGCCTTCATATCCTCACAAAAACAGCAGCCCTTGGATTCAAGGGGGCAACATTTATTTGCCCTCTTGACATAAAGGAGTAAACTCCAGGGGACTTGGGGCTTGGGGTAAGAACTCGCAAATGGCAAAGGAAGAATTTATCCTCCTCCCAGTGGGTGCTTACTAAAAAAAAAAAAAAAAAAAAAAAAAAAAAAAAAAAAAAAGCAAGTAGGCAAGTAGGTGGGATCCTTAAAGGGCCAGAGTGAGGTCCTATGTAGGCAGACAAATTGCTTCAAAAGCCACTGGAAAACTTGGCCCTGGGGTGTAACAGGAACAAAAAGCATATAGTAAGTTATAAGGAGCTGGCAGAGCTACAGTTCCAATTAGTGTCTGTCCCAGCAATGTGCCAGCAGACAGGGGAAGGGTTGGAGGTCATCTGAGCTGGTAGGATAAAAACAAGTATAAATCTCAGGGGCTATCTGCAAAGGAGCCTGTGTCTTTTCTGCCATGAAAATTCAGCAAGAGCCGCGGACACATGAATAACAGGGAGTGTGTGTTTAAGAAGTCATGTGGCATGTGAAGTGAAAGCAAAGAGCCAGACTTGCCCCCAAGGCAGACTGTCTGGCTGGGTGTTCAAGGCCATTTCAGAACACACAGAGAAAATAGAAGAATAGGCAGTGCAGGTTCTTGGGGAAAAGCTGATTTTAGTTGAAAAAGCAGAGGAAAACCCAGACATTGCACAGTTTTAGACTTTAGCCCTACCACTTTCATGAGCCTCCTGCCCAGGAGGGCCATTAGTTCTACTCAGTGTGGACCCCAAGGTCCTTCCCACTCCCGTGAGCTACCCATCAGGGTAAGCTGAGAGATCAGCTGGGGGGAGTAGAGCCACTGTAGCTGAGAGGAATTGTTTGTGGGGTTGGTTAGTAAGCAAGAGAGCAAAAAGGAGGAGGAAACCATGTAGACGGGTTGAATGCCTCCAGCTGAAGCAGGCAAGGTGTATAGGTCTTGTACTACTAGGGAACTTATCCGAGTCATATAGCACCAAAGTATGTTAGCAGTGGCAAATTCATACAGGTCTACAGCAACCTCAGTTCTTGCCTCCTCAGAAGGAAGAATTTGACTGAGGAGATGGAAGGCAGGAGAGATCAAGGCAAGTTTTGGAACAGGAATGAAAGTTTGTTTAAAAGCTTTAGAGAAGTTACAAAGGGAAGGAAAGTCCACTTGGAAGAGGGCCAAGTGGGTGACTTGAAATATCAGTGCGTGGTTTGACCTTTTGACTTAGGGTTTTATATGTTTGCATAATTCCAGGGTCTTGCGTTCGTTCTCCCCTGATTCTTCCCTTGGGGTGGGCTGTCTGCATGTATGGTGGCCTGCTAGCGCTTGGGAGGGGAGCATGCACAGTGTGTTACTGGAGTTGTAGGCATGCTCACTTGAGGAATTCTTCCCTTACCAGTCAGATGTCCCTAGGAGGTCATATACCAGTTCAACTACACCATTTTGCCTCAATGTGCATGCTTGAGCCCAGTCGCCCAACTCCTAATATCTTATCATGAAGCTGCTGATCACCAGTTTCAGGTTTTTTCTGTCTGTTGGGAGACTGCCTTTCCCTGGCATTGGCTGCAACCAATTATTTTAGAGAAACAGCACTGCCTGAACATCACCTGATGAGCCCCTGACATTTTTGGTGGGGGTTGTGGGGAGCCCTCTCTTGCCCCGCTCATGCCTGACTAGCTACCCACTATAACACCTCATCTATCTTGTGCAGCTTGTTTCATCTGTTTCATCCATTCCCAGAACTCCCAAGTGATCACCTTCTCCAGACCTATCTTACCCCCAAGGAACTCCCTAGCTCTCAGTACCCCCACCCACATTGGTTGTTCCTTGTTTGCCAAAGCACTCTCTGGAGCTCACCTGTTTGTCAGTGTTGTCATTTAGTTCCATCCATTTGTTTTCTCTGGATGGAGCTGGAGGAAACTTCAGATCCATATGGGCAGAAGAGGAGAAAGATGAAGGAAACCAAGCTTTGCCAGTTTGGTGAGGTAGGGGTGAGGAGCAGACATTCACAAAAAAGATCATTCCTTTCCACGCTGGCAGAGGAATCAGCTCTAGCCCTGATGCCTGCACTGTTGCCAAAGGGCTCCATCTCTGTTCAGTCTTGAGCATCAGCCTAACTTACCAGTTACCAAGCCCTGAAAAGAGGGAATGGATGTGCATCCCACCTCAAGGAGGAGGTGAGAGGAAGAAAACAGACTATTCTGCCACTTGAGTATATACATTCTGTAGAAAAGTCAGAGGGGCACTTTCTAAGACTGGACCACACATCCATGGACCTTGTTGAGTCTGCGAAAATGATACACCAAGATAAAGGTTGCAGAAGAAAAGTTTTCTCTGACCTTCCCCTGCCCTCCAATCTCTGGCTGCTCATTCTCCCCCAGGATAGTCACAGAAACTAGAATCCCTCTTCCCCAAGGCAGGTCATAGAAACCAGAACCCCTTTCCCCAAAAGCAAGCCATAAAGCCTAAAAATATTACTCCAACTTTCCCCCACCTTTCTGTGTGAAAAATTGGCCATAAAGAAATTACCTGACCTACCATGTTAGGGATAACCATTCCAGAGAGGTTCCTGCCCCATACCCAGAAGGAAGGAATGCTCCACAGAGAGACCAAGAGTCATCTAAGCAGACAGGCCTTGCTGGGTTTCCCCACTCAGTCTGTTAGCATTAGATCATAACCTTTATGTACGATCATATTTCTACATGGCTATCCATAGTTCTTGAACCTAAGCATAAAAATGGGCAGTTTCCTCTGTATTTTTGAGTCTTCATTCTGAAGGCTCCCATGTCGTGTAAAATGATGATCAAATACATTTGTACTCCTTTTCTCCCATTAATCTGTCTTGTGTCTGTTGATTTTCAGTGACCCTTCAGAGGGTGAAAGGGAAGCTTTCTCTGGGCCCTTAAAACCTTCACAAGGCTGGCTCCCTTACCTTATTCAGGTTTAGCCACAGAGGTCTTCCCTGATTTACTAATAAAGTACCACTGCCCCAATCCTCAGCCCTCCCATCTCCCCCTCACTCCCATCAAATTATCCTATTGTGCTCTGTCATCATCTTGTTATCAAGAAAGAAAAATAGCTTAGAGCTCTCTGAGGAATGTGAGGTATGTAAAATGTATCAGGCCCAGAGAGTATGGGACTTCAGTCTTCCCATCTTCTCCTGCACCCATTCCCAGAGGCAATTGTTTAAAAGCATTTTGTTTTTTCTTTCCTTTCCTGTAGTTTCATAATGTAACCCTCACCCATTATCTTCATATTCCTGGAACTTGTCATACAAAGAACAACATATAGGCAATCACCAATCAACATTATTTCTGTAAACCAATGAGAATCCTTGACAAACAACTTCCTATCAGTCCACTCCTTATCCCTCCTTTAGGTCTATAAAAACCTGCCTGTTAACAAAGGTTGGATGGAGCTCACATCCAAGGTTACTTGGGTCTGAGTCTTCTGGGCAGCTCTCCTCCTCATGGCTCAAGTAAGCTCTTTAAAATGACATTTTGTGCCTCACCTTCTTGCTTTAAATCAACATTATGTTTTTATTTATTTACTTATTTATTTATTTTTGACACATGGTTTCACTCTGTTGCCAAGGCTGGAGTGTAGTGGCACAATCATGGCTCATTGCAGCCTCTACCTCCTGGGCTCAAGTGATCCTCCACCTCAGCTTCCCTAGTAGTTGGCACTACAGGTGCATACCACCATGCCTGGCTAATTTTTGTATTTTCTTTGTAGAGATGGAGCTTTACCATGATGCCTAGGCTGGTCTCAAACTTCTGAACTCAAGCGATCCACCCACCTCAGCCTCCCAAAATGCTGGGACTACAGGTGTGAGCCACCATGCCTGGCTGACATTATGTAATCTTTTGTTTGTTTGTTTATTGCCTATACTTTGCCATTCTAAAATATAAGCAGAAAACTCACCTGGATCCCAGCATTTGCAGAATGAATGAACTCAGGGTACCAGCCCTTAACACCTCCTTTCTTTCATCCTCCAACTCCCCACCTTCAGCCTCGTGCTACCTCAGTCAGCCTGGAATTTCTCGCTCTTTCTAGCTCACAAGCAATTTCACATTTAATAATCCTACCAAGAAACTATGATTTTAAAAACTGGACCGAGATAACTCCATCCAACATGCTTCTCCTTCTGCATTTCTGGAACAGTTTGCCATTTATAAAGCACACCATTGAATCTATTGGGTGCTCTATACAGTGTTTCTGATATCTTTTACAGCAACTATTTTCTTGCTGGTCTCCCCAACGTCACGCCCAGTGAGAGCTTATAGGGAAGGAGTTGCTAAGGCCACTGGGCCTAGGGCAACATCACACAAAGGCAGGTGCAAGTTAGAGAGGAACAGACCTGAGGTCAGCTATCTTTGTTCTCTTCACTAGAAAAGCAGGGCAAGTCTTGATTGCCATTTAGATATGGACTGACATATAGTACTACTCATGGAAAAGGAAGATTCAGGAAATGAAAATTGTTTTTATTATTTCAGGGAGGATAAAAGCAAAACAAATTGCTAGCTCTCTCAGGATGTTTTTCTTATGTTGTTTAGAAAGTTCAGGCTCTCTCAGCCTTCAATTTTTATGTCAACTTCCCACCATGACTTTGTACATTTTTTTAATGACCAAACGTTTGTTAGCAATAAGGCTAAGTGTCTAAACATTTAATGCTGTTAAGGAAAAAAATTACTCATGCCACTTGTGAAGAATGGTAAGGCAGACTTTTTCAAGAGGAGCCATGGTGATAGGTATAGGGACCACTGCAAATGGGTCTTGCAGTGGGAGAGGGAGACTGGACTCAATTCCAACTCCAAAAAGGACAAGCAGGGATTTATAATCAAGGAGCAGGGCCCGAGCATAGTGGCTCATGCTTGTAATCCCAGCACTTTGGAAGGCCAAAGCAGGAGGATCCCTTGAACCGAGGAGTTCAAGACTATCCTGGGCAACACAGTGAGATGCTGTCTCTACAAAAAAATAAAAAATTAGCCCGGCATGATGGAGCATACCTGTAGTCCCAGCTTCTCAGGAGGCTGAGGTGAGAGGATCACTTGAGCCCAGGAGGTTGAGGCTGCAGTGAGCTATGATCAAGCCACTGCACTCCAGCCTGGGTGACAGTGAGACCCTGTCTCTAAAAAAAAAAAAAAAAAAAAAGGAGCAGGGTGGGAGCCAGTGGATAGAAAATTACTAAGGGGAAACATCAAGGATAAGGGTTTCTGGCTAAACTGACTTGATAGGATTATTGCTGAAGGCAGGCTAGGGTGATAAGATATTGAGGCTGGTCAGATACCAAGGGTGCATAGTTTTGCTAAACTGACTTGGAAAGTTTCTTGCTCAAACTGGATTCTATAAGCACAGAGGAAAAAGCCCAAGGTCAAACCTAGTCAAAAAGGACTCTAGGAGCCTCAATAAAGTTTTGGTCAAAGGATAGAGTCTTTGTAAATGCTATTGCCTCAGGACAGTCTGTTTTTAACTTTTGGAAAATATCAGGGAGAATAAGGAAGCCAAGTGGTCGAGGAACTTTTTATTAACCATCTCAGTTGATTATTATAATATGTTTAGTTAGAGCACAGAACATGGTGGAGGTACTTCAGGGTGGTTTAGGTTGTAAAAGGAATAACAAATGAAGTCTGAGAAAGAGAGAGGACCTAGATGTTTTTATTTTCAGCACAGCTACTGACTGGCTTTGTGACCTTAGTGAAAGCCCTTCATCTCTCTAAACCTCACCTTCCTCCTATTAAATGAGAGTTGAACTCATACAAACATAGAGTTCAAGGGTGGTGGGGAGTGGGGTATGGGGGAATGAAAGTTGAAGTAAATTATCTCTACGGTCTCTTCCAACATTAACATTTTACACAACTGTTTCTGATAGATCATTCCATTTAACCCATATTTACAGAGGATAAAGCATAGGGTGAGATGTAAAGGCAGAGTGTACCCTAAGTCCCATCTCTGAGCTATAGGGGATCCTGCTTTCCCCAGTCAGAAGAATTCATCACTGACTCCTTACCTGTGACATAATTCTGCAAATTCTGCAGGACTCCAGATGGGGTTCCCACAGCCCATTCTGCTGAATATTACCCAGGAATAAAAATGTATACAGTAAACTTTAAAAAACTTAAAAGACTAATACAAGTGTAACAATGGCTATTCCCTGCAAGAAAGAAAAAAAATGATAGAGTGTAGGAGATCCCACCATCATTCCTTTTAATGCTCTCAGCCAGCTTCAATTCCCATGAGACTCAGTTTGAACATTTTGAGGCCCCAAATGTGAGTCTCATGTTCAACCTGATCCCTAATGCATGAGCCAACAACTTCACTTGGTGCTGGCAGTGTGTTAGTACCTGGAAGAAAAACTGGCTGCTGTGGACCTAAGGAGGGGCTCAACAGGACTCTCCAGCATGCTATTTTCAGGGGAATTTTCAATATTAATTTTCCTGATAGTTGAATTTCATTATCTGCACTGAAATTAGAACTTAAACCCTGGTTAAAATGAGGCTCTACTATTAGCCAGGCATGGTGGCAAATGTCTGTACTCCCAGCTACTCAAGAGGCTGAGGCAGGAGAATTGCTTGAACCCGGGAGTCAGAGGTTGCAGTGAGCTGAGATCTTGCCACTGCACTCCAGCCTGGGCAATAGAGCGAGACTCCAGCTCAAAAAAAAAAAAGGCTGTACTCTATGTCCTTTATTGCTCCTGCTGCCATCTTCAATAGCAGTTCGATTCCAGTTATTTTCTGTCACTGTAAAAGTTGTCAGAATCAAAATAGAGTCACTTGTGTTAAAAACCCTGAGAAATGGAGCCAGGGAAGGCCGCGAAAGGAGGGTTCTCACATACAAATGCCAGATAACAAGAACTCTCACAAAATAACCCTGAAAAAAGCACAACTTTGCAAAAGGGCCATTGCAAACTTTCACAGAAGTATTTTGTGTGTGTGTGCCCAGCAACTGTCTGTCCCACCTCATTGTTGTTATTGATCCTTGTAGCCAAGGATAATTATCTCAAGACAATTCTGTAATCCTCATTTTTCTTCTAAAAACTATCTGTTCTTCTAAATATGCTCAACTGCCCAGGCTGGCTCATGTGATATGCTCTAGATAACAAATGATACAGCCACCAGTAGGGGAAGGGCCCCAGGTATGCTGGCCCTTGGAAGCTGAACACAAGTTTCTGCCCGTTATAAAGTCCATTGTTCCCTCTCCTTAAGGAAATCTCCCCTTCCTTGTTCCCATAGAGAACAATGTCTTCTCTCTCTCTCTCTCTCTCTTTTCCTCCTCAATCTACACAGCCTAAGCAGAAGGTTTTCATTCAGTTGCCTCATCTATTCATTCAACAAACATTTGTGGAGCACTTACTACATGCTGGGTGCAGCTCCAGCTTCCAGGAATACAGCAGGGGGCCACAGAGACAAATGCAGCCGATTTTAAAGCTCACATTCAGTTCCGTGCCTCAGTTGCCATGGCCCAGGCACCTTCCAGTGGAAATGATTCTGTTCCCTCACTACCTCAATGGTGGATAATGCTATTGAAAGAGAATTTCTTTAAGACAAAATATAACTCTCATACAGATAAAAAATAAACACATGTTAATACTTTATTGAACTCATTAATAAGGAATCTGGTGAGGTGTTTCAACTAGTTTAAAGAAGTTCTAAAAAATCACAAATTATATGGAGTAAAGAAATGTTGAAATGAATGTGCCAATTGGGGAAACAAAGCAAGCTTGCTCCCTGTATTAGTCTGTTTCCACACTGCTATAAAAATACTACCTGAGACTAGGCAACTTATAAAGAAAAGAGATTTAATTGACTCACTGTTCCACATGGCTGGGGAGGCCTCAGGAAACTTACATTCACATGGAAGGCAAAGGAGAAGCAAGTACCTTCCTCACAAGGTGGCAGGAGAGAGAAAGACCAAGGAAGTGCCACACTTTAACATCATCAGCTCTTGTGAGAACTCACTCACTCTCATGAGAACAGCATGGGGGAACCTCCCCCATGATCCAATCACCTCCCATCAGGTCCTTCCCTTGACATGTGGGGATTACAATTTGAGATGAGATTTGGGTGGGGACAGAGAGCCAAACCATATCACTCCACAATAAGACAAGGAATTCAACTGAACCTCTGCCATACAAAGCAGATGTTGCACGTCTTTAGATAAAAATTATTTCATATTGCTGTTATTTGTTCATAATTTACAAAACTGAAAAATAGCTTTCATGGAATCAGATAACCTGGAAGGCTGTCCTGCACAGTTCAGATAAGGCAAAGTTTTCTACTGAAGTATGAAATTTTCCCTACAATGCCAACTTCAAGATTCCCATGTACCTATCTCTTCAAAGCTGCAGGAAGCTATTAGAGGATTTCACAAACTCAGCAGTACGGACATTTTGAGCAAGATAATCCTTTTTTTTAATTAAAAAGACTTTTTTTTTTTGAGACAAGATCTCACTGTGTTGCCCAGACTGGCCTCAAACTCCTGGGTGGAAGGGATCCTCCTGCCTCAGCTGGTATTTTACAGTAAACAAATGAAAGCTGATTTATGATGTTATTCTAGTTAAAGTTTATCCCAAACTACATCAATTCCTTGGAAATATCTGTATTTCTTTGAAGATGATAGATTTAGGTAACGAACAAGCAAAAACTGTTTGCAGTGAATGAATGTACAAATTCCAAGCCAGGGTTCTAGGAATAGTCCTCTCTTTCACTATATTCCATTAATCACATTCTACCTACACAATCTACCTCCTTTATAACCCTCAGACCCAGCCCTTGTATTTATGTCCAACTCCAGCTGCTCAGTGCAGGCATTTATCAATTCATTTTTCTTTTTTCTTTTCTTTTTTTTTTTTTTTTTTTTTTGAGGTGAAGTCTCACTCTGTCGCCCAGGCTGGAGTGCAGTGGCACAATCTCGGCTCACTGCAACCTCTGCCTCCTGGGTTCAAGCGATTCTCCTGCCTCAGCCTCCCAAGTAGCTGGGATTACAGACACGCACCACCCCCATGCCTGCCTAATTTTTGTATTTTTAGTAGAGACAGGGTTTCACCATGTTGGCCAGGCTGGTCTTGAACTCATGACCTCAAGGGATCCACCCACCTCGGCCTCCCAAAGTGCTGGGATTACAGGCGTGAGCCACTGCACCCAGCCATCAATTCTAGATTATTACTACATCTTCATAATTTTTCTCCTTTCCTCCAATTTCAATGTCCTTCTTCAGCCATCAGAGCGATTTTTTAAAAAAAAATCTGATCATGTTATCCTTGTTTAATCTTACAATGCATCTCACTGTTTTAAGGTTAAAGTCCAAGCTTCTTAACAAGGCATGCAGGGGCTTTTCCATGAGCTGACCTCTTTTTCCCTCAGCAGCATCCTCCTCCACCAGCCCCCTTTTACCACCTAAACTCCAATTATAGCCAGCCACTCAAAGTTTCTGTACGTACCATGTTTTATTATGTCTTCATGCCTTTGCAAGAACCAGTGCCTCCGCACAGAATGTCCTCACTATAACCCCTCATCCTCCCAGTCTTCATCTTCATCTGGCTAAGCCATCTTCTAAGGCAGACAAATATATATGTATATATGTATGTAATTGCTGCACCAGGGTACGAGGTGGAAAAAGAAATAATTGCTATGCCTATTTTTGCCCACTAGAGGGCAAGCTCCTTGCGTGCAGAGCCTGCATCTATTATTTTTTACGTCTGTATCCTCAGGGCTTTACACTGGCACCAGTATGAGGTTACTGGATGGATGCATGCATGGATGGATAGATGACGAATAG
This sequence comes from Homo sapiens, assembly GCF_000001405.40. NCBI lineage: Eukaryota > Metazoa > Chordata > Mammalia > Primates > Hominidae > Homo > Homo sapiens. The sequence goes on along the minus strand of NC_000002.12, from coordinate 88,671,877 downwards.
ATAAAATCATCATGTTAAAAATCCCAGTACAGCGTGATGGCTCACGCCTGTAATCCCAGCACTTTGGGAAGCGAAGGCAGGCGGATCGCTTGAGACCGTAAGCTCAAGACCAGCCTGGCCAACATGGTGAAACCCCGTCTCCACTAAAAATATTTAATATTAATACGAAAATTACCCAGCTGTGGTGGTACATACCTGTGATCCCAGCTGCTCAGGAGGCTGGGGGATGAGAATCACTTGAACACAGGAGGCAAAGGTTGCAATGAGCCGAGATCATGCCACTGCACTCCAGCCTGGGCAACAGAGTGAGACTCCATTTCAAAAAATAATAATAAATAAATAAAATAAAATCCCAGTACAACCCAGAAATTGTATAATTGCTTACAGTTTATTAAGATACGATTTAATGGTTGTATAGTATAATGGTATAAAAGTGCATGGTATAATAGATAATGGAAAATAAAGAATTGAGTTAGAAGAACCAATTTTTAGTCCTCTCTTGGTCACAGACTGGTAGAGGTTGCCTACATTTCTTGGCTCATGGCTCTTTCTCTGCATCACTCCAACATCTTGGTTCCGCGGTCACATCTTCTACTCACTCTGATCTCCTGGTTCCCTCTCACAAGTGTCCTTATGATGACACCCAGCCCACATGGATAATCCAGGATCACTTCTCCATCTCAAGAACCTTAAAGTTAATCACACCAGCAAAGGCCCCTTTGCCATATAAGGTAACATTCGCGGGTTCCAGATATTAGGACATAGACATTATTCAGCTTGCCATTGATAAGTACAGGCAAAACTAAACAAAACAAAAGGTTGGGTGCGGTGGCTCATGCCTATAATTCCAGCACTTTGGGAAGCTGAGGTGGGCAGATCATTTGAGGTCAGGAGGTCAAGATCAAGGCTGCATTGAGCAGTGACTGCGCCACTGCACTCTAGCCTGGGCAACAGGGCGAAACTCTGTCTCAAAAATAAATAAATAAATAAATAATTTTAAAAACCACTTAAACCTCACACTTTATACAAAAATTAACTCAAAATGGATCACAGATTTATTTATTTATGAGACAGGGTCTTGCTCTGTTGCCCAGGCTGGGGTACAGTGGTGTAATCTTGGCTCATGACAACCTCGACCTCCTGGGCTCAGGGGATCCTACCACCTCAGCCTTCCAGGTAGCTGGGACTACAGGCGCATAGTACAGGCACTAATTTTTGTATTTTTTGTCGAGAGGGGGTTTTGCCATGTTGCCCAGGGTGGTCTCGAACTCTTGAATTTAAGCGATCCACCCACCTCAGCTTCCTGAAGTGCTGAGATTACAGATGTAAGCCACAGCTCCCAGCCCCAGTTCTGTATCTTGATCACAGTGATGGTTACGTGGATTTACCCGTGTGATAAAATAGCATAGAACTATACATATATCCTGTGCCAATATCAATGTCAGGTTTTGGTATTACACTCTAGTTATATAAGATGTAACCATTTTTGCAACTTCCTGTGAATGTATAATTATCTCAACATAGCAAGTTTAAAACATACAGGTATATTGCATGTAAACTATACTGCAATAAAGTTATTTGTTATAAAGTGATCTGTTAAATATGTGACAAAATGCAGTGTAACAGCCTGAGATCATACTTTGGAGCCAGAAAGAACTGAGGTCGAATCAACTGTGCCCTTTATTTTCTTGTTTAATCTCGGAGAAACACCTTAACCTCTCTGAGTATCCATGTTAGCATCTGTAAAATTTATATAATATTATCCATGTTACAAGGTTGTGGGAGAAATCTATGTAGACGTCTAGTTCCCATGAATATTCTGCAGATTTTAGTTCTCTTTTCCCTTTACCTCACCCTATTGTGAGATTTCTCATGTACAATAATTCACAAACAATTTTAAAATATTATTTGTGAAGTTTATTTATTTTAGTGGTTAAAAATACAGTCAAAATCTAAGGCGCCTCCAGCTCTTATAATTCTATGCCCAATTAATTCACCCAACACAGGAATTGTGCTTTACCAGGGAGCAATGTTATGAGTTACCATCAGGTGGCAGACCATCCTCCCTATTGGCCGATCAATTTGGTCAACAGAGGTAATGGTAACCACCTATACTTAGATTATGAAGTCTTTCTGTTTCCTGCTGTGAGGAATTTCTGGAACAGCCCAATTTCTTCAGATTTTCTGGCCCTGAAGCTTTAAAAGTGATCTCATAATATACTCAGCTAAACTCAGCTCAACAGTTTATCAAATCTTTATCAAGCTCAGACAACAGGTGCTGTACAAAGGATTTGGAGTCAAAACCATATTAAATGTTCAGTATGTGCGTCACTTTTGCCTTTAGGGTGTGTGTGTGTGTGTGTGTCTTGCAAGGTATTCTTCTAACAAATCCTCCTACATAATGTCATCCAAGGTATTGCAAAAAGTATTTGTTTTTCTTTGGTATCCAACTTCTATGACTTAGACAAAGCTAAAGAGAATTAAATTGAATGGTCAAAGGTGATTCAATTGGTTTTTCACTGTTGAACTTCCTCAAAAGATCTCAGATCATAGGGTAACCAACTTGTCCTAGTTTTCCTGAGACTTTCCCAGTTTTTTATTTGAAAACCCCATATCCTATAAAACCTTGGGAATCTGGGACAGTTGGTCACTCTACCGAAAGATAGCCTCTCTTTTTCTCCCAGTCCAAGGAGTATCAGAAGGAGAAATGGGAGTGGATTTCAGAATGATCTTGTCCTGTCCTTTCACTAAACCTGTCTTGTCATGGGGCCTGCCAATCAGGACACCATGTCTAACCATCAGGCAGACCTAACGCTGCCCTTTGAATCTTGGGACAGCATCCAGAGCAAATATGAGTCAGTAAAGCCTGGAAAACTCTGGTGATAAAGTGGAGAATACATTGGGGTGGGGGGGCTTTAGTTTGGGTCATCAGAAGGCTACTCTGAGGAAGTGACATTTGAGCTGAGCCCTGAAGGAAGGGAAGGAGACAGATATCCAAAGTTCTGTAGGGGAAGGCATTGCAAACAGAAGTAGCAAGTGCCAAGGCCATGCAATGGGAAGAAATGTAAGATGTTGGTGGAACCAAAAAAATGCTCAGTGTGGAGTGTGGCTAGAGCAGAACGAGAAGGAGAAGAAGGGTAGGAGGTGAATTTGTCAGGGCAGGCAGCAACTGGTCCATGGAAGGTCTTGTGGGTCTTGGTAAGGAGTTTGGATTTTGTTCTTAGTGAAGAGAAGCCACTGGAGATCTTAAGAGAGGGAAGGACATGATCAAGTTTATGTTGTAAAAAGATCCCATGGGGCTAATGTGGGGACAGGTAAACCATTCAAGAGGCACCCACTGTTGGAATCAAACTCATGGTATCAGACTGGTGAGAACCCCTGCGCCATCATCTGAGAGGACATGCTGCTGTAGGGGAGAGAAGGTAACAGCTTTTCCTCACCCATCACAAGGTTCATGACTGATCCTCCCATGACAAAAGACAGATTAACAGGAGAAAAGCATACAAGTGTATTTCATATAAGTTTTGTATGAGAGCCTTCAGAAATGAAGATGCAAAGAAATGAAGACAACTGTATTTTTATGAACAGCCATGCAGAAGTATGATTAGAGAACCAAAGTGTATGAGCTGATAGTAACAAACTGAGGGAAAACTTAGCAAGGTTAGTTTGTTCAGATTCTTCTTGGCTCTCCTGTGTAACATTCCTTTTCTCCAAGTGTAGGATGGGCACCTCTCACATGGGGATGTTAGGACCTGCTTCAGGAGAAGCTCAGCTTAGTTTCCTGATCTGCTTCAGAGGATAAGAGGTGAGGGGAAAGTAAGAGTGGGCTTCTTGCTTTTACTGTTTTCTCAAATGCCAAGGTGCCACATTTTGTAGTAGCGTGTCCTGAACCTCATAAGTATCAACAAGGAAAGAAGGCTGCCACTAAGAACAGCTACCCAACCAGAATCTCACCCCAGTTTCCCACACCCTGCTTTAGAGCCAAGAAGCAGCTCAGTCACCCAGCATTAGGCCTCACCAAGAGCAAGGGATGACTCCCCAGAGACAGCCACGAAGCTCCTTGGACACTACTGTCTATATGTCTTTACCCTGAAAGCATGCAGAAGAGGGAGAGATGAGAGAGTAGTAAGGAGATGTGGTCAAAAAATGAGAGAAACTGTAAAAGAATGAGCACTCTTTAGTGCTCTTCATCCTGAAATGCCCTGCAATACACACTCACTGCCTCATCCCACTAGTTTTCCTCTTCCATCCATCTGATGCTGGAGCTGAGTAGAAGACTATTGGAAGTGTCTTGCAGGATCTCAGAATGCATCTACTATCATTCTTGAAATGAATAGGAATGTGAATGCGAGATCAGCCAGCCTCCTCTAGCAGCAGCATGGGCACATCCTGACATGCCAGGCTATTGGGGTGTCAAGTTTTAAAGAAGAGTAAAAATGGTGACACCGGCTGCCCCAGGTAGGGGGCATTAGTGAGAATTCTGGTGGCAAAGGCAAGATCTCTGAGAGAGAGAGGTAGATAGATAGATAAATAGAGAGAGATCTTCAGCAGGTCCTCAAATGATCATACCACCTGCTCTTCTGGGCACCCCATTTTACCCTTGGATTGGACATAGTCATTGATTCAGGAATGAAACTTGTGGGTGAGAGGAAAGAGGAGATGAACTGGTCAGCTCGTGTTAATAAAAACACTCAACTATACACATTGTTGGTCTTCAATACTCCACCCCTCCAAGGCCAAGAAGTTTGTGAACCACACAGCTCTGCTTTCTGCTATAAAGAGTGCTGAGTTAAGCTTGGTTAAGAGCTGCCACCAAATAAATGCTTGGAATGAGTTAGGGTGATTGAGGAAAAGTGATTCACCTGCGCCAAGAGGCTCTCCTGGGTGATGTCTGGTAGGAGTGCTAGGAGTGTGGGAATTCAGGGACAGTGAGGCCGAGGAGGCAATAAGCCCTCAGCATGGGGTCCAGTGAGTGTGTCCACGCACAGCCTGTACCTTAACAATGGATTTGCTGCGGAGACTGGGCCAAGGTTCCAAGGTAAGCAAGACTCATGGCCAACTGCATCTGTGGCTAGTATGTTTGATCTGGCAGGGACCAGGGTGGGAACAGACACAGGCATCCCGTGAGCATGACTCATACCTCTGCTATTGACAGCACCTGAGAATGAGGGCCCCTGAGAGGAGCAGCAGTTGGGGAGGGCAGGAGGGCTGCCACCCAACCACCTTTGGAGAACCTAGATCTGGACTGGACTAATCACAAGGTATTGTTGGACAGAGTCATTCTTTCCTCCATCCTCACTGGGGTAAGGTTATCTTACCTGTGATACTTAGGTCTATAAAGATAAGACTTCTGGCCAGGCACCATGGCTCATGCCTGTAATACCAGCACTTTGGGAGGCCGAGGTAGGCGAGTCACTTGAGGCCAGGAGTTTGAGACCAGTCTGGCCAACATAGTGAACCCTGTCTCTACTAAAAATACAAAAATTAGCAGGGCATGGTGGCACACACCTGTAATCCCAGCTACTTGAGTAGCTGAGGCACGAGAATCATTTGAACCTGGGAGGTGGAGGTTAGCCTGACATAAAGTTTGTGTAAAAGATAGTGGATAAATTATTGAATCTTCCTTTTGATTTATAGGCCACTGTCACTTCCAACATGTTCCCAATTGATAACACCCCATCATGATATTTCTGCCATTAAATTTGATCACCAATATATTTATATGTCTCTCCCTTCCCACTCACCTGTGAGCTTTTTGAGGGCCAAAGGATGATGTCAAACATCTCTGGAACCTAGCACTCTGCTTGGCACATAATAAATACCAAATGATTGTTGTATAAGTCAATGACTATATCCTAGTCCAGGACTTTCTGTTTTTTACCTTTATGCTGCTATCATGGACTGCTTCCAAGTGAGAATTTATTTTCTCCTCTCATAATCCTGAGTCAGAGACTCAATGGAGCCTTCTTAATAAGAACAAAGCCCAGGTCCTCCAAACTGGACACTAGACCAAAGGATCTCCATGTGACGTGGGGGCATGTGGGCCATGAGGTTGCACCTTTGCTCAGACCCTTTGGTCTAGTTCCTGCTTGCCCAGCTGTGAACAAGCTCTCCTTCCTACACCTTATATCACAGCTGAAACATGCAAACCCAACTTCAAGAAGGACTGGACAATCATACCCGATACTTAGTTATGAGGACGCTTTATTCATTTATGTAAAAAAAAAAAAACTTGCCAATATCTACTTGTTAGTAATTGGTTTGTTGTTGTTGTTGTCTCACTCTGTCGTCCAGACTGGAGTGCAATGGCACGATCTTGGCTCACTGCAACCTCTACCTCCTGGGTTCAAGCGATTCTCCTGCCTCAGGCTCCTGAGTAGCTGGGATTACAGGTATGCACCACCATGCTCAGCTAATTTTTGTATTTTTAGTAGACATGGGGTTTCACCATATTGGCCAGGCTGGTCTCAGACTCCTGACCTCAAGTGATCCACCCACCTTGGCCTCCAAAAGTGCTGGGATTACAGGCGTAAGCCACTGCACCCGGCCTAGTAATTGTTCTTCTAGTATTTGTTGACTAATAAAACTCATAATGAAAAATTAATAAGTTCCCCAATGATTTAAAACATATTTGCATTTTATTAATCATGCTATTTCTAGATTCATTAGATTGATTGTCATATGTATGTGTGAGATATATTGTTTATTCAGCCCATAGCCAAAAGCTTGGTGATCCTGTGGGTTTTCCAAAGCCTTTTCCCTCTCCAAACTTCATATCCTGATAACTCTGGTCCCTTGAATCCCAACCTAAGGGACCACAGAGTTATAAAAAAGAAGGTAGCTTGCCTAAAAGGTAAGGCTTGACTCCAAACTCAGGAGACCCCCATTTATATGAGATTCTAGGAAAATAATACCACTCAGGAAGCTTCCCTTCTTCACCTCTCAACTCTTCATTCTTCAGTATCAGCCCTGGATCTCCCAACCCTTCCAGAAAGGTGTTCTTTCAGGATCCCCCAAAGACATATTTAATAACTTCAGTAGTTCTTAGGGGTTGGATGCCAGCCCCAAGGTCTTAGTAAAAGACAGTCTAATATAAAATAAAACTAAGCAAAATAAAAGATGAGGACTTTCTCATATAGGGAGAGTTCCACATTCTTTAAAAAACTCTAGCCGCAGTGGCTCACACCTGTAATCCCAGCACTTTGGGAGGCCAAGCCGGGCAGATCACCTGAGGTCAGGAGTTCGAGACCAGCTTGACCAACATGGAGAAACCCCATCTCTACTAAAAATACAAAATTAGCCGAGCATGGTGGCACATGCCTGTAATCCTAGCTACTCAGGAGGCTGAGGCAGGAGAATCACTTGAACCCAGCAGGTGGTTTGCGGTGAGCTGAGATCGTGCCATTGCACTCCAACCTGGTCAACAAGAGTGAAACTCCATCTGAAAACAAACAAACAAACAAACAAACAACCCCTAGATATTGTCATGCATGTCCATAAGAATTCCTCTGCTACTTTTCTCCTTGTAAGCTACTTCTATTTTGACCTCAGTTTTACCTTTATTCCAGATGTTACTTTTGACTTATTCAATGTTACTGGTTTGCTATCTCTTGTTATGACACCTGGTGTATTGGTCAAGAAGCTTCAGAAAACAGAATCCACTCTAACTAGCTATATTAGTCCTGTATTAACTAGCTGTATAAATGAATATTCGAGACTGGGTAATTTATAAAGAAAAGAAGTTTATTTGACTCACGGTTCTGCAGGCCATACGAGCATGGTGCCAGCATCTACTCAGCTTCTGCTGAGGCCTCAGGAAGCTTACAATCATGGTGGAAAACAAAAGGGGAGCCAGCACATCACATGGCAAGAGGGAGCAAGAGAGCAGGGAGGTGCCAGCCTCTTTTAAACAACTAGCTCTCATGTGAACTAATAGAATGAGAGCTCACTCATCACTAAAGGGATGAGGGATCCATCCACATGACCCAAACAACTCCCACTAGGCCCACCTCCAACACTGGGAGATTACATTTCGACATGAGATTTGGAGGAAACATCCAAACCGTATCACTAGCTTATGCAGAAAGTATTTAATTCAGGGTATTTAAAAGCTTACAGCATTGTTGGAAGGTTTAAAGACATAGAGTCTAGATGGAGCATTCAGAAACAACTCCCAAATTTGAATTAATCAAATAGGTGGCCAGGGGCTCTGCTCCACTGGGGGGCTGTCACACAGCCCTCCTCCCATTCCAGCCAGTGCTAGCACTTCTAATTTTGCCGCCTTTCCCACTTAACTCAGTTCTGAATTCAAATGTCACATACGTGCTTAGGATTAGTGGAATGAGAATGAGATTCAGAGCCCTACATGCAAGGGGAAATGTTTTTAGGCTCCTTGCCTCTGCAATACAGGAAAGCACACAGGAAGAGGCTGAAACAGAAGTCGGGGAGCAAAAGCACAGAATCTCCTGCATGTAGACACCCTTCATCTTGACTTTACCCCTGATTGGAGGTCTTGGAATCCTACCCAGATTTTCTGGGACTTTGCTAATCCAGTGTGATCTGTGGACTAGTAAATTAAACACCTCTTGGGAGCTTTTAGAAATGCAGACACCCGGGCCCCATCCCTACTTCATTAGAATCTGCATTTTAGTAAGATCTTCAGGTGATTTTTATGATATTAAAGCTTGAGAAGTAACAGTTTGGTTCTCAAACTTGACTTCACATTGGAATCACTGGGGAAAGTTTAAAAACTACCAATGCCTGTTTCCCATCTTCAGAGCATCTAATTTTATTGGTCTGGGGTAGTCTGAGCATCAGCTTTTTAAAATATGATATGCTCAAAGTTAGAGAACTACTAGCCTAAGAAAACAGAAACCCTTGCTTTGGGCTTTGCACACTAACCTCGGTGCTGAGTGTTCACCGTGCTTGCACTTCACTGTCTCATGGAGTTTGAATGCCAGGACCCTGTCAGCCTGCTAAGGGTCTCAAGCAATCACAGAGTTATGTTACTCTTCGCAGAATTTTCTATTTAGTTTAAGAGACCACGGAAATCAGAAAGGTGCTGAAAACTAAAATTTCCAAATTGCCATGAAAAATAAATTCCAAGACGAAGGAGTTGCAAACAAGACTACACCCTTTTCTTAAAGGCTCCTCCTTGTATATTTAACACAACACCTAGCACATTACATATGTCCATTTAAATGCCACAAAAGACTGGGCACAGTGGCTCACGCCTATAATCCCAGCACTTTGGGAGGTCAAGGTGGGAGGATCACTTGTGGCCAAGAGCTTGAGACCAGCCTGGCCGATATGGTGAAACCCCATATTTCACTAAAAATACAAAAATTAGTTGGGTATGGTGGCAGGCACCTGTAGTCCCACCTACTTGGGAGGCTGAGGTAGGAGAATCGCTTGAACCCTGGAGGTGGAGGTTGCAGTGAACTGGAATCGTGCCACTGCACTCCAGCCTGGGTGACAGAGCAAGACTCTGTCTCAAAAAAATAAAATAAAATAAATGCCACAGAAGTGATTTTGGATACTGACAATGTACTATGTTTCTTAATTGGTACAAATACTTCCACACTGGTCAGATTCATAAGAGTATTTACTGTACAATTACAAGTTGGATTAGAACAAACTTTCATTGTGATGAGACTCTTGGGCTCCATGTCATGGGGCACAGTAAATGTGTGGTTCATTGCATTCAGCAGTTCAACTCTTGGTTTAGTTCCAAGACAGACCCATATTATAACAAAATTTTTTAACAAAATGACATCCAAGAAACGTTCATTGAATTGAACATGTGGTGTTATGTGTTTTACAGGATCTTCGTCTATACAATGTCTTTTCTAGTGTAGATGCTCAGAAATATTTGCTGGCTTTGGATATGACTGGTTTTTCATTCAAAGCTGGTAAGATTGCATCTACAAAGACTGAAAGGTGCAGCTACATAGGTGACAAATATTGTCCATTTCCCAAAGTGTACAGACATGTCCCCTCCACCTCTCTGGCATTTACATCACCATGGCCTTCCACAGTTCATAATGAGGTCATTTTTGATCAGACAGTAGAATTAGGTGGCTCACTGCTCTAATCTTCTTTATACAGTGTTTAATAGGCAGAATTAGAAAGGTTAACATTTCACAATGGACTAAGATGCCTGAGCTAGTTTATCTTGTAAAGTGAACAAGTAGTATCAAAATTAGTTTGGGCGTCAGTCACCAAGCACCGTTTAGTGACAGGGGCCTGGAAAGGTTAGGATTTCAGAATGGGAAGAGGAGAAAGAAATAAAATTTGGAGAATATTTGGTAGATCAAATTATGAGATACCAAATGACAGTCTTTATGAACCTGAGGTTGAGAGCCTAAAGGTAGGTCTAACCAAATCACTATGGTGAAAATATTCTGTGCCCCTATATGGACCCAGAGTTTGATACAGGTTGCCCCTCGCCTTTTGTCCCACCTGCCTTTCCCAGCATACATTGACATCCCCAAACCTTCCATGAGTCTTTTCATTCACTCGTTAGAGTCTGGAGTGATTAGACGGTGCGGTTGCCTCTGTGCTATTGACTGGCAGCCAGTAACTTATTCTCCAGTTCCATGTTGGCTTTCTATTGAGATTTTAAGAATTAAAACTTGTATTGTTTCAAGCATGAAGAAACACTTTGGAAACAAGGACTTTAGAGACAAAACTACAAAATGTCATGACAACTAAGGTTGGTCTACTTTACATACCACCTTGGCTGTGCCTGAGTTAAGTGTTTAGTTAGGGCCTTACCTCCACGGAAGTCAGATGACAGAGAAGGGCAAGCAGCCTGAGAAGAAAGTCACTCTGAGTGACCCGGAGCCTGGCAGATTGGGTCCAACTCTACAGTACATCTGAGGAGGTATGAGGGTTAATTTTATATGTCCACTCAGCTAGGCCACTGTACCCAGCTTTTTGTCAAGCACCAGTCTATGTGTTACTGTGAAGGTACATATATTTTAGATGAGATTAACATTAGAGGTTGAGTAAATGAGATTACCCTCCATTACGGGGTGGGCCTCATCTAATCAGTTGAAGGCCTTAAGGGAAAACACTGAGGCCCCCCCTAGGAAGATGGAATTCTGCCTCCACACTGCCTTTGGACTTGACACTGCAACATCAACCATTCCTTAAATTTCCAGCCTGCCCTCCAGATTTCAGTCTTACCAGCCCCAACAATTATGTGTGACAATCCCTTAAAACCTATCCTTCTCTCTGACACACACACCCTCCCCCACCTGCATACACACATACATGCACATTCTGTTCCATTTATCTGGAGAACCCTAATTCCAGAGGAGACCCTCCTCCAGGTCCAGTTCTCCTCCATCACTCACATCTGGCATGCCAGTGTGTTGCTGTGCTTCAAAAGTTTCATTTCAGAGAGAAGATTCTTCTATTCTCCCATCCTCAAAGAGTCTTAGTTGGGATTTATGTCTGTCTTCCTTGCTGAGCTGCTTATAGCTCCACAGCTCATTCAAGTGCATGATGTGTGTCGCCTTTTGACTTAATTCTGGCCAGGCATGGTGGCTCACGCCTGTAATCCCAGCACTTTGGGAGGCCAAGCGGTGGATCACCTGAGGTCAGGAGTTCGAGACCAGCCTGACCAATAAGATGAAACCCCATCTCTACTAAAAATACAAAAATTAGCCAGGCATGGTGGCATGCACCTGTAATCCCAGCTACTCGGGAGGCTGAGACAGGAGAATCACTTGAACCCAGGAGGTGGAAGTTGCCGTGAGCCGAGATCATGCCATTGCACTCCGGCTTGGGCAATAAGAGTGAAACTCTGCCTCAAAAAACAAACAAACAAACAAACAAAAAACAATTCTGAGGAATGTGGGAGGCCAGAACTGTGTATAGAAACTGCCTTTCTTTCTGCCTTCTTTTCGGAACAAAGAATTTTTCCTATCAAATGGCAGTTCTCCCTACCCCCAACCCCAAAGAGAGAGGTAGAAAGGGAAGAAGGTGGGGGAGGCTCCACTTTACAGCCTCTCTCTGACCTCACTTTTCCAGCTTCTGCCAGTTCTCCCGGAATAAACTGGTAAATAAAGTCATCTGATCCTCTGAACCCCACCCATGAGCAGCAGGCCACAGCCGCAGCTGCCTTAGGCATTTCAGAAAAACACATCAGAGTCACTACTGGCCTCTCTCAAGGGTCAGGTTACTGTCACTCTACTGAAAACACAATTTCCAAGCCAATCAAGAAGAGCTTATTATAAGCACACGTTTCCTGCTTTTGGGATTCAGGAGCTGCAAGGAAGCTGCTTTCAAAGTGAAAGAAGGATTTCAGGAAGCTGCAGACGGCTGGGAAAGGATAGAATATAAACATCTTACCTAAAGTACAGCAGCAAGAGGGGAAGCCCTTGTTCCTGTAGATAGACATAAGGGGCAAACTTAGCAAGCCGACCACCATCCACTGCAGCTGGGCCCTTTATTGATCGTCTCACTCAGAATGTGGTTGGTAGAGGAAGGCATTAAAGCGTGGGATAGTACTGGCCTTTACTGAACTCCTTTTTTTCCTGGAAATCCTTTAGCTCAGCACTAGGAGAAGAGTGGAGGCCCCATATTCTCAATTCCAGAACAAGTCCAGGCAAAAACTCTTCGTTCCAGTCATTCATTTCTTCATTTGTCATTTATATTGTCAAATATTTCAGGAGTACCTACCATATGCCAGATGGTGCATAAGGACTGAGGACACAGCAGTGACTCAGAAAGCCTGGAACTCCCAAATCATCAAGTCCCTTATCTTCCTGAATGGAATGTGGGCCATACCCTGGCAGGGTGCACCCCTGACTTACTGGGCTTTAGAATTGGCAGTATTAACCAGTCACCATGCTGCCAACAAAGAATGGATATGCAGGTCTTAGGAATGCAAATAGGTGGAAATGTAGAGCCATGTGACCTTTGTGTCAGAAAGGACTGTCAAGATTATCTCTCAACTTCTCCATTTTCTGATTCCCAGCCCTGTATTCCTTCTGTTATACTCATGAACATGACACGACTGGCTCATAAGCAATAACATATCCACTTTGAATAATTTTTCTAGCTCTATATCAGCATTGATTTAAACTATTTTTACCAACTGCATTACTTTTTGATTCACTAAATGGAAATTCTGTAACTGTAGACTGGTGAAGGGGGGTTAAACGTTCCTATAAACATTCAAAGCTAAGGATTAAACACATGTTCTTGATAACATTAGTGCTCTGACCTTATTAAAATAAATGTAGATGTCATAGGAAGAGAAGAGATAAGGAGGAAACGGATAAAGAAGTTGAGCTTTCTAAAAAAGCCAAGATCTTGCCACAGTGACTCAGGATGATTGCAAATAAAGCAAGATTGGAATTTTAAAATGCTGTCTCCTTGCCTTCTCATAACCACTCTGCCAAAGATTTTCGATCTTTCTGAAAACTGATGACTAATAATAACAGCCATCCATTCTCCAGATCTTGGCAACCAAGCTTCAGAATGCAAAAACAAGAAATTATGCAAAGTGCCCAAAGTGGCATCAAAATTATAAATGAAAGGCACATTATACTTTCTATTTTTACATTTTGGCTCTTAAGAGAATAAAGGACCTTAGGAAAATATAATATATTATATTTCATATAATATATATAAAATAAATAAAAATATAATAAAATATAAGTATATTTTCCTGTATATATTATAAAAATATACAGGAGGCACCCAGAAAAGTCATCTTGAATTTGCTATTTAGCTAGAATTTATTTTATTGTGTATTTAAAGATATCCAAGAAGAAAATTCTGTGGCTTTCTGGATAAATTACTCCAATATTTAGTAACTTCCTTAACATTCACCGAATGTTTCTCTAATATATCTGGTTTTATGATCAGAAGTGGTACTATGCTATATTTTCACAATTCAGCATCACAATGCAATAATTATCAATGGGCAACACGAGCCTCTGAAATAGTGAGTTGGTGGTGCAGGTGAAATGGGAAGGACAAAAAAACAAAACAAAGCAAAAAACATAGTCCTTTGTAACTAGGCCAAGGTATGGAACCTTCTTTGGCAGGAGCAGGTAGCAGAGCTCTTCTCTTGCCTTGAGGTATTGTGAGTTACTGCACATCCTCCTGTCCAGAAACCTTTCATGTTGTTCTGTCTTATTAGTTTCAAGTATATTTTTTAATGTCTGAGGAGTTTTATCTCTGTTGAACAGAAAAAGCTGGCCAGTCAAATGTCCTCTATTTCTCTAATGTAGCCTTTGCTTCTCAGGCTTCACCAACCAAAAAAAGTCAAGGGCCCAGGTTACCCTCCAAGGCCCACCTAGTCTTTCTGGAACCCCAGCTCCATAACTGCCCATGCTAAGGCCCCGCCCCAGAATTCTTCCTCTTCTCAGTAGTAGACATCTGTTGTTTCTTTCTGCCTAGCATCCATCTCCCAATTTAGCTGATAAAGGAACCCCAATTTCCCTTAGGAACACTCCCCTCCCCACCCACTCTGTGTAGTCATGAGGGGACTATTGACCAAGGGCCCTGCCCTCCGCTAGCTAGAAATAGACTCACAATCCAAGCTAGGTCAACAGTCCATCTCTCCAGGGAATGTAAACTTTGATAGTGTAGCCCCAGGAAAGAAAATTGAGGTGATTCACTCTTGAGAGATTTATCTTCCTATATTCCAAAGCTGCTCTGGTTCTTGTACTTTTGGAGGCTTGGTTGTTTAGCTTTTTCTTTAATTTTGTGAGCTATCCCATATCCTTCCAACAACAATATATCCCTAAAATTTTTCTTTAAAATGGTTAGAGTTGGTTTCTGTGGCTTGCCACAGAAGAGTCTGAACTGACATATTCCTCAAAGCCTTAGGGACAATTATCCTAAGATAGAACAAAGTATGACCAGCCACAGAATCAGAACACCATGGAAAGACAGCCTTGTTGTCCCCCGGCTGGGCAATTCACCTCCTCCAGTTTCTCAAAGGCCTGGAGCCCCTGGCAGGATAGTGCTGCTGACTCACATTCACATTCAGTCCACTCCAGACCAATGCTTCTGGACGGCTCTGACTCTCTCGGGTCTCTTGTGACAACAACAATCTCCCTCTACACCACAGCTTGTCCCAGCTCATTTTGCCTCAAGTAGGATGCCATCTAGGAATCACCATATTTTCTACCTGGTCAGGAATGGCTGACACTATAGGCCTTTTAGATTAATGTTTATTTTAGCAATTTAGGCCAAGCCTCCAGGAGCTCAGCTGAAAATCAGTTCCAACTGGAGTCGCACGTGAAATGAGAGTAAGATTCTAAAGACAGAACTAAGGCAAACCTACATAGGACTGAAGGACTGAAACCACCCTATGCAATGGAATGCTCTACGGCAGTGAAAAAAATGAGGAGGCTTTCTGTGAGCTGGAACTGAAAGATTTCCAAGATACATTATCTTTTTAAAATTTTTTATTGTGGAAAATTCCAAACATGTACAAAAGAACCCAAAATAGCACAATGAAGCCCCATAGACACACCTCCCAGCTTCAACTGCCATTAACTCATGGCCAATCTTTTTCCATCTATACCCTTACCCACATCCAACCCTTCTCTTCAGATTATTTTGAAGCAAACCTCTAACATCATCTATATGTAATATAGATGATGTGTTTTGATATATATGATGCAAATATATATATATATTTTTTCTTTTTTTTTTTTTGAGAGAGAGAGAGAGAGAGTCTCATTCTGTTGCCTAGGCTGGAGGGCAGTGGTGCAGTTATGACTCACTGCAGCCTTGGCCACCTGGACTTTACTGATCCTCCCAACTCAGCCTCCCAAGTAGTTGGGACCACAGGCACAGGCCACCATGCTTGGCTAATTTTTGTATTTTTTGTAGAGACAGTGTTTTGCCATGTTTCCAAGGCTGTTCTCAAATTCCTGATCTCAAGCAATATGCCCATCTTGGCCTCCCAAAGTACTGGGATTACAGGCATAAGCCACAACACCTGGCCCCTCAGCCATATTATTTTACCCACAATAATTTCAATATACATATCTCTTAAACATAATCATAATACTATTATCACACTTGAAAATTAATTACAATTCCTTGGTATCATTAATATTGAGTTCAAATTTCCATGATTTCATTTGTTTGACTCAAATTCCAACTAAGGTGCTGTGTCCAGGGTCCCCAAGATCACCCCTAGTTTCAGGTGGTCATTAAAAGCACTCACAGGACCTATATTCATGACTATGATTTATTACAAGGAAAGGATACAAAACAAAATCAGCAAAGAGAAAAGGTGCATGGGGTAAAGCCCAGAGTAAGCCAGACTTAAGCTTCCAAGAGTCCTCTCCCAGAGGAGTCACAGTAGATTCACTTAATTCCTTTAGCATCAAATCATGACAAGCGTGTGAAGTATTGTCTACCAGGGAATCTCGTTAATGATTTAGTGTCCAGAAGGAAAGCAGGTATTCACCATAAACCATATTGCACAACGGTTTAGGCACAATGAGCCACTCTTATCATGTAGGGGTTGGTAGGAAACTTCATGAACTCCAAGTTTCCATATGCCAGCCAATGGCTAACCTTACAAGGGGACCTTTCCAAGAATAGCAGTCTCAGGCCTGCTGTGTCAACTTTTTTTCTTCACAGTTGCATACACTGCAACAGGTTAGTATCTCTTAAATCTCTTTTAATCTATGGGATTCTTCTCCGTTGCTTTTTTCCTCTTAGTAATTATTTGTTTCTCATAGTCTGGATTTTGTTTACGCATTTTTGTACAGTCGTTTAAAATATTCCTCTGTTCTCTATCTTTCCCATGAACTGGTAGTTGTATCTACAGATGTAATCCAACGTGGGTTCTCTGTTTTTCCTTTTTGGGGGGTAGTAAGATGACTTCATAAGTGGTGTTGTGTACTTCAAGAGGTCTATTGCATCATGCTGCCTCTCTGTTGCGATGCCACTGGCTCAGCCCTTTGTCCATTAATTCATGAGGGTCCAGAGCAGTGATATTCTGTCATTCCTTCTTCATTAGCTGGAGTATTTCTATAAAGAGAAACTCACCACATAATACTTGATGACTCAGTGCTATAGTTTGTATAGAAATGCTTGATTCACCCTCTTATTTTCCAGTTTTGAAACTAATGATGTCCTCTAGACCCCTCCAAAGATGACATATTTTTGAATATCATTACGAAATTAAGGACTTAGACATATTTGATGAGTGCCGGACGCAGTGGCTCACGCCTGTAATCCCAGCACTTTGGGAGGCCCATGCCAGCAGATCTCTTGAGCTCAGGAGTTCAAGACCAACCTGGGCAACATGGTGAAACCTCGTCTCTACAAAAAATACAAAAATTAGCCAAGCATGGTGGCATGCGCCTATAGTCCTATCTACTCAGGAGGCTGAGGCACGAGTATCGCTTGAACTGAACCCAGGAGGTAGAGGCTGCAGTGAACAAAGATCACCCCATTGCACTCCATCCTGGGCAGCAGAGTGAGACTCTGTCTCAAAACAAACAAACAAAAAATTAAAAACTAAACATAATTGATGGTTTTTAATCTGTCAGTGTCCATGTTATGCTGTTGCTGCCCATGATGAGCCTCTACAGTTTGAAACCTGAAATCTTTACATATGATTCTACCGGTCTTTGAGAGCTTTCTTCCTTTCTTAGGAGACAAGCTATTCCTGAATCATCTTGTGTATTTCCTATCCAAATCTGGAATGAGCAGTTTCTCCAAGAATTCATGGTTCCTTTAAGTGAAAACTGGTATTTAATGTTTACAATCTGGGTGCTAAGATGCCTAAATATTCTTACATTAAAAAAAAAAGGTGCAAAAATATGTTAATATTTGTGCAAAGAGGCAGAAAAAATAAAAAATATTTTCATTAGCTGGACTTGTATAAAGACGTTCTGGGGGCTGGGCATGGTGGCTCATGCCTGTAATCCAAGCACTTTGGGAGGCCAAGGCAGGTGGATGACTTAAGGTCATGAGTTCAAGACCAGCTGGGCCCAACATGGTGACATCCTGTCTCTACTAAAAATACAAAAATTAGCTGGTTGTGGTGGCACACACTTGTAATCCCAGCTACTCGAGAGGCTGAAACAGGAGAATCGCTGGAACCCGGGAGGCGGAGGTCGCAGTGAGCCAAGATCACACCACTGCATTCCAGTCTGGGCAACAGACTGAGATGCCATCTCCACACCCGCCTCCCCCAAAAAAGAAGTTCTGGGAGATGTCACAAGACTCTAATAAAAGTAGTATCTATATGGAGGTAGGAGGAAGGAGTAAGGAGTAATAAATGGATTTAAAAATCACCTTTGAAAAATCCCTCAAATACCACAAAAACAGTATAGAGATATATAAGCTCTTAATAAGTCAAACATGGTCCACGTTGAAACAGATTGTTGTTTCCTCAGATGAACACCAGATGAAGTTACAGGCTTAAGTTTGGGGGTCATTTTGAGTGACAAATATGTATCTTTAAACACTAGAATCACACTCAGCACAGTATGAAGTCACACTAGGAACAGTGAGTTAGAACCCAAGACCAGCTGCAGAGATTCCCAACTCTAGCTGCATATCAGAATTACCTGGGAAGCCTTTACAATCCTGGTGCTCAGGCCATACCTCTAACTAACTGATTATATCAGAATTTCTGACAGTGGGTTCTAGGCACCTGCATTTTTTTTTTAAAGCCCACCTGTTCATCCCAGTGCAGTCAAGGCTGAATCCCACCACACTAAAGGTAAAATTGATGTTAATTCTTCCTTCTCAAGCTTATCAGAGGCAACCCTGAGTGGAATGTTAAGTAGAATAACCTGTACATTAATAAGGATATAGAAACCTGCATTATTTACATACTTATTTCTTTTTTAAAAAAATCTATTTTATTTACTTACTTTTTTGCTTTTTTTTTTTTTTTTTTTTTTGAGACAGAGTCTTGCTCTGTCACCCAGCCTGAGTGCAGTGACACGATATCAGCTCACTGCAACCTCCGCCTCTCGGGTTCAAATGATTCTCCTGCCTCACCCTCCCGAGTAGCTGGGATCACAGATGTGTGCCACCACTCCTGGCTAATTTTTTATTTTGTTTTGTTTTGTTTTGGTTTGGTTTGGTTTGGTTTGGTTTGGTTTGGTTTGGTTTGAGACGGAGTCTTGCTCTGTCGCCCAGGCTAGAGTGCAGTGGCGCGATCTCGGCTCACTGCAAGCTCCGCCTCCCAGGTTCACGCCGTTCTCCTGCCTCAGCCTCCTGAGTAGCTGGGACCACAGGCACCCGCCACTACACCCGGCTATTTTTTTATTTTTTGTATTTTTAGTAGAGACGGGGTTTCACCATGTTAGCCAGGCTGGTCTTGATCTCCTGACCTCGTGATCCGCCCGCCTCAGCCTCCCAAAGTGCAGGGATTACAGGCATGAGCCACTATGCCTGGCCTATTTACTTACTTTTTGAGACAGAGTCTCACTCTGTCATTCAGGCTGGAGTGCAGTAGTGCAATCTCAGCTCATTGCCACCTCCACTTCCTGGGCTCAAGTGCTCCTCCCACTTCAGCCTCCTGAGCAGCTGGAACTACAGGTGCACACCACTATGCCCAGCTAATTTTTTGTATTATTCATAGAGATGGAGTTTTGCCATTTTGCCCAGGCTGGTCTTGAACTCCTGGACTCAAGTGATCCATCCGCCTAAGCCTCCCAAGATGCTGGGACTACAGGCATGAGCCACTTGCCCATTAAATGGTTATTTCTCTTAGATCTCATTTCTCCACCCTTCCCACTTTTGCTTTTCCCCTCATCCACCCTTCCTCTCTGCCAAACATATCTAGTTGAATTTGTGTAAGTTCAGCACTTGTGTGATGCTCTGTCCCGCCTCTATCCATCTGTCTTCTGAAGCATTCATGCCTTCATAGCCTTCCTGCCTCCTAGTCTTGAGGTCTAGTTCCAGTCCTAATCCCTGCCAACCCTCTTTACATTTCATTTCAGAGAAATATACCTCTTACCTAAGTAGACCTGCCTGAAGACCTGCCTTGACCTACAGCATTCCTGAGATGACTGTGCCAATCAAGTCCCTTTGGAGCCCTGGTTTTCTCATATTCATGGTGTTGTGTATTCAGGGCTTATTAAGGCATGTAAGTTAACTGAAGAGAAGAAGCTTTCTTTGTGTTCTCTGAGAATAGGTCTTATGGGCTTGGTTGTTGACCAAATTGGGTGTCAAAGTCAGAAAACTTAAAGGAGATGAAAAGATCAAAGCTCCTGCCCGAGGCCCCCTTTAGGCCCTTAGGTACCCAATTTTGAAAGACATAGCACCTGCCCTAAGGAAATCACAGCCTAAGAAGAAGGCAGGTATTTAAGTAGGTGAATAAAATACCTTATGGTAAGTGCTCTGCTAGTGGTGAGCATGCATTTGACAGAAACTAAGAGAAGAGAACAAAGCTACCATGGAAAGGTGGGGAGAGGGTCAAGGAAGACTTCTTGTAGGAGGTGCCACAAATACTGTGTTTTTGTTTTTTTATTTATTTGAGATGGAGTCTCGCTCTGTCACCCAGGCTGGAGTGATCTCGGCTCACTGCAATCTCTGCCTCCCGGGTAAAAGCGATTCTTGTGCCTCAGCCTCCCAAGTAGCTGGGGCTACAGGCATGTGCCACCACGCCTGGCTAATTTTTGTATTTTTAGCAGAGATGGGGTTTCACCATGTTGGTTAGGCTGGTCTCGAACTCCTAACCTCAAATGATCCTCCCACCTCGGCCTCCCAAAGTGCTGGAATTACAGGCATGAGCTACCTCGCCCAGCCCATTTTTAACTTCAAAATACACAGGTAATGTATGTTCATTGTAGAAAATTAGAGTGAATTAAAAAGAGACACTGAAGATGAACATAAACACATTTTTTAAATGTTCTAAAGGCCAGGCATGGTGGCTCACATCTGTAATCCCAGCACTTTGGGAAGTGGAGGCAGGAGGATCGCTTGAGCTCAGGAGTCTGAGACCAACCTGGGCAACACAGTAAGACCCCATCTCTAGTTTTTTTAATGTTCTGACTTGTGCCAAGTTGGAGGGAGTTATGAGACTAAACATGTAATCGCTCCCTTGTACACGATCCTCTTCTGGAACATCACGCTTGGTAATGAGTGCCTAAAGATGCTGCCAGAGCAGTGTGCTGTATTAATAATTCCCCAGACTTGGAAGAGACCAAGATGTACTTTAGTAGGTGAATAGATAAACTATGGTATATCCGAATAATGGAATATTACCCACCATTAAGAGGAAATGAGCCAGGCACAGTGGATCACACCTGTAATCCTAGGACTTTAGGAGGCCAAGGCAAGCACATTGTTTGAGCCCGGGAGTTTGAGACCAGCCTGAGGAACAAGGCAAAACCTCATCTCTAATAAAAATACAAAAAATTCGCCAGGAATGGTGGCACATGCCTGAAGTCCCAGCTACTCAGGAGGCTGAGGTGGGAGAATCACCTGAGCCCAGGAAGTCCAGGCTTCACTGGGCTATGATTGCACCACTGTGCTCTAGCCTGGGCAACAGGAGTGAGATCCTGTCTCAGAAAAAAAAAAAAAAAAAAAAAAAAGGGAATTAGCTATCAAGCCATGAAGAGACATGGAGCAAACTATAATGTATACTATTAAGTGAAAGAACCCAGTCTGAAAAGGCAACATAGTATATAATTCCAACTGTAGGGCATGCTGGGAAAGACAAAGCCATGGAGACACTAAAAAGATCAGTGGATCCCAGGGATTAGGGGAAAGGGAGGGATGAATAGGAGAGTGAAACTATTCCGTATGATAGATACTATAATGGTAGATACATGTCATTATACATTTGTCCAGACCCATAAAATGTATAACACCAAGGGTGAACTCATGTAAACTATGGGCTTTGGATAATAATTATGTGTCAATGTAGGTTCAACAATTGCAACAAATATACCACTCTGGTGTGGGATGTTGATAGTGGAGGTTGCTGGAGAAAAGAAGTCTGTGGAAAATCTTTGCACTTTCAACTCTATTTTACTATAAACCTAAAACTGCTCTAAAAATAAAGTCTATTTAAAAAATTTTGAAGAGTCATTTAGAACATCGACTTTGGGCCAGGTGCAGTGGCTCACGCCTGTATTCCCAGCACTTTGGGAGGCCAAGGTGGGAAAATCAGCTTGAGTCCAGGAGTTGAAGACCAGCCTGGGCAACACAGCAAGACCCCGTCTCTATGAAAGATAAAAAAAAATTAGCCGAGCATGGTGGTGCACACCTGTAGTCCCAGCTACTCAAGAGGCCGAGGCGGGAGGATGGCTTGAGCCCAGGAATTCAAGGCTGCAGAGAACTATGACTGGGCCACTGCACTGCAGCCTAGGAGACAGAGTGAGACTTTGTTACCTAAAAAGAAAAAAAAAACACACAAAACTTTGACAGATATTATTATGATTGTATCAGCTTTCTTTCTTTTCTTTTCTTTTCTTTCTTTCTTTTTTTTTTTTTTTTTTTTGAGACAGGGTCTCCCTCTGTCGCCCAGGGTGGAGTGCAGTGGTGTGGTCTCAGCTCACTGCAACCTCCACCTCCTGGATTCAAGCCATTCTCCTGCCTTACCCTCCCGAGTAGCTGGGATTACAGGGTGTGTGCCACAATGCTCGGGTAATTTTTGTATTTTTGGTAAAGATGGAGTTTCACCATGTGGGCCAGGCTGGTCTTGAACTCCTGACCTCAGGTGATCCACCCACCTCAGCCTCCCAAAGTGCTGGGATTACAGGCATGAGCCACCATGTCTGGCTTGCATCAGCTTTCTTTTTGCTGTTGTTTACATGTACATCTTTTTGCAAATACACCATTAAGATATGTCTTGTCTTTTATCCAGTCTGACAAGTTTTGACTTTTAAGAGGAGTACTTACTCCATGTATGTTTAATGTAATTACTGATACATTAGGGTTTTAAATCTACATATGGCTGGGTGCAATGGCTCACATCCGTAATCCTAAAACTTTGGGAGGCCATGGCAGGTGGATTGCTTGGGCCCAGGAGTTCGAGAACAGCCTGGACAACATGGTGAAACCACGTCTCTAGTAAAAATACAAAAATTAGCTGGGCATGTTGATGCATGCCTGTAGTTACAGCTACTTGGGGCGGGGGGTGCTGAGGCAGGAAGATCACCTGAGCATTGGGAGGTTGAGGCTACAGTGAACCGTGATCATGCCACTACACTCCAGCCTGGGTGACACAGTGAGACCCTATCTCAAACAACAACAGCAAAACTACAGCTAACTATTCTTTTTGTCTTATCCCACCTGCTCTTTTGTCCTTTTTTTTCTCCTTTCTTGTCTGCTTTGGTAAAATTACATTTTATTATTATTTCATTGTTCCACTCTACTAGCTTGGTAGTTATACAGTCTTTATAATTTTTTCTTTAATTTTATTTATTAAAAATATAGAGACAGGGGTCTCACTATGTGGTTCAGGCTGGTCTTCAACTTGGGGACTCAAGTGATCCTCCCACCTCCACCTCCGAAAGTGCTGGGATTACAGGAGTGAGCCACCGTATCCAGTCAATCTTTATAATTCTTTAAGTGATTACCCTAGAATTACAACATGCATTCCTATTCCTGACTGGTTACAGTATAATATAAATTAGTACTCTACTTTGCCAGACAACACAAAGATCTTCGCTACTTTAACTACTGCCACCTTTTGTGTTGTAATTATATATATATTTCTTTTTTTTTTTTTTTTGAGATACAGTCTCACTCTGTCCCCCAGGCTGAAGTGCAATGGCGAGATCTCAGCTCACTGCAACCTCCACTTCCCAAGTTAAAGTGATCCTCTCACCTCAGTCTCCCAAAGTAGCTAGGACTACAACCGCACGCCACCACGCCCGGCTAATTTTTGTATTTTTAGTACAGATAGGGATTTGCCATGTTGGCCAAACTGATCTCGATCTCCAGTGATCCAGTGAACCACTCACTTTGGTGTCCCAAAGTGCTGGGATTACAGGCATATAGTTATATATTTTAAGATTACATACATTCAATATTATGCATATTTAAAATTCCCAAAGACATTAGTACTCTACAAAACAATAAGTTTTCCTTATATTTACTCCTAAATTTTTTTAAATTTAACTTTTATTTTAGGTTAAGGGGTACATGTGCAGGTTTGTTCTATAGCTAAACCTGTGTTTAGGAATCACCACACTGTCTTCCACATGGTTGAACTAATTTACACTCCCACCAACAGTATATAAGCGTTCCTTTCCTCCCCAACCTCACCCCCATCTGTTATTTTTTGATTTTTTAATAGTAGCCAAGCTGACTGGTGTGAGATAGTATCTCATTGTGGCTTTGATTTGCATTTATCTAATGATCAGTGATGTTGAGCTTTTTTTCATATGCTTGTTGGCCACATGTATGTCCTTTCTAAAATAGTGTCTGTTCATGTCCTTTGCCCACTTTGTAATGGGGTTGTTTGTATTTTTCTTATAAATTTGCTTAAGTTCCTTATAGATGCTGGATATTTGACCTTTGTCAGATGCATAGTTTGCAAAAGTTTTCTCCCATTCTATAGGTTGTCTGTTTACTCTGTTGGTAGCTTCCTTTGCTGTGCAGAAGCTCTTTAGTTTAATTAGATCCAATTTGTCGATTTCTGCTTTTGTTGCAATTGCTGTTGGTGTCTTCCTCATGAAATCTTTGCCTGTTCCTATGTATGGAATGGGTTTTCTATTTATTTCTGGGTTCTCTATTCTGTTCCATTTGTCTCTGTGTCTGTTTTTGTACCAGTACCATGCTATTTTGGTTACCGTAGTATAGTTTGAAGTCACGTATTGTGATGCCTCCAGCTTTGTTCCTTTTGCTTAGGATTGCTTTGGTTATTTGGGCTATTTTTTGGTTTAATATGAATTTTTAAATAGTTTTTTTCTAGTTCTGCGAAAAATGATAGGAACAGCATTGAATCTGTATATTGTTTTGGGCAGTATGGCCATTTTAACAATATTGGTTCTTCCTATCCATGAGCATGGAATGTTTTTCCAATTGTTTGTGTCATCTCTGATTTCTTTGAGCAAGGTTTTGTAGCTCTCCTTGTAGAGATCTTTCACCTTCCCGGTTAGCTGTATTCTTATGTATTTTATTTTTGTGGTGGGAATTGTGAATGGGATTGCATTCCTGATTTGACTCTTGGCTTGACTGTTGTTGGTGTACAGAAATGTTAGTGATTTTCGTACATTGATTTTGTGTTCTGAGACTTTGCTAAAGTTGTTCATCAGCTTAAGAATGTTTTGGGCTGGGCGCGGTGGCTCATGCCTGTAATCCCAGCACATCAGGAAGCCAAGGCGGGCGGATCACGAGGTCAGGAGATCGAGACCATCCTGGCTAACATGGTAAAACCCCATCTCTACTAAAAATACAAAAAATTATCCGGGCGTGTTGGTGGGCACCTGTAGCCCCAGCTACTCGGGAGGCTGGGGCAGGAGAATGGTGTGAACCTTGGAGGCAGAGCTTGCAGTGAGCCAAGATTGTGCCACTGCACTCCAGCCTGGGCAACAGAGTGAGACTCTGTCTATAAAAAAAAAAAGGTTTTGAGTTGAGACTATATTCTAGATGTAGAATCATGTCATCTGCAAACAGGGATAGTTTGACTTCCTCTTTTCCTATCTGGATGCCCTTTATTTCTTTCTCTTGCCTGATTGTCCTGGCCAGAACTTCCAATACTATGTTGAATAGGAGTGGTGGGAGAGGGCATCCTTGTCTTGTGCCAGTTTTCAAGGGGAATGCTTCCAGCTTTTGCCCATTCAGTATCATGTTGTCTGTGGGTTTGTCATAGATGGCTCTTATTATTTTGAGGTACGTTCCCTCAATAACTAGTTTATTGAGATTTTTTAATATGAAGGATGATTGAATTTTATCAAAAGCCTTTACAGCATCTATTGAGATAATCATGTGGTTTTTGTCTTTAGTTCTGTTTATGTGATAAATCACATTTACTGATTTGCATATGTTGAACTAACCTTGCATCCCGGGAATAAAGCCTACTTGATCATGGTGGATAAGCTTTTTGATGTGCTGCTGGATTCAGTTTGCCAGTATTTTGTTGAGAATTTTTGCATTGATGTTCATCAAGCATATTGACCTGAAGTTTTCTTTTTTTGTTGTGTCTCTGCCAGGTTTTGGTATGAGGATGATCTAAGCCTCATAGAATGAGTTAGGGAGGAGTTTCTCCTCCTCAATTTCTTAGAATAGTGTAAGCAGGGATGGTACCAGCTCCTTTTGTATATCTGGTAGAATTCAGCTGTGAATCTATCTTGTCCTTGGCTTTTTTGTTGTTGTTAGGCTATTTATTCCTGACTCAATTTCAGAGCTTGTTATTGGTCTGTTTGGGGATTCAATTTCTTCCTGGTTCAGTCTTGGGAGGGTGTATGTTCGTAGGAATTTATCCTTTCTTCTTGTTTTTCTAGTTTATGTGCATATGGGTGTTCATAATACTCTCTGATGGTTGTTTGTATTTCTGTGGGGTCTGTGGTAAT
This sequence comes from Homo sapiens, assembly GCF_000001405.40. Classification (NCBI taxonomy): domain Eukaryota; kingdom Metazoa; phylum Chordata; class Mammalia; order Primates; family Hominidae; genus Homo; species Homo sapiens. The sequence continues at coordinate 88,645,391 of NC_000002.12, read as the reverse complement.
ATCCCCCTTGTCGTTTCTGATTCTGTTTATTTGAATCTTCTCTCTTTTCTTCTGCATTAATCTTGCTAGTGGTCTATCTATGTCATAAATCTTTTCAGAAAACCAGCTCCTGGATTCACTGATCTTTTGAATGTTTTTTTTTTTTGTCTCAGTTTCCTTTAGTTCAGCTATGGTTTTGGTTATTTCCTGTCTTCTGCTAGCTTTGGAATTTGTTTGCTCTTGGTTCTCTAGTTCTTTTAGTTGTGATGTGAGGCTGTTGATTTGAGAGCTTTCTAACTTTTTGATGTGGACATTTAATGCTATAAATTTTCCTTTTAACCCTGACTTAGCTGTGTCCCAGAGATTCTGGTATGTTGTATTTTAGTTCTCATTAGTTTCAAAGAACTTCTGATTTTTGCCTTAATTTCATTACTTACCCAAATGTCATTCAGGAGCAGGGTATTCAATTTCCATGTAATTGTATAGTTTTCAGTAAATTTCTTAATCTTGATTTCTAATTTGATTGCACTATGGTCTGAGAATTGTTATGATTTCAATTATTTTGCATTTGCTGAGGAGTGTTTTTACTTCTGATTGTGTGATCAATTTTAGAAGATGTGCCATGTGACAAAGAGAAAAATGTATATTCTCTTGTTTCTCAGTAAAGAGTCCTGTAGATATTTATCAGGTCCATTTGATCCCATGCTTAGTTCATGTCCTGAATATCTTTGTTAATTTTCTGTCTTGATCTGTCTAATATTGTCAGTGAGGTGTTAAAGTCTCTTTGAAGATCTCTAAGAACTTGCTTTATGAATCTGGGTGCTCCTGTGTTGGGTGCATATATATTTAGGATAGTTAGATCTTCTTGTTGAATTGAACCCTTTACCATTATATAATGCCCTTCTTTGTCTTTTTCAGTCTTTGTTGGTTTAAAATCTGTTTTGTCTGAAACTAGGATTGCAACCTCTGCTTTTTTCTGTTTTCCATTTGCTTGGTAAATTTTTCTCCATCCCTTTATTTTAAGCCTATGTGTGTTGCTGCATGTGAGATGGGTCTCTTGAAGACAGCATCTCAAAGGGTCTTGTTTCTTACTTTTTTTTTTTTTTTTTTTTGAGACGGAGTCTCTCTCTGTCGCCCAGGCTAGAGTGCAGTGGCATGATCTTGGCTCACTGCCAGCTCCACCTCCCGGGTTCATGCCATTCTCCTGCCTTAGCCTCCTAAGTAGCTGGGACTACAGGTACCCGCCACCATGCCCGGCTAATTTTTTGTATTTTTAGTAGAGACGGGGTTTCACCGTGTTAGCCAGGATAGTCTCGATCTCCTGACCTCATGATCCACCTGCCTCAGCCTCCCAAAGTTTTGTGGGTTTTTTTTTTTGATACAGAGTCTCACTCTGTGGCCCAAGCTGGAGTGCAGTGGCACAATCTCAGCTCACTGCAACCTCTACCTCCTGGGTTCAAGCCATTCTCCTGCCTCAGCCTCCCGAGTAGCTGGGACTACAGGGGCATGCCACTATGCCTAGCCAACTTTTGTATTTTTAGTAGAGACAGGGTTTCACCATGTTGGCCAGGCTGGTCTCAAACTCCTGACCTCAAGTGATCTGCCCACCTCAGCCTCCCAAATTGCTGGGATTACAGGTGTGAGCCACCATGCCCAGCCAGGTTTGGTTCTTTATCCACCTTGCCACTCTGTGTCTTTTTTTATTTTTCTGAGACAGAGTCTTGCTTTGCCACCCAGGCTGGAGTACAGTGGTGTGATCATGGTTCACTGTTACCTCCACCTCCTGGCTTCAAGCAATTCTTATGCCTCAGCCTCCCAAGTAGCTGGGATTACAGGTGTGCACCACCACACCCAGCTAATTTTTGTAATTTTAATAGACACGGGATTTCACCATGTTGGCCAGGCTGGTCTCACACTCCTGGCCTTAAGTGATCTGCCTGCCTTGGCCTCCCAAAGTTCTGGGATTATAGGGTGAGCCACTGCACCTGACCTCTGTGTTTTTAATTGGGGCATTTAGCACATTTACATTGAAGGTTAGTATTGATATGTGTGAACTTGATCCTGTCATCATGATGTAAGTGGGGTATTTTGCAGACTTGTTTATGTGGTTGCTTTATAGTGTAACTGGTCTGTGTACTTCAGTGTGTTTTTGTAGTGGTCAGTAATGGTCTTTCCTTTCCATATGTAGTGCTTTCTTCAGGCAAGTCTCATGGTAACAAATTCTGTCAGCATTTGCTTGTCTGAAAAGGATTTTATTTCTCCTTCACTTATGAAGTGTAGTTGGGCCAGATATGAAATTCTGAGTTGGAATTTCTTTTCTTCAAGAATGTAATGTTGGCCTCCAATCTCTTCTGGCTTGTAGGGTTTTTGCTGAGAGGATCGCTGTTAGGCTGATAGGATTCCCTTTGTAGGTGACCTGACCTTTCTCTCTAGCTGCCTTTAAAATTTTTTCTTTCATTTTGACCTTAGAGAATCTGATGATCAAGTGTCTTGGGGATGATCTTCTTATGAAGTGTCTTACTGGGGTTCTCTGGATTTTTTTAATTGGAATGCTGGCCTCTCTAGCAAGGTTGAGGAAGTTCTCATGGATGACGTTCTGAAATATGTTTTCCAAGTTGGTTCCATTCTCCCTATCTCTTTCAGGTACACCAATGAGTCACAGATTTAGTCTATTTACATAATCTCATATTTTTTGGAGGTTTTGTTCATTTCTTTTTATTCTTTTTTCTTCATTCTTATCTGACTGTCATATTTCAGAAAGCCAGTCATCAAACTCTGAGATGCTTTCCTCCACTTGGTCTCTTCTTGCTATTAATACTTGTGATTGCATTGTGAAATTCTCATAGTGAGTTTTTCATCTTTATTAGGTCGATTACATTCTTTTCTATACTGGCTCTTTTCTCTGTCAGCTCCTGCATTGTTTTATCATGATTTTTAGCTTCCTTGTATCGGGTTTCAAGTTGAGTTTCAACTCCTGTAGCTCAGTGACCTTCATTCCTATCCATATTCCGACATTTCAGCCATCTCAGCCTGGTTCAGAACACTTGCTAAAGAGACAATGTGGTTGTTTGGAGGAAAGAAAGCACTCTGGCTTTTTGAGTTGTCAGAGTTTTTGCACTGGTTCTTCCTCTTCTTTGTGGGCTTATCTACCTTCAATCTTTGAGTTTGCTGACCTTTAAATTTTTTTTCTTTTATCCTATTTGATGACCTTGAGGGTTTGATTGTTGTATAAGGTAGATTCAGCTGACTGGCTTCGTTTTTGTTTTTGTTTTTGTTTTTGTTTTTGTTTTTGTTTTTGAGATGGAGTCTTGCTGTGTCAGCCAGGTTGGAGTGCAGTGGTGTGATCTTGGCTCACTGCAACCTCCACCTCCTGGGTTCAAGCAGTTCTCCTGCCTCAGCCTCCCAAGTAGCTGGGATTAAAGTGCGCCCCGCCACCACGCCCAGCTAACTGTTTTTTGGGTTTTTTTTTTTTTTTTTTTTGTATTTTTTAGTAGAGACAGGTTTCACCATGTGGGCCAGGCTGGTTTCGAATTCCTCTCCTCAAGTGATCCGCCCACCTCGGCCTCCCAAAGTGTTGGGATTACTGGCATGATCCACCACACTCGGCCTGGCTTCATTTTCAGAAGATTTTAGAGGGTCAATGCTCAGCTCCCAGCTCCTGGACTGTGTGCTCTAACTCTGGAGGACTTGTATTGGGCCCTGGCTTTGTTCTCTGACTCCTTGGGGTTAAGAATTCACTGTGCTAAGGGGCCATGGTGGCCCTGGACCACTCGTCACTACACTGCAATAGGTGGTGTCAGCCAAAGTGTTTCGTAGCGGGGTGACAGTGAGATTTGACCTCATAGTGGCAGCTGTGTCAGAGTGCTAGCAGGTGCCAGGTTGCCTGCCCCTCTGTGGGTGTTCACACAGTGGCAGAGGCAATGCAGCTAGGGCAGGAGGGCAGGGTAGGGGGGTGGTTGTGCTGGTGACTGTGTGGGCAGTCGCACTGGAGGTGGTGTTCGCTGGGGGTGGGACGCTGGTGGGCGCAGGTCTGGGTGCCTTCTCTATGCTCCACAATTAGGAGTGGTTGCTCAGGGCTGGGGAGGACCCGCTGTTCTCTATGCAATGCTAGCGTAAGGGTGATGCACTGACAGAGGTGGGGCTGGCTGGCTTTGTGCCCACCAAGGCTCCATCTGCAATGATGGTTGGTGACGGCGGGGGCTGGGGGTGAGAGACTGCACTCCCCCATGCTGGTGGGGCAAGGAAAGCAAAATCTGCGTGTGCAGTCATGCACCAGCAAAGCTATGTTGGGAGATGTGGTGGGCCCACAGGAAGCTACAGTATGGGGAGGGAGCGTGTGGGCTGGTGTGTGGCCGTACAGGCCACCCCATCGTAGCTCTCCACTGGTCAAGCATGGTCCACAAGTGCAGAAGGTATGATACCCCCCCAGGGCACCCTAGACTGCCCTACAAGCAGGTGTGAACAGGCTGGGGCCCTGGGAGAGGCCAGCATACCAAGGAGCGCTCAAGTTGGACTGGCTCCATCTGATCGGCAAGATCACCCTGCAGAGTTCAGTTTCTACAGCTCCCCTAGAACTAACGTCTCCTATGGGAGCAAGGAGAGCCTAGGGGGATAGCCGTCCCTAGCTGTACTCCACTACAGACGCTCCCACATCAAACCCTCTGGGCTCCACATCAGCTGGTGTGCTGCCTCTACCACTTCTCTAAGCAGCTCTCCCTGCCAACTCGAGTGTCAGTGGTGGTCAAGGTATCTTCTCCTGCCAGGGTTCCAGAGGCCCATGGCAAGAACAGGTTCCTCCTTGCCAGTTCAACTCACTCATTTCCCCAGAGCCATTGGGCGCCAGGAACAAGTCCCGGTGTTCCTGGCCCTATACAGGATTCCCAGCTTTCTCCTGCTTCAGCCCAGCTTCTGTGTCTTCCCTCCATCCACTCTCAGTGCCTTCCCTCTGAAGATCTGTTAGGAGCATGCCAGTTGTCTCAGTCCCTTGGTGGGAGCTGTTCTACCTGGCTGTGTCTAGTGGACCATCTTCCCTCCCCCACTTTACTCATAAATTGACTCTTTCCCATAATAATCTTCAGTTCTCCTCCCCTTTATTTTCAAATTTCCATCTTGGGCCATTTTCCCTCCATTTAAAAAGCTCCCTTTAGTATTTATTTTACTGTAAGCCAATTGGAAACAAGTTTCTTTGGTTTATTTTTTAATGTCTTTTTCTTGCTTTCATTTTTGAAAGACATTTTCACTGAGTATAGTATTATAAGTTGTCAGTTTATTTTTTTCTGCACATTACAATGTCACTTCTTTGTCTAGTAGAAAGGCATCTGTCAATCCTTCTATTGCTCCTTTGAAGGCAATGTGTATTTTTTCCCCAGAGCTTCTTTTAAGAATGTCTCTTTGATCTTTGTTTGTCAGCAGTTTCGCTAGATGGATCAACATGTGGTTTTGTTTTGTATTTAAATTGCCTGGTGTTCAAAGAAATTTTTGAATCTGTGGTTTTTTTAAACCAATTTTTTGTAAATTGTTAGTATTTCTTTAAATACTTCTTCTGCCTTCTCTCTTTCTTGAAGACTCCAATTACACATATGTAAACCTTTTCACAATGTTCCCTGTATCTTTTATGTTTTTTCCCTACATTTTCCATTATATTTTTTCTCTGTGATTCAATTGGAATTTTTTTTTCCTGAGAAGTTTTCCAGTTCACTAATTCTCTCAGCAGTTGTTAAACCCATGTACTAAATTCTTAATTTTAATTAATTAATTGTTTCTTTTAATTAAATAATAGCGTTTGGGAACTAAATCCACATACCATGAAATCTTTTACAGTGTATAATTCAGTAGTTTTTTAGTATAGTCCTAGAGTCATACAACCATCACCACTATCTAATTTCAGAACATTTTCATCATCCCCAAAAGAAACTCCAAGCACATTAGCAGTCATCCCCTATTCTCTCCTCTCCCAGACCCTGGCAACCACTAAACACTACTTTCTGTCTGTGTGGATTTGCCTATTCTGGACATTTCATATAAATGGAATCATACAATAGGTAGCCTTTTACGACTGGCTTCTTTCACTTGGCATTTGTTACCAAGGCTCAATCATGTTGCAGCATGTGTTGGTACTTCATTCCTTTTTATGGCAGAATAGTATTCCCATGTATAGATGTATCACATTTTGCTTATCCATTTATAAGTTGATGGACATTTTGGTTGTTTCTACTTTTTGGCTATTATGAATAATGTTGCTATGAACATTGCTGTACAAGTTTTTGTGTAGATATATGTTTTCAATTCTCGTGGGTATGTACCAAGGAGTGGAATTTCTGGGTCATATAGTAACTATGTTTAACATTTTGATAAACTGCCAAACTGTTTTTCAATGTTTCAGCACAATTTTGCACCCCCAGCAAGGTACGAGGGTTTAAATTTTCCACATCCTGGCCAAACTTTGTTACTGCCTTTTTTATTTTAGGCATATTGGTGGGTGTGAAGTGGTGTTTCATTGTGGTTTTGGTTTGCATTTCCCCAATGACTAATGATGTTGAGCATTTTTATGTGCTTATGAATCATTTGTATGTCAATTAATTTATCTCTAAGTTCTAAAAGTTTCTGATAGATTCGAATAGATTGCAGGTCTTTGATGAAATTCTCCATTTTGTCATCTTTTTTAAGGATGATTATCCTTTTTTAAGGATGATTATAAAATAACCACAATTATTTTATAGCCTGTGTCTGATAACACCAATATCTCAATCTTCTCTAAGTCTAATCTGTTTCTGTTTTTTACTTTTTATTTTCTGTCACTTGGTTCTATTTATTGACATTACCTAGAGATTTTTACTCAGATGCTAGACATTGTATATGAAAAATTATAGAAGCTCTGTGTGATGTTTTCCTTCTTCAAAGACAATTTAATTTTCTTCTGGCAGACAGAGTAGGGGCAGATCACCCTAATCCAATTAGGTAATTTGATACTTTGAGGCTGGGTTTTAGGTTTTTTGAGGCTAGTTTATTTCTGCTTTGCCCTTACTCCTATCTGCAGTCTGTCAGAAGTCTCAGCTGAAAGTGTGGAGGTATTTTTCAAAGCTTCAACTCTTTGCTAGACTGACCTCCAATTTTTGACTCCTCAGCACAATGAGACTTTCACTTTTTAGCTTCTTACCTGTCTCTCACTACGTAGTTTTTGTTTGTTTTTTTGTTTTTTAATCTCTCTTATTTGAATGACTTAGGAACCAGCAACTGCCTTAATGGGGGGAAAAAAAACTATCAGTCTCACTTTTCAGCCATTCGCTTTTCTATGGGATCTTTAACCTTTTAATGCTGGTTTTCTTGCTAGCCCTGAACTCCACATTTTGTCTCTGTGGCCTTATAAGACTCCTAAAAGCTCTCTAAGCTGCACCTTCCTGCATGGCCCTAGACCCTGCACTTTTTGCTTATAATTCATTAAATGTCTCAAGAGAGAAAATGGTAGGGAGTATTACCCTGATCTAATTGCTTTTTGTTTCTTTCTCATTCTTAGCCCCTCAGGTCTTGGATGCTGTGGTTGCTTTCTGATACCTTCAAAGATTTTTTTTTTAATCTAACTTAACAGTCAATCTCAGTGAGATATGTGGTCTAAAACCAGCGACCATGTCAGTACTGGTAGCTGATGCCCAACAGATGATAATTTAATGAAACTACAGCACTACTCTGAAAACAAATACCATAGTGACAGCTAAGACAGGTTGTTTTCAATCTGGCCCACTGACAAAACTACATTCTATGTGAGGACTAAATTCTCCCACGACTTTTCTTTATTTGAACCACTGTGTAACACTTGCTTTTAGAGGATACCAGTCATTTGACATTTATTTGGTAGCAATGAATCATTTATATAAAATATGCATCTTACTTTTTCTCAGTTGCCTGTAACAATTAAGATAGCATTACTTGGTGCTGGTTTGATAGACACAAATGCAAGTTTTGGCCCTGAAATGCCAAAAGGGTTTAGCCAGACTATCCTATAATTACATTATATTTTTTAAAAATCATCCAAATAAAAACATAAGAAATTTGAAATCTTATTCTATACTTGCTGACCATTAGGAATATGCTGATGTCCACCATATGAAATAATTTCATCTATTGTTAGTGATACAAAGTGATACTTCGCATTTGTGCTTACTATTGCCACCTGGTTGTTTAGATTGTTCTGATTATAAAATTGTGTAAACATTCTCTACAGAGAAAAGAGGCAGAACATTATAGAAAATGGAAATGAAGTGACTAAAGACAGCCCTTGGTGTAAGTGCCCATTGAGAACACTGGAAGAAACTGACTTCAGAGTCCACCCGGTACAAATGGCCGCTGAGAGTCCCTGGTATAAGTAACCAAGGCAGTGCCTGGTCCAAGATGCCACCTAAAACACTGTGAGACTTAGAGAGGAGAAGCAGATTCTTTCAGAGCACACGGCGAGTTACTTGGCAGTTCCAGGGTCAGTGCTATGCTCTACATTGCCTCTATTTCTTCCTGAATTTGAAGAATTACAAACAACTGGAAAAATAAAATTACTCCCTCTCTTCCCCCTAGACAGAAAATGAAAGTAATGAAGACTTTGGGTAAGAATTTTACAGCGGCATTTTCAAAGCTTTGCAAGGGGCTTTGTGCATTTAAGAGAATTTGCTATTTAGAGGTCCAGAGATCTGGCTCCTGGAGTTTGGTTATGAAGAAGGAAGAGGCAAGTTTGAAGAAAAGGCACTGATATTTCTCAGTACAATGTGAAGTCCTGAAATCATTATGAAATAGAATTCTTTGCAATTTATAAAGCAGTTAGGAAAATCCTCTTGTTTGTACTTAAGAGTTCACATGTACACATGCTCATGTATATAAGTGTGCACAGGCACATGTGTTAGCATTTGTTTCTGCATTTATGCATACATGCTTGCAAATCCCCCTTTTGGAGCACTCACCAAAAGGAACAGAATGGATCATCCATATTGGCCCAGGACTGGACCAGACTATATAAATTCAAGGGTTTATAATTATCAATTACTGTCCTTGTGAAGCACCAAGGCATTTCTCTAGACTTAGTTACTCAGACAGGAGAGAAATACTCATGACGGGTATGGCTGACTGAATGTATGGTCACAATGCTTCTCTCCCCTGTGGCAGCATACACATCCACACTCTAGCTGTGACCTCATGGTATGTGGAGTGTGCTTTCCAATCCCTGCACTTTGAACTTGGCCATGTGACATACTTTGGCTACAGAGCTTTTCATAGACATAGGAAGGCAGAGACTTGAAATACATATGTGTGGCAGGCCTTGCCCTCTTGTATTTCTATTATTGCCATGAGAAGAACATGCTCCAGGTAGACCATTCTTCCAAGGAGGATGAGAGACCAGTGGAGTAGACCTGGGTCCAGCTTAGTTTGGAGCCAAGCCCCAAATGACATGCAGACTTATGAAGATGAATACATTACTATTGTTAAACAAATAGTATTACAAATTATTGTTAAAGTTTTAGGGTAGTTTGTTATAAAGATTATTGTGACAATAGCTGACAAATACAATGGGGGAGGCAGTGAGTCCTGGGCTGAGACCAATTTCTGTGGGTAAGAAGGTGAAAAGAAGTGAAAGTAAATGTATCCAAGACAGAAGAATAGAGGACAGAAAGCCGGGTTAGGAATAGAAGCATGCATGCGAGGGGACCCCCAAGGGCAGCATTAATTTTGGGAGTTCCTGCTTTAATTAGCCCATCCTTTCAGCAAAGTTTGATCTGCACATGCAGTCTTGTGTGGTGGGTATAGAAAATAAAGTTTGGTTGGAAGCTGTGGGTGAAGAGCAGCCTCCTACTTAGGGGCTGTGTCTAGGAGTTCTGTGCAGTGACTACAGTGAAGTGGTCATGACCCACAGTCAAGTTGCAAACATCTGAGATGAGTTTGCTATGGCCAGGAAGAATTTTCTAGTACATCGTAAAGGAGAAATTAAAGGCCTCTGAATTGGTGGGGGATTGCTGGGAGTGATAATGGACTCTCAAGTAGCACTTCAATGTAAAGAATTACTGATATAAACTATGCACATGTAAATAAATTATAGGCATATAGAAAAATTATGAATTTCACAAAATCCACAATTTATCAAACATATTAAGTCCAAAGTGCCATGTTCCTCCACTTTTAGTATACGTAAGAGTCTCCTAGAGTGTTTGTTAAAACTGCAGATTCCTGGACCCCATTCCCTGAACTTTTGATTAAGTCAGTCCAGGGCCACACTTTAAGAAACATCGATAAGCTGCTTCCTTGCTATGGTTACAACAACCCCTTGTCTTTCATGTAGGAATTTGGATATTTCAGGCCCATTTTACACATGATCCAACTATAATTGTCCTTTTAAATGTTGAAATAGCCACCAGAAGACCAGGCGTGTTGCTATGTGCTCTGCATTTTTTAAGCAGAACCTCCTGAATTCCTCTTTCCATCCTTGTTATTCAAACAACTTCTAGTGCTTAAAGTGCACCCCAAAACTCCTTATTGATGTGTCGTATGTCACATCAAAGCAAGCTACATTTAATTTTTTGTGTTTGTCTTGTCACTTCATTGGTTAAAATCTTTGAAATTTCAGTTTTTAAACAAACAAAATCTGTTTTCACATCCTTCTGCCTTTTTTGGGGCAAAGTGGAGGAGAAAAATCTGTATTGCTTTTTGTTTAAGTCAGGTCTATTAATATATGATTTATATACAGTAAAATTCACCCTTCTTACGTATACACTTCTATAAGTTTGACAAACTTATATACTGACATCACCACCACCACCAATAAGATTTGGGATCTTTCCGTCACCTAAGAAAGGTTCCTTGTGTCCTTCGTTAGTCAATCTCATCTCCTTTGTCACTATGGTTTTATCTTTTGCAGATGTCAATACATGGAATCATAAAGTATATAATATTCTGTATCTGGCTTCTTTTACTTGGTTCAACACTTTTGAAATGCACCCTTGTCATTCATATCATCAGTAGGTTGTCCCTTTTTACTGCTGAGTAGTATTCCAGCATATGAATGCACTATAATTTGTTTACCCGTTAACTAGTGGAGAGACATTATGACATTTCCAGTTTGGAGCAATTATGTAAAAAAGCTTCTATAAACATTTGCCTACAGGCCTTTTTACAAATATACGTTTTTATCTCTTAAGTAAAAACTTAGGAGTGGGATTGTTGAGTCATATGGTGTATTAGTCCGTTTTCACACTCCTGCAAAGATACTACCTGAGGGCAGGGCACAGTGGCTCACATCTGTAATCCCAGCACTTTGGGAGGCCAAGGCGGGTGCATCACTTGAGGTCAGGAGTTCAACACCAGCCTGGCCAACATGGCGAAACCCCATCTCTACTACAAATACAAAAATTAGCTGAGTGTGGTGGCACACATCTATAATCCCAGCTACTTGGGAGGCTGAGGCAAGAGAATCACTTGAACCTGGGAGGTGGAGGTTGCAGTTAGCCGAGATCATGCCACTGCAACTCCAACCTGGGAGATAAGGCGAGACTCTGTCTCAAAAAAATAAAAATAAAAAAATACTACCTGAGATAGGTAATTGATAAAGGAAAGAGGTTTAATTGACTCACAGTCCCACATTGCTGGGGAGGCCTCGGGAGACTTACATTCATGGTGGAAGTCAAATGAGAAGCAAACACCTTCTTCACAAGGTGGCAGGAGAGAGAAAGCACAAGGAAGTGCCACACTTTAAAATCATCAGCTCTTGTGATCACTATCACAAGAACAGCATGGGGGGATCATCCCCATGATTTAATCGCCTCCCAACAGGTCCTTCTCTCAATATGTGGGGATTACAATTTGAAATGAGATTTGGGTGGGGACACAGAGCCAAACCATGTCATATGGTAAGTGTATGTTTAACTGTAATAGAAATTGCCAAGCTGTTTCCAAGATAGTTGTACCATTTTACCTTCAGACCAGCAATGTGTGAGGAATTGCTCATATATTCTTGCCAGCACTTGATATTGTATTTTTAAAAATAGCTATTCTAATATATATGGAGTAGTATCTCATTATGTACAATCAGTTATATCTGTTCCTGAACCTAGCATGAGCGATTGTGAAGCCATTGTGGAGCAATTGTTCATGCTAGGTTCAGGAACAGATATAACTGATTACTCTTATAGTACTTGTGGTAGAATCTCCTAGGGTGTTTGTTAAAACTGCAGATTTAGGCCGGGCGCAGTGGCTCACGCCTGTAATCCCAGCACTCTGGGAGGCTGAGGTGGGTGGATCACCTAAGGTTGGGAGTTCGAGACCAGCCTGACCAACGTGGAGAAACTGTCTCTACTAAAAATACAAAATTAGCCGGGTATGATGGCGCCTTCCTGTAATCCCAGCTACTCAGGAGGCTGAGGCAGGGGAATAGCTTGAACCCGGGAGATGGAAGTTGCAGTGAGCCAAGATTGCACCATTGCACTCCAGCCGGGGCAACAAGAGCGAAACTCCATCTCAAAAAAAAAAAAAAAAAAAAGGAAAATCTGCAGATTCCTGGACCCCATTCCTTGAACTTCTGATGAAGTCAGTCCAGGGCCACACTTTAAGAAACATTGATGAGCTAATTCCTTGCTACAATTACATTTTAGTTCCATGCCCTCTGTCACATGACTTTGCAGTTTCTTTCACTAGAGGCAGGGCATGTTGTCCTGCCTCTTTGATGTTAGGCCTAGTCATATGCCTTGCTTTAGTCCATCCTGCTCCAATAATAAGTGCTCCAGTTCTGATACTAGTTTTAAGAGGCCATGTAAGTTTCCACCCATCTTAATTGTGTTTCTTCCATTGCCATAAGAAAATCGTGCTCTAGCTAGATCAGGCAACTCCAGGTGAAGGGTGTCAGAGTATACATTTTTGCTGTTTAAAGCCACTGAATTTTGGGATGGTTGCTTACACAGCATTGCTATGCCAATAGCTAACTGGTACAACACAACAAATTTCACTGTGTGGCAAACTCTTCAAGAGTGCCTACCCATAAACATTTCTCTCTTTATAAACACTTTTAATAGACATTTTACAAAAGATGATATATAATGTCCAACAAGCACATTAAAAGATGTTCAAAATCACTAGTCGTCAGGGATATGCAAACCAAAGCTACAATGAAATGGCATCACATACCTACTAGAATAGTTAGAATTAAAAAGACAATTACCAAATGTTGGTGAGGATATAGAACAACTTGAACTCTCGTGCACCACTGGTGGGGGTATAAAATGGTACATCACTTTGTGAAAATGCTTGGCAGATTCTTATAAAGTTAAACATCCATCTACTATATGAGCGAGTTATTCCACATCTAGGTATTTACCCAAGAGAAATAAAAACCTACATCTACAAAAAGACCTGTACGTACATAAATGTTCTCATAGTAGCTTTATGTGTAATCGCCAAAAATTGAAAATATACCAAATGTACTCCAACAAGTAAATGGATAAAGAAACATGGAACATATAAAGCAGAGTACTACTCAGCAGTAAAAAGGAACTAAGTATTGCTACATTCAACAACATGAATAAATTTAAAAACATTATATGGAGTGAAAAAAGTAAGACACAAAAGTACATACTGTATGACTGCATTTATTAAAGATGCTAGAATATGCAGACTAATCTATTGTGATGGAAAACAGATCAGCGGTTACCTAGGGGCCTCGTGTAGGAGGGATTGACCACAAAGGGACACAAAGAATCTCTTGGAGTGATGGGAATGTTCTGTATCTTGACTGTGGTATATACATCTGTCAAAACTCATCCAAATGTATATTTCCAATAGGTTCAGTTTATTGTACATGTATTATACTTCAAGAAAACTGATTACACATTCTTCCTTTCATCCTCACTAGCAGAATCCTCATTTTGCTTAGCAGCAGCATGGTCTGGCCTGGGAAATGTCAGTGAAAATTCCTTGGTGGTGCTTCCTGGAGAGCTCTTTGATAGGGGCAAATTCAGGTGGTTACATGCCTTTTGTCATTCCTCTTTGTCCTACCTATAATAAAGAAATGATACTGGAGTTGCCATCCCAAAACAGTGAGACGACAGGCAAAAGGAACAAAGTCACCCATGAAGCATGGAGAAACAGAAGGAGCATAAGTTTAAATAAAACATCACTGTAGAGCTGTGGTGTCAGTAAAAAAAAAAAACCCACTTCTTGCTTCACCCACTATATGGCAACGTTTTTGTTATTCACAATCAAATATCATTTCAACAGATGCAGTCTCTCTCTGTTAAGGGATTGAACTCACTGTTTCTAAATCTCAGACCTATTTTGCTGATTTTTTGGGCCACACTCAGTTGTAGAATCTTGGTTGTTTTGGGCAACCCTGGCTCAGGGTACCTGAGCACCAGCTTCTTTTCCTGGCCCAGCCTCACGGGCCAGCTCTCATGCCCGGTCCCCACTTTCTTACATTTCCCTGAGGCACCCAGGTTCCAGAGTTCCCACAAAGTCACTGTGAAGCTCCATGCTGTCCTAAAGCAGGTAGACTCTCTTTTCTCTCCTTAATTTATTTTCCCAGTCAGCACACTTCGACTCAGGCTTTTTTTCCAAAATGGAAAATTTGTGTTTTGTTCCCAAGTATAAAGCTTGACTCTCCTTACTGGCATTTTCCACCACTGTGCTCTTCTGCCCGCGCCTTTTTCATCATAGCACTTATCTCAGTTTTAATAATATATGTGTGATTGTTAATGTCTGTCTCCCTAACTAGATAGGTGTTAACCTTCAGAAGGGCGGGAACCACATCTATTTTGTTCATATCTTTATTCTCATTATTTGCAGGTGGTCATGTGGAATCCCTGAATGTTAAATGAATAAATAAAACTTCCACAGTATTTACAGGTGGCAAGTAGACTCCTAATTCATTAGTTCAGATTAATAGCCTTGTTCATGCCATGATCATTTTTTGAAAAAATTACAAAACCATGAAGACCAGGCCCACTAAAATATATACACTAATTTCAAACAGGTAGTTAACAATCATTTTTCATCTTATGTTAATTTTCTGACACCTTCCTCATACCAACTAGTATAATCCCTTTTAGGTGGGCAATTTTATCTCCTATTTTGTTGAGTAGATAATGGTCAATTGGTTTGAGTTCGCTCATCTATTTTCTCTACTTTTCAAAATAACTTACTCTCTAGGAATACCTCCTACGCTCTACTTTCAACATGGAAGGCAGAGCTGCCCCTTTTCCTCCAGATACTCTGGAATCTTGCTCTCGTAATCAACCCCCTCTGTCTACAGCAACTGCAGTCTCTTCCTTTCCAGTTGTCTCTTTCCTTCTGTCCTCAGGTATTCATTCATTCATTCATTCATTCAACAAACATTTATTAAATGCTTGCTAAACACTTTGCACTGTTTTATGTCTTCGAATACATCAATGAGCAAATCTTCACAGAATTTACATGCAAGTGGAAGGAAACACAGCAGACAATAAACAAAACAAATATGTAAATTACAGTATTTACATATTTGTAATGTATGTATCGGCTAAGCAGAAATAAAGCAGGAGAGAAATAAAGGAAGGAAGGTGGTGGAGGTTTTAATTTTAAATAAGGTAGTGAGGAGGGACTTCACTGGGATTAGCAAAGCCTCAAATAAAGTGAGGGAACATATCTTGTGGGTACCTGGGTATTATGTGCTAAATTGTGTCCCTCCAAAATTTACATGTTGAAGTCCCAACCTTTAGTGCTTCAGAATATAACTATACTGTATTTGGAGATAAGATCTTTAAAGCAGTGATTAAGTTAAAATGAGGCTGTTAAAGGTAGCCCCACACTCCAATCTGACTGGTGTTAGAAGAATAGGAAGAGACATCAGAGGGAAGAGGAAGTAAGAGGGCTGTCATCGGCAAGCCAAGGAGAGAGGCCTCAGAATCCCACCTTGATCTTGGACTTCTAGCCTCCAGAACTTCGAGAAAATAAACTAGTTTTGTTCAGGCCACCTGGTCTGTGGTATTTGTTAGGGCAACTCTAGCAAACTCATATACCTGGGAAGTTTCCTAGGCAGGCAAAACAACAAAGGAAAACCCCCCAGGTGGGTCTTGATTGGCCCAGTGGAGTGAGCAAAGACAGTATGAAATGAGATCAGAAAAGCCATAGGAACCAGATGCTGTAGCACCCTGTAGTCTATTTTAAGGACTTGACTTTTATCCTGAGTGAACTGGGGGACCTTTTGAGGGTTACGACCAGCACTATGGAGAAGCAAGAAGACCGGTGAAAGGTGTTCTAGACAGGAAAAACTTGAGTTGCTGGATCAAATACAGCTGATAAAACAAAGATTATCCTTTGAATACAGCACTGGTGGCCTCAGCGAGAGCAGTTTTGGTGGTGTGAATGCCTGACTGTAGTGTACTTGGGAATGGGAGAAGAGGAATTGAAGATAAGGAATTTTGAACACTTGAGTTTTGCCATACAGAGGAGCAAAGACACGTGGTAGGAGCTGGAAGGGGAAGAGAGGTTTCTTGTTTGTTTTGGGCTGGGGAGAGATTAGAGCATGTTTTTAGCAGATGAAGGATAATCTAGGTATACCCATATTGCCAACACCTTAACAAATCTTCACCGGTTTTGGACCAGGTGCGGTGGCTAATGCCCGTAAATTGCAGCACTTTGGGAGGCTGAGGCGGGAGGATGGCTTGAGGCCAGGAATTTGAGACCAACCTGGGCAACACAGAAACCCCATCTTTACAAAACAAAATTAAAAATTGGCCTGGCATGGTGGCACGCATCTGTAGTCCCAGCTACTCCGGAAGCTGAGGAAGGAAGATCGCTTGAACGCAGGAATTCAAGGTTATAGAGAACTATGGTCAAGCCACTGCACTCCAGCCTGGGCAAAAGAGCAAGACCCTCTCTCTAAAAAAAAAATTTTTTTTAATGTTCACTGGTTTTGATGCGGGTAATAGCCTCCCGGCCAGTCTCCTCCTCGTTGATGCTGTCACTGCTGAAGATGCATTTTCTTATCACTTCACTCATCTGCTCAAAAATCTTCAGGAAGTCTTGACTTGCAGCATTAAAAGTTCAAATGCCTTGGCTGAACATTCCAGTCTTCTCCACTCTGCCCTTTTGCAATTTCATCACTGTCTTTGGTGAGGTACAAAGCGTGCCAGGTCAGAGTCAGAAGACATGAATTAAAGTCATGATTCTGTGACCAACCAGCTACGTGATCTTAGGCTAACTACGTCAGTGCACTGGGCCGGGGCTCCTTCCCGTTCCTAAGGAGGCGGGAGGCGTGTCGGGCAGACTGGATTGTCACAGGTCACTGCCATCTCTAACAAGCGGACTTCTGAGCCCCGTTGCGGCCACAAGTAGGACCATCTCCTGCATCCTCCTTACCCTTCTACTTCTAGGGACCACACGGCTTCTGTGGCCACTTCTTGCTGCTTCGCTTTTGCCTTCCTAAGTAGACTAGGCTTTAGAAGAGCTACAATACCAGCTCCTTTAAGGTCGACCTCCTCCCGGTCACAAGGCACTTGCCTCCCACTCTTCACTTGGGACAGTCCTCTTCACAGTCAGAATCCGCCACGTAGTAAGTGCCGCTTCCAACCAATCAAGAGGCAGTTAGCGCAGACCTTTGAGGGACATCCACTTCCACCAATGATCTTCAAGTCTTCTCCAGCGCCTCGCTTTGTGGGGCGAGGCCAACCACCGCGATGGCCAATCTGTTGTAGGAAAGGTATTCCGGGAACTGATGAGCGCACCAATCAGGTAAAAAGACGTCGGGGAAGGGCATTTCTCATTGGTAATTGCGTCCGGAAGAGGGACGGGCCTCGAACGACGAAATTACGATTTGATTGGTAGGTGCGATGTTGACCACCAGGGAAAGTCCACCTTCCCCAACAAGGCCAGCCTGGGAACATGGAGTGGCAGCGGCCGCAGCCAATGAGAGAGCAAACGCGCGGAAAGTTTGCTCAATGGGCGATGTCCGAGATAGGCTGTCACTCAGGTGGCAGCGGCAGAGGCCGGGCTGAGACGTGGCCAGGGGAACACGGCTGGCTGTCCAGGCCGTCGGGGCGGCAGTAGGGTCCCTAGCACGTCCTTGCCTTCTTGGGAGCTCCAAGCGGCGGGAGAGGCAGGCGTCAGTGGCTGCGCCTCCATGCCTGCGCGCGGGGCGGGACGCTGATGGAGCGCGCCATCAGCCCGGGGCTGCTGGTACGGGCGCTGCTGCTGCTGCTGCTGCTGCTGGGGCTCGCGGCAAGGACGGTGGCCGCGGGGCGCGCCCGTGGCCTCCCAGCGCCGACGGCGGAGGCGGCGTTCGGCCTCGGGGCGGCCGCTGCTCCCACCTCAGCGACGCGAGTACCGGCGGCGGGCGCCGTGGCTGCGGCCGAGGTGACTGTGGAGGACGCTGAGGCGCTGCCGGCAGCCGCGGGAGAGCAGGAGCCTCGGGGTCCGGAACCAGACGATGAGACAGAGTTGCGACCGCGCGGCAGGTGAGGGGCTGCCGACCCGGGGGAGGCAACTTGTTTACGCGCGCGAGCCGCGGAGGATGCGGTGTAGGGGGGCGGAGATCCGGGACCCGGGCGGGCGTCTTCCCTCGGCTGCGGAGGGCAGCTGGCGACCTGGGGACGAGCGCGGGGCCACGACGCCCTCCCATCCCCCGGCCAGCGACCTGCCTGGGCTCGGCTCCCGAGGGCCTGGTGCTGGCCGACGGGTCAGAGCAGCATCCTCGCAGGTGCGGGAGAATGGAATTCCAGGGTTGCAAAGAAACGCCACTTCCCCTCTTTCATTGTTTTCGGGCATTGATTCTCTTCCAAGGAACCTTTCCCTCTTTTTCCTTACGCACATCACCTCCTGTCTGTGCTGGCGTGACAGCTGTTTTGAGAAAGGACTTTAGCAAAAGACGTCTGCATTTTCTTTCAAACACAACTCTGTAGTGCCCCCGGACAAGGATTGAGATCAGTGTCTAATTGAGATCTGCGGAACACCTGCATCCGAATCACCTGGGGTTGCTGGTGAAATCTACAGTTTTCTAGGCCCTACCCCAGTTTTACTGAATGAGACATTCCCTGGGTAAGAGCCTGGCATCTGCGTGTTTAACAAGCACGCCGGATAATTCTTGCACGCTAAAGTTTAAGAGCTATAGTCAGATTCTTGAATATTGGTTCTTGAACCTAAGAGCCATGGTTAGGTTCTTGAATAAGGGGTTTACTGTATAAACATTTAATATAGGGTTTTCTTTGAGTTTCTCAGCATTCAAAAAATGTTACTTCAAGGTGATTGTTTTAAAGCACTTTTCAAAGTCTAGACACAATGTAAGGCATGTTAACAGTAAATTTGGGGGACAGCCAATCTTATCACACCCGTGGAGAAAGTGATGTCCCATTTTATAAATGGAGTGCTAAAGGGAGCATTAAGTAAATTAAACTAGGGAAGGCTGGGCTCTGGATTGGAACATATTTTAGACTTATAGTCATTACTAGATCGTAACAAGTTAGATTTAATTTTAAATTAATATTAGAACTTTGATCTATATATCTGGAGACTACTATAAATAGGATAAGTACTAAAATTCTCTAGGCACCATTTGAATATATAAACATTTGTAAATATATATATATAAAACAAAGTTTTCTTAGGTTTGCTAATGAGTCAGTTTTCCTGGAAGAGTGTTTTTGTTTATCATAAATTTCTGAAGCTCCTGCTCAAAATGAATTACATGAAGTAGAGTTGAGACGTTTTCTTTTTCTTAGAATTCAAATCCACTTCAACAGGTACTTACTGGTTAACAAGAGCCCAAGGATGCCCTGGGTGGCAGAGGTTAGGCAGGTAGTTCCTGCCTTCCAGGAGAGTGTGCAGTCTAACAGTACGGATGAAACGAGAAGACCTATAACAACATTACAGACTAGAAACAGTGCCAGTGTCAGGGATGTCCCAAGGTTTTTGTGGTGTTCTACTAGGTGAGGTATGGGAGTGAGGGTAGGTAAGAAGATAAGAGAAGGTTGTGGCAGAATGAGTTGGTTCCTGAAAAATGGGTAAAATTGTAATGGAAAGTCACTGGACTTGAGGAAACAGCAAGAGGCACAGAGGCCGGAGATTATGTTTGGAAAACATTTTGTCTCTGTGTATGTCTGTGTGTGTGTGTGTGTGTGTGTGTGTGTGTGTGTGTGTGTGTACGTAAGCGATATAGACATGCACATATGTATGCTAGGCAGGGAGAAGTAGATGAGGATAGAAAAAATAGGTTAGAGCCGACTGTATATGCATATAGTCTGATGCTAATAGCATCATTGTCACTTGGGAGTATGTTAAAACTCCGGAGTGGGGCACCACCCCACACTCCCTGAATGAGAGTATCTGCATTTTAACAAGATCACCGTGTGATTCACATGCACGTTAAAGTTTGAGAAATGTTGGGTAGAGTATCCTGAGTGCCAGGCTTGATCAAAATTACACCTAAGGAATGTTTCTCTAGCAATAGTGTGTACTGAAAACTTGAGTTAAGAATACCAAAAGGAGAGTGTTATAGCAGTTCAGATGAGAGGTTTAGTGTAAAGTGGTATAGGACAGAGGGGACAGAGTTGAGATATTTGATGCAAAATCTAGGTTCCTGGCAAGTGAATGCATTCTTCCTTTCTTGGTACCCTTGTCCAGAGATTGAGACTGCGTGGCCAGAAGTTGACAAAAGAGGTTTAAGGGAGCAGGGAAGAAAAGGTAAGGGGTTTGGTGTTGGACATGTGACTCGGAGGTGCAGGCAGGACATCCAGAGGGAGGTAGGCGGGTGGAAATGAGTGACTAGAGCCAGTGAGAAGGCAGCATAAATATGAATAGGTGAAGCTGTGGGAAAGGGAAAGCTCATGAGAAAACCTCAGGAAATGCCTTTTATTTTAGGGAGGAAGATGAGCCAGCAAAGGAGACAGAAATACAGCTGGCTAGGTTGGAGGTACAGGAGGAGGACTGGGAAGAAAGATTTGGCGATGAGCACACTTAAAGAGTTTAAATGAAGCAGCAGAGACAATACTCAAATTGCAAGAGGTTAAAGATTCAGGCCCTTCTGCCCCAATCCCTCCTTTCCTCACTGATGAGGTAATTTTTAGGAGAAGGAACCTCCGAACTTACTTATGTACTGAAAAGAGGGAGCCTGTGTAGATAGAATGAAAATGAAAGGGGCTGGGCGCATTGGCTCAGCCTGTTATCCCAGCACTTTGGGAGGCCAAGGCGGGTGGATCACCTGAGGTCAGGAGTTTGAGACCGGCCTGGCCAACATGATGAAACCCCATCTCTACTAAAAATACAAAAAATTAGCCAGGCATGGTGGCGGGTGCCTGTAATCCGAGCTACTCGGGAGGCTGAGGCAGGAGAATCACTTGAACCTGGGAGGCGGAGGTTGCAGTGAGCTGAGATCGTGACACTGCACTCCAGCCTGGGCAACAAGAGCGAAACTCCGTCTCAAAAAAAAAAAGAAAAGGAAAATGAAAGGAACAGGTGATGAGGTGAAGGTAGTTAGAGAAGATCCACTTAGCAAACAGGAGGATCATTTCTTTCTCATAAATTGCAGTGAAAACAGGAATTTTGGCTTGAAGAGCATACATGATCACCAAACAGAATTGCCTAGGAAGAGATAGAGCCCAGTTTTGGGGTCTGCCTTGTAGTGTGGACTTAAGATAGTGTGGAATGTTTGAGAAACCTTGAATAAGTTGATAGTCAACAGGAGATAAATACGCAGTTTATAAAAGTTTTTTCTAAATGCTCTTAAAAAAAGATAAAAACCCAGAGAATATTAATTAGTTCAGTAATAATAGACCGGTAATTCTGTTTGTTTCAAGGAGTATTAGGGGAACAGATTTGAATTAACCAAGCGTTTACTATGAACAGCTGTGAAGAACTGCAGTACTGGCAAAACTTTTAAAAAGGAGGAGGTGTGGAATTATCTTTATTTTTGCATGTTGTCTTTTGATACTCAAGAAGCAATCCGAGATTCACCAGTTCATTGATACTTTTCTCTTGATGGAATTTTCAAGTTTCATTCTAAGTGCTTACTCTGCATATCAAGCATGTGAATGAGTGAATAAGCTATTTATTTTCTTTAAAAGTTAGCTAAAATAAACTTGTTTTTCTGGTACCAATCTCGTTGTCCATGTTCTTCTGCTAAACATTACATTAGTTGATATTTAAGTGGGATGGTCATTGCAGAAAGTTGGGAAGAAAGTCTCATCACCTCACTGTTAGATTTTACATATGTTTATGTAATTTTGTGAATTACCAGTCTTCTGACTTCAACACAAATAGCAAATTGCAAAGTGTTACTTGGGGTTCTTGGGATGGGTTGGGAAGACATTCTGACAATCTCAGAAGTTCTAAAGAACTAGTTTTATCTTAACTATCACTAATTTGCAAAGTACATGTTCCTTTTTCCTCTGGCTCTAATTCCTCTCTAACAAAAGTATTTCTAAATTTGACATTAATCTCTGGTGCTTCTTCAATTTGTGCATCTGCAAACTGATTTTTTTATTAAATGAGATAACATGAAAATATTTGCAAATATAAGATGATATAATTTCTCTTTTTTTCCTCTGTCGTTTTACAAAGTGATCTGATGTGAAACAAAGGTACAGAAATCTAGTCTTCCTCAGACTTTCAGATTTATAATCATTTTTTTGTTTGTTTTTTTAACTACTAGGACCCTTGAATAGTAGCATATCAGAATACCATGTTGAAAGGAAGCTCAGTCATATAGTCCTATTCCTATTCACTCACCCAACTCCAGACTTTTAAAGTTAACTAACAGTCACCTTTAAGGAAGAATTTACACAGAACTTTCAAAGCAAGTAATAAGCCAAAATAAATATACTTCAGGCAAGTAATGAACTATCCTTTGTGTCTGCAATTGTCTTTAGCTTAATTGATGCCAGGACTGTGCTTAGACTATGTGGACAGGGATGGGAGATTGCTTTTTATCTGATCTCAGGTCCCTGCATTCATAGGCATCTTCCAGATTGCAGAGAGGACCTGTCTTTATCAGTTGCTGTGAGCTGTAGCTTCAGCGTGTCTCTTTACTCCCTAAACATTGCCTGATAACTCCATTTGCTTTTCTCCTTTTTTGTAAGAGGGGAACTTCTTATACATTTTTATTACAAATTGTTTTAAAATACAAAGGAGAAAACTTGTAAGTTGCAGAGCTAAATGTGAGGGGAGGAGATAAATTTGTGTGTTTAATTCCATTCTATTTGTAAATGACCATTTTGATTAAAAGTCTTTCATAGGGCCGGGCGTGGTGGCTCACGCCTGTAATCACAGCACTTTGGGAGGCCAAGGCAGGCGGATCACCTGAGGTCAGGAGTTCAAGACCAGCCTGGCCAACATTGTGAAACCCTGTCTCTACTAAAAATACAAAAATTAGCCAGGCATGGTGGCACACGTCTGTAGTCCCAGCTACTCAGGAGGCTGAGGCAGGATAATCAATTGAACCCGGGATGCAGAGTTTGCTGTGAACCAAGATCATGCCACTGCACTCCAGCCTGGGTGACAGAGTGAGACTCTGCCTCAAAAAAAAAAAAAAAAAATTATAGAATAAAGTAGAAAAGGTACTTTCAAAAATGTTTTAATGTAACAGGAAAAGGATATCTGTTACGCTTATGTTAAACCTGTACCACTGAAAACTTAGATTGTATGTCTTTAAGGTCTAGCTGATATGCCAAAGTTATAAAGTATAGTTGGTAATTTTTGATATATTTGTTATGATTTGGGGCATGGCTAGTCTTGTCATATGTTTAAGTAAAGGAGGTTTGACTTGAAGATTTACTTAGTAGGTGAGGACCAGGAAGTATAGTCTAATCAGTACTACTTTGTTTCTAAACAAGAACATATGCCTCCTTTAGTGAGGGCACAAGTTTGGGCAAAGGATTCTCAGCTACGCCAAAAAAACAGGTTCAACCAAATCACATTTATAGTTTTGTGAAATAACGCCCTCTCCCCAACCCCCAGAAAGGATATTTGAAATTTTAAAATAAGCAGTTGTTAATGTAGAAACTATTTAATCCATACAATGTTCTCCTATCACCTGCTTGTCTTCTTTCACATCGGAAACTTCCACAGGAAATAAAAGTTCCTTTAAAATGATTTTATGAAGAAATTTAGCATACACTTATCAGAATTTGATAAACTTAACTGTAAATAGGCAGGTGTTCTGGGTAACTTAAGTCAGCACAGTTTTTCTTTTTTTATTGCGTATTCATTGTGGCATAAAGTCATTTCTCCTGGATTGAGGACATAATCAGAGCAATTACAGGATGAACGACATCTATGAGATTTCTGAGAGGAATAAAAAGCTGCACGTTTTAGTAATATAGTAGTTGCCACTTATGCAAACTTACAGTTAACAGAATAATGAGTTAAAAACCTGAATTTCTGCTCCTGTTCAAAATTTTGTATTTGGTGCATAACCTTAGGTAAATCACATCTTTTCCCATCTTCTCAGCCTTTTTGGTGGTGATTGTTTTGTGTAGATAATATGTTTGTCCTACCAAGGTTTATTCATTCAACAAACATTTATTTAGTTTTACTGGGGCCCAGGTACTGCTAGGCCCTGAGAGTAGATAAATGTCTTTTCCGTAGGAAGCTCCAAGCCTGACAGATCATTGTGTTAAAGAATTAACTATCCTCGAATGGATAATAAGTGACATAAAAGTAGTGTGAGTGAAAAGAATGGAAGTGGCAAGTTATTGAGTCCCGGAATGAGAAAAATATCAAGGACAGTGTAGGCAACAGAATAGTGTGAGCAAGGGCACAGAGCAGGGAGTTTGTACAGTGAGCACAGAGCAGTGGTTCCTAAGCCAGGGCTCCAGGACCCCTACAGATCTGCAAAGATAAAAATGGGGATCCATGAGACTGCCAGTATTTTAAAATAACCTAATGGAAATTAAATATTTAATAGAAGGTACATTAAAAAGTGAAGTTCCTTTGCTTTGAACTAGAATTATATAAAACCTTATATAGTAATTACAGTTCTTTCAAGAAATGTTGAATATTTTGATTGGTTCTTAAGTATTTCCTCTAAAGATGGGAGAATTTATTATACACAGTGTTCATTTGGCAGGTGGAATAATTTAAGACATGGAGGAAAATATAGACAAGAGAACTTTTGAAAAGTTCACCCCATGGAAAGGGGGGAGTGTGGAGCTGGGAAGGAGAGGGGAGAGAGGGTTGGGCTGGTACAAGAGGCAGAAAAATGAGATTAGGAAAGTACACCGAAACCAAATTGTGAAAGGCTTTATGTGCCACACCAAGCAGTGTGACCTTTCTTTTTCAGTGGGCACAGGGAACCTTGGAAGTTTATCAGATCTCTATTACAGAAACAAAACTGTGGGAAGAAGAGAGGGGAAAGAAACCTGAGGCAGGAAAATGTGTTAGAAAGCATTTTAAGGTGTTCTGATGAGAAATGAGAATCTTCTAGAGCAAGAGCTGTGGTAATGAAGAAGGCAAAGATTTTTTTTTTTTTTTTTTTTGAGACGGAGTCTCGCTCTGTCGTGCAGGCTGGAGTGCAGTGGTGCAATCTTAGCTTACTGCAACCTCCGCCTCCCAGGTTCAAGTGATTCTCCTGTCTCAGCCTCTCCCAATTAGCTGGGATTACAGGTGCATGCCATCACACCCGGCTTACTTTTGTATTTTTAGTAGAGATAGGGTTTCACCATGTTGGCCGGGTTGGTCTTGAACTCCTGATCTCAGGTGATCCATCCGCCTTGGCCTCCCAAAGTGCTGGGATTACAGGGGTGAGTCACCGTGCCCAGCCAGAAAAGATTTAAGAGAAGCTTCAGAAATAGAATTAAGAGTACATGGCTGTTGTTTAAATGTAGAGGATGAGGGAGCACAAAGAGTTGATGTCTGATTTAAATGTTAGGTAATAGGATGGATGGCTACCCTTTTAAGTGGCAGGAATAGATTGTGGGAAAGAAGTTTCCTGAGCCTGTTATGGTGATAACAAGTAGATCCTGCTGAAGATGCAGAACTAGGATAGGGGAGAGATGGTGAACTATAAATCCTGTACAGGTTTGGGGGCTGTCATACTATAGATGGAGGTGAAGCTGTAGACATTGACCATCTAGGTAGAACATGTAGTACAAACAGGAAAATGCCTGCTCTATAGATAGAAAACTATAAGGATGATAGGTGAGGCCGGGCACGGTGGCTCACGCCTATAATCCCAGCACTTTAGGAGGCTGAAGCGGGCAGATCACCTGAGGTCAGGAGCTCGAGACCAGCCTGGCCAACATGGTGAACCCCCACCTCTACTAAAAAATACAAAAATTAGCTGGGCATGGTGGTGGGCACCTGTAATCCCAGCTACTTGGGAGGCTGAGGCAGGAGAATCGCTTGAACCTGGGAGGCGGAGGTTGCCATTGAGCAGAGATCGTACCATTGGGCGACAGAGCAAGACTCCGTCCCCCCAAAAAAAAAAAAAAAGAATGATAGATGAGGACCCAGGAGGGACTGGTCCTGTAGAAACCAGGAAAGAAAAATGTCCAGAATGAGGAGCTGGCCACAACGGTGGCTTTTGTGAAGACAGGCCTGATGAGGGGAGTGAATCTGGCAGTTAGGAAACCATTGAAAATCTTTCTTGAGAGTGGCTTCCAAGGATTGGATCATGGGTGAGAGTTCAGGGCTTGCTGAGGAATCATCCAAATAAATGCTTTTGTAAGCTACAGCAAAATGTAAGTGAGAGACAGAAGTCTCCAAAGTATTTACTGACAGAGATGTTCAATATGCCTTCTTCATCCACATCATAAATTTAATTTTTCTCTATGGAAATGACTAAGGTAAAACAGTGTTTGCACAACTGGTCTTATGAGACTCACCTGGGGTGCTTGTTAGGCTACATTCTCCCAGTCTCCCTCTTAGGATGAGACGTGGGAACCTTTAATGGTTTTTAACAAGCACTCCAGATTATTTTTATGATCAGGTACACTTGGGTTACACTGAGATAGGTGAAATAACCATATTTTGCCTATGAAAAAATAACTCGAATGAAGCCATGAGGAGAATGAGAGGAGAGCCTTGGGGATGTACACCCAGGTCTGACTTAGGCTTTGGTTCTTTCCACTGGAAAAGCTGTCTCTGCAGTTCCTTCAATTCTTGAATAAGTTAAGAGTTTTTCATCTTGATCTTGGAACCCTCAAAATAGGGCAAGTGGTCTTGGGGAGATAAATAACCTTATATTCTTCCTGTTTTGGGAGGTGTTCATTTTTCACTTTTTATCTCTGTTTATGTTTCTTCTTCTTTCTGGAGACAGCATTTCACTCTAACACTTAGGCTGGACTGCAGTGGTGCAATAACAGTTCACTGCAGCCACGACCTCCTGGGCACAAGCAATCCTCCCACCTCAGCCTCTGAGTAGCTGGGACTACAGGCATCTGCCACCATACCCGGCTAATTTTTAAAGTATTTTTGTACATTTGGAGTCTCAGTATGTTGCATAGGCTGGTCTGAAACTCCTGGCCCTCCAAGCAGTTCTCCTGCGTCAGTCTCCCTGAGTGTTGGGTTTACAAAGGAAAGCCACTGCACCTGGCTGTGTTTGTTCTAAATGCCATACCTTTTTTAAGTTCAACTTTTATTTCAGATACAGGAAGTACATGTGCTGATTTGTTACATAGTATATTACACCCAGGTAGTGAGCATAGTACCCAATGGTAGTTTTTCTTTTTTTTTTTTGAGATGGAGTCTCGCTGTGTTGCCAGGCTGGAGTGCAGTGGCGTGATCTTGGCTCACTGCAACCTCTGCCTCCTGGGTTCAAGCGATTCCCCTGCCTTAGCCTCCTGAGTAGGTGGGACTACAGGCATGCACCACCACGCCCGGCTAATTTTTTTTTATATTTTAGTAGAGATGGGGTTTCACCACGTTGGCCAGGATGGTCTTGATCTCCTGACCTCGTGAGCCACCGCACCTGGCCCCAATGGTAGTTTTTCAACTCACCCCCGGCCAGTACTCTGCAGTGTCTATTGCTCCCATGTTTATGTCCATGTGTGCTCAATATTTAGCTTCCACTTATAAGTGAGAACATGCAGTATTTGATTTTCTGTTCCTGTGTTAATTCGCTTAGGATTGTGGCTTCCAGCTCCCTCCATGTTGCTGCAAAGGACATGATTTCATCTTTTTATGGCTGCATAGTATTCTATGGTATATATGTACCACATTTTCTTTATCCAGTTTACTGCTGATGGGCACTAGACTGATTCCGTGTCTTTGCTCTTGTGAATAGTGCACTAAATGCTGTATCTCATTGCTATCCTCTGGTCATCCCTGCATTCAGCCTGAGGACTTTGTTTTTTAGCATTATCTGTCTACTTGATGTTTTTCTTGATCTACATTATGCCAATGAGCACCTCTTTCTTAGACTGTGATTAGGTATAGTAGCAAATCTTTATTGCTCCGGTGGTGCTTCTTAATTCCAACCACAGCAGAAGGGGTGCCTCCATTCCAGAGACATGCTTCTGGGGAGGAGCCCATAATGAATACTACAGCTGGCTTGTAATGCAAGAGAGTCTTGGTCAACTTGCGGCTTTACTTTGAATTTATATACATTGTGCATCAAGTGATATAGAAGAGATAAAGTTGCATCTTGTATTCCTGACCAGGAATATAACTATACATGCTTACAGTGTGCATGGTCTTTAAAGCTGATAAATACACATAATGAATTCATAGAACAACTGTACAAGTCATCCTTTAAACAACTATTTAGGCCGGGCAGGTGGGATCACACCTGTAATCCCAGCACTTTGGGAGGCTGAGGTGGGCGGATCACCTCAGGTCAGGAGTTCAAGACCAGCCTGGCCAACATGGTGAAACCCCGTCTCTACTAAAAATATAAAAATTAGCCGGGTGTGATGGCGGGCACCTGTAATCCCAGCTACTTGGGAGGCTGAGGCTGGAGACTTGCTTAAACCCAGGAGGCGGAGGTTGCAGTGAGCCGAGATTGCGCCATTGCACTCCAGCCTGGGCGACAAGAGCGCAACTCTGTCTCAAAAAATAAATAAATAAAAACAAATAAATAATTTATGGAGAGTCTGCTCTGTAGCTGGAGGTGTATGTTCCAGGCAGAAGGAACGGTAGATGCAAAGGCCCTAAGCAAAAATTTTGCATGATGTATTTGAAGAGTTGAGGGGGTCTGTCTATGGATATGCAAACTCTGAAAAGCCTGTTAGACAGTCTAAATCAGGTAGGTGGTTAGGTATGTATGTCTGCAGTTCAGGGGAGAGGCCTGAAACCAGATATAAATTTGGGAGTTGCCAGGATATAGATGGTATTTAAAGCTATGAGACTGGATGAGATCACCAAAAAAATTACATGTAGGTAGAGACTATTTTAAGAGATAGGAAAGATAAGAAGGAACCAGAAAATGAAACTGAGACAGAATAGCATAGAACTGAGTCCAAAAAAAAAAGAGCGTGGTGACCTGGAAGCCATATAGAGTGTGTTTCATGGAGGGCAGAAATGGCTGGTCAGGTGCTGCTGGGTGGTCAAGTGAAGCAAGACCTGACCACGGGATTTATCAGTGTGAAGGTCATTCTTGACTCTGACAAGAACCATTTTAGTGAGGTGGTAGGGGCGAGAACTTGATTAGAAATAGTTCAACATAGAAGGAGAGGAAGAGATTAGGAGACAGTATATAACAACTCTTTCAAGGAGTTTTGTTGCAGAGGGGCAAGAAGTAGATTGGATGCTTGAGGAGGAGAAGGATTCATTTTGTTTGATCTGGTTTGGTTTTTAAGTTGGGGAAAATAGTAGCAGGTTTGAATGCTGCTATAACAAAATACTGTAGACTGGGTGGTTTATAGACAACAGACCTTTATTTCTCATAGTTCTAGAGGCTGGGAAGTTCAAGATCAAGGTACTGGCAGATTCAGTATCTGGTGAAGACTGATTCTTCACAGAAGCACTCCTACATGGTGGAAGGGGCAAGGGCATCTCTGGGGCTGCTTTTATAAAGGCATTAATATCATAAGTGAGGACCCCACCTTCATGAACTAATCACCTCCTAAAGCCCCACCTCCTGGTATGATCACCTTGGGGATTAGGTTTCAACTTATGAATTTTTTGGTGGGGACACAAAAGTTCAGTTTATAGCAAATGCTGATGGGAATATTCTAGTAGGGAATGACTGATGGTGTGGGAGTGACAGGAGACATTTGCAGGAGCAAGACCTCACGAATGCGTAAGGGGGAGCTCTGTTGCTTAAGTGGAGGTGTTGGCGGTAGATGGGAGTGTGGACAGTTCACTTGCACTAACAGGAGGGAAGGTGGAACCCATGGTCCAGGTACTGTTGCATAGATAGAGGTGGTAGGGGGAAACAAGCTGATTTCTCCTGTTTTTCCCTATGAAATAGGAAGCACAGTCACCAAGATGTGTGAGCTTGAAAGAGCTGGCATCAGAAGTTTGAGGAACAGGGAGACATGAATGGTTAACATGGTTCAGTGGCATAATGGATAGACTAGGGAAGGGTGTTATGATTGTTGAGCATTGTTAGTAGCCTTTTTGAGGTTGGTGGTCGTTAATTAAAGTGAGGATAGTCAACATGGTATGTTTCTCTTCAGATACGTTCAACTGCACAGATGTAGGAGTGAGAAAGGGGAGAAGATTGACTTTAACCAGTTCTTCCAGAGTGTGACATGTGAGAGGCAGGGTAGGGAGTTGAGGTGTGTGCAAAGTAGTGCTTAAGATGAAGGACTGTGGGATTTTAACTGGTTAAGAAAGAAGTGAGGGCATGGTGGTAGTGAAGGTTGTAGTATCAGTGGCTTGTAGGTTCTCATAGGGTCAGAAGTTTCTTGGAGTCAGGGAAGTAGAGGAAGTGAGCTGAAAAGAGAGGGGTTGGTGGTTAGGGGGTTGCGGTGATTTGTAATGACAAGGTCTAGAGTCTGACCACAGGAGCAGCTGAAGCAAGGTAGATAGATATTGAAAACCCAAAGAATTGAGGCAGAAGTATGTTAAATATGTTAGGTGGTGACAGTAAACCAGCAGCTGAAATCCTCCAGGATGGGGCTAGTTACCTAAGGGTCAATTAGATGTCTACTAGGAGGGGTAAGGGACAAAACAGTCTGATCCTGAGGATTTTCAGAGAGGAGAGGAAAAAAGTGGTCTGGAAATGGCAATGAGATACATGGAGTCCACTTACCCCATTCTGAGCAAGGGTTATGGGAGAAAAAAATTATCTGTGCTTCTGTAGGGAAGCGATATCCTCAGGGAAAGCCCGGTTTCTATGAGAGCAAAAAGATAAGTGAACGATCAGGGAAGACAGTGTTTCAGGGGAAAGGCTTTCAGGAGGTATGTAGGTAGAAGAGGACATACCAGGGGACATTGTGTTCCTTATGGGAATTAGAGTGTGGAATGAAGGGTGACCTATGAGTCAGGGGCTTTTCATAAGTTACATAAACAGATAAAGGGCATATTGAAATTGTCTTGGTCCAAAGACAGTGGTGGCAAGAGTGGTAGAAGGCCCCCTCTTCCTTTCTACGAATAGAGGCCTGGACATGGGCTGGTTTTCTTTTGAGCATGTGGGATAAGTGCCCAATATCTTAGATATCTGTTAATTTTAAAAATATTTTTAATATTTACAGGTCATTAGTAATTATCAGCACTTTAGATGGGAGAATTGCTGCCTTGGATCCTGAAAATCATGGTAAAAAGCAGTGGGATTTGGATGTGGGATCCGGTTCCTTGGTGTCATCCAGCCTTAGCAAACCAGAGGTAAGAATTTTCTGTTAACTGTTGACTAGAAAACTTAATTCTAATGAGTAATTGCTGATATTAAGAAGTTTGGGGCCCTATTGCCCAGGTTTGAGGCCTGTCTGCCTCTTACAGTTTGTGTCCCTTTAGGGCAATTACTTAACTTTTCTATTCCTCAGTTCCCCTCTTGTGAAATGAGATGGATAATAACATCTTCTTAGGATTACTTGGGGCATTAAGTGAGTTAATCCTATAAGTGAGCAGCTGAGGATACTATCTGCCATATCAGCAAAGCACATTATCTGAGCTATAAATGATTGTTTATTATCATCACAAGATCTCTAGGAATAATAAGATAAATATAAATAAAAACTTTATTGAATTTTACTAGTTAGAAATCTGTGCTGCAAAATCCCATAAATTATTATTCCCTAATTATAAGCAGAATTCATCTGAAATTTTTTTGTAATGTAATTCCAGGTAAATTTGATTATTTGCAGAAAAAGTGTACTTAATAATTTGGAGCTCTAGAATAGTAGAGGGGAAAGAGCATAGATTCAAAGAGACCTCGCTTCCAAAATTACTCTGTCACATGACTTCAAGCCCCTCAGAGCTTTAGTTGTTCTCATCAATAAAGTGAGGACACAGCCTGCCCGCATGGGGTACAGATGGGGGAGATTAAATAAGAGAAGCTGATTTTCCTCACCTTTAGTTTCAATTCTGATGGATTAAGTCTCTCTGCTTTTCTGGAGCTTTAGTCTGTTGTTTAAATTACTTAAAAATAAGTCCATCTTTTGAGTGGTGACTACTAACATTGAAGCAGTCACCTCTGTTTTCCAGAATGCCTGTGGCCTTCTTTTATATCGAGTTGTTCTTGTAGGACACTCCCTAGGGTAGTCTTTTTTCTCTTTTGTCATCAGTCTTTTTCTTTAAAAAGCTTCCTAGCTGATATTAAGTATGGAAAAGACAAAATCGTACATGAGGGGTTTGAGAATGACCTGAATATTGGTGACCAAACTTTCCAATGGGAAACTGCTACCAGTGACGCATCTATAATAACAGACTTTCCTGTGCTTTCCAGTAAACCCAGCCCAAATCTTTTCTGGTGCACCCAAACTGATATTTAAGGAAACAACACTGCCAAATTTCCACATTTGCTGTGTGCTGAACCCTGAGTAGACTTTATAAGTGGCTACTGTTTCTCAGTATACTGAAAATATATTTTGAGAATAGAGAACTTCTATTGTATTATGAATTATTAATACAAATAGCAATTTGATTGTAAATTACATTAAGTTTATAATTGAGTATGGTATTCAAGTGAATTACTACTTAAGATAAACTTGTTTATTTTTCTTCTGCTGGGATTATGCTTGGGTATGCATGTTTTACTTTATTTTTAAACTAGACATAAGAGATGATCAGCAAAATGAGAAGATTGTAAGCTGCTTACATCTGAGGTAATATCACAGTGTGTTGTAGTAGTTCAAAGCATGTGTGTGTTTGCAAACTGAAATATATATAGGTACAAAAAGATAAGTTGCATGGTATGGCAAAGTAGAATGCAAATAGTTGTAATAACCTGAGTGCTAGTAAGTGTGTTTGAGTTATAAGCAGCTAGTTGTATTTGAAGGTTTTCTTACACATAGCCGTTATATTAGCTGTTTTTAAAACTACAGTTCAACATTCTTACTGTCTTTAGTTCGCACCATTTTCTGTGGTTTATTAGGGCTCCCTTGTTTTCAGTGTCCTCTCTCACACCCACCCACCCCCAATCCTAGATCTTTTGGATAAAATTTTTGCTTTGAAATGTTGAATCGTAGGCCGGGCGTGGTGACTCATGCCTGTAATCCCAGCACTTTGGGAGGCTGAGGCGGGCGGATCACAAGGTCAGGAGTTTGAGACCAGCCTGGCCAACATAGTAAAACCCCGTCTAAATACAAAAAATTAGCAAGGTGTGGTGGCAGGCCCCTGTAATCCTAGCTACTTGGGAGGCTGAGGCAGGAAAATCACTTGAACCTGGGAGGCGGAGGTTGCAGCGAGCCAAGATCGTGCCACTGTGCACCAGCCCAGGCGACAGTGCAAGACTCCCATCTCAAACAACAACAACAGCAAAAGAAATGTTGAATCGAAAGCCTTTTCAGAAAGCTCACTGGTCGCTTTTCATGCAGGAAAAGAATCCTGATACCTCTTTGCATTATCTAGATTTTCATTTTCTACTTCATAGAAAAAAAAAAAGAAAATCTGAAGGTATTGAAACAGCTGCGATAACATGATAGATTAACTAGATTTTACTGCTGCCCCAAATTCTTGGGACCATTTCTTGAGAGTGGATGTTTAATATGTAGAGATACTGATGATATAACGTTGTTCCCAGCATTGTAACATATACTCGATGCTGCTTACACAGTGTAATCCTCATAGTAACCCTTCTGAGGTTGATAAGTTGGTCCCATTTTGTAAAGAGGAAATTGCAGCTCAAATAAATTTGCTTGAGGTTGCTGACCGGCTATATATATGGATGAAGTTGGAACTGAGCCCGAGATTGCCTGACTGTACTCCATTCTGCCTGCTCTGAAGCCCTTTTGCCACCTTGTATATACCTCCCTTTCTTTACAAGCTCAGGCTCTTCATAGACTACAGTGGTTCTGAGACTGTTTGGTGTCAGGACCTGTTTATACTCTAAAAAATTATTGAGGGCTCTAAAGAGCTTTTTATCAGGCTGGAGTGCAATGGTGTGATCATATCTCTCTGCAGCCTTGAATCCTGGGCTCAAGCAATCCTCCTGCCTCAGCCTCCTGAGTAGCTGGGACTACAGACATGCACCACCATGCCCAGCTAACTTTTTTTTTTGTGGAGACAGAGTCTCGATATTGCCTAGGCTGGTCTCGAACCCCTGGGCTCAAGTGATCTTCCCACCTTGGCCTCTCAAAGTGCTGGGATTACAGGCATAAGCCACCACGACCAGCCTAAAACAAATGTTTAAAAAACATGTATTTTATTAAAGAAATAACAATAAACCCACTCCACAATAACGTAACATTTTTATGAATAATAACTATATTCTTTAATACAAAAAATTTAATGAGAAAAGTAGCATTTTACATTTTTGCAAGTCTCTTAAATTTTTGGTTTAATAGAAAACAGTTGTATCCGCGTCTGCCTTAAATATATTGCATTGTTGTTTTGATTTAACTACGTAAAGAAGAAAATCCAGCCACATACAAATGTAGTTGGAAAAGGGAGGAATATTCTAGTAGCCTTTTCAAATAATTGAGGCCATTCTTTTTTAATAATCTGCCAAAACAAGTGGAAGTTTTTTAAAGGTTAGTTGCAGTGTGGAATCAGAAACCATATCAATGAACATTTTATACTCTGAACACTAACATCCATTGGTCTGTCTTGCCTTTTACTCATGCATGATTTTATAACTTAGAAAATACTGACTGAGTTACATAGATCTTTTAAATGTTGGCATATTTCCTTATAGAATATTTTTTAAAAAAACAAATTTGTTGCTGTTACCACTGATCTCATCAGAAAAGTCTGTAAGTACTGGGAAGCTGTGAAGCGCAAATTGGCAGATCCAAGTTGTTTTGTTTTGTTTTGTTTTTTGTCTTTTAGAGACAGGGTCTCACTCTGTTGCCCAGGCTGGAGTGCAGTGGCGTGATCATAGCTCACAGTAGCCTCCAACTCCTGGGCTCAAGCAGTCCTTCCACCTCAGCCTCCTAAGTGGCTAAGACTATAGGCGCTTGCCACCAAGCTCAGCTACCTTTTTTTTTTTTTTTTTTTTTTTTTTGTAGAGATGGAGTTTTCTTATTTTGCCCAGGCTGATCTCGAACTGCTGGGCTCAAGCTATCCTCCTGCCTCAGCCTCCCAAAGTGCTGGAATTACAGGCATGAGCCACCATGCCTGGCCCAAGTTTTCCAGTATTCTAGAATTCACTTAAAAACATAAATTTTATCACAAATACCGTCAGATGTGTTCTTTGAAGTAAAAAGTTCACTTTGTTCATTTTTTAGAAAATGTCTACCAAATACCCAGTTGACTTTTGAGTAAAATTGGAGCTCAATGAACAAAGCTGCTAGTTCAGCTCACAACTCAGTTCTAGAAGTGCTTTTCCTCAAGACATGCTTTAGCATGTGGAGAAAGGCTTGTTACATACTTCCTAATTAGTCATGCAGAATAATAAAAAGATGTGTTACTCAGGGTCAAGATTTAATGAAATCAGTCATTTTTATTGCTTCATCAAGAACATTTGTAAGTGGAACTGTCTCTGTTTTTTTCCTTTAGTTCAGGTGTATGACAGTGAAGAATACCATTGTATTCTTAGTTTGGTTCCTGAATTGTGCCAAGGCACCGGCAGTTTTAGTCAGCATTGCTTTTATACCTTCAGGGCAAATAGCAACCTTTGTGAAAAGGCAAATCACACCTTGTTTGAAAACTGTGTGCTATTTTGCACCCCTGAAAGAATCCACGAACCATACTTTGAAAATTACTTAATTGGTATATGATAGAAATATAAGAATATTTGTGAAATTATAAACATATTAGCAAGGAGAGAAGACTGTATTGTGAGCATGAGTCATCTGTTATTCAGCAAGGTGTGTGCTGCTCAGCATCTAGAAGTTATGTTCAAAAGTTGAACATTTGTCCAGTTCAGATTTAGAAAAAAAAAAAGTTGGACAAAACACCACAAAAGGATCATCAAGGCCGGGCGCGGTGGCTCACACCTGTAATCCCAGCACTTTGGGAAGCCAAGGCAGGTGGATTGCTTGAAGTCAAGAGTTCTAGACCAGCCTGGGCAACATGGCAAAACCCCATCTCTACAAAAAATACAAAATACAAAAAAAAAAAAAAAATACAAAAATTAGCCAGGTGTGGTGACATGCACCTGTAGTTCCAGCTACTTTGGAGGCTGAGGTGGGAGGATCACTTGGGCCTGGGAGACGGAGGTTGCGGTGAGTCAGGTCACACCACTGCACTCCAGCCTGGGTGACAGAGTGAGACCCTGTCTCAAAAAAAAAAAAAAAAAAAAAAAAAAGAAATCAAAAACTGCCATTTGAAATGCTGTGAACTGGATGCATAGAGTAATACTACCTTCAAAATGCATCTGGTGCAGTGTTTTCTTAAGGTCCTTAACCTTCATAATAGTTAACTTTTTTAAAAGTAGTTAACTTCCTCTCTCAGAAACCCAGTGTGTTTGGTTGTAAAGGCTGGTGTAGGGAAGAGGGCCAGTTGTAGCAGGCAGAAAGAGCTGGCATGGATATATAGCAGGTGTCACCTCCCAGGTAACAATAAATAGGTTCATGGCTTCCTGTGGGGACTCCTGTGTTAGAATGTCAGTTTCTCCAAGCTTTCATCAAGAATGGTATGAAAGTTGGGCACAGTGGCACGTGCCTCCTGAGTAGTCGTCCCAGCTACTCAGGAGGCTGGGCCCAGTTGAGCCCAGGAGTTTGAGGCCAGCCTGGGCCACATAGCACAACCCTGTCTTATGACGAGGAAACAGATGTAACTCAGAAGACCAGAGAAGATGTATTCTCTGCAACTATCAAAGTTACTTATTAATCTGAGAAGCTGAAGGATAAAGGATTTGATAGACTGTATAATAATTTTTAAGTTATTGATAAAGGAATTGATTATGGATCCCATGTACTTTTGCTGGAATACTAAAGCCACACAGGAACTTTTTAGACTGTGTGGTATTGTGGAGGAGGGACTAGGATTCAGGAGCTTCAGTTTTAGTCTTAATTCTTCCATTAACTTACTGTGTGAACTGGCTAAATTATTTAATCAGTAGAGCTTTAATTTCCTTCTCTGTAAAGTTATAGAATTGGACTACATCTCTAAAGATAATCTAACTTCATGCATCAGGTACAGTCACATACATGAAACACCCAAGTAAATTATCTGGAGAAATTTTTGAACTTTCCCTTTTACTACATTTAAGGATTCTTCTGAAAATAAAGAACAAATTCACTAGGAATTACCATTAGGTACATACTTGCCTCCTGGCTTGCTCTGATGTTCTTAACCTTTTCTGATCCAAAAGGCTTACAGAATAGTGTATTTTGTTGCTTTAGTGGGATTTTGATTACGTCAATGGAAAAAATAAGCTCCTGGAAGATAAGGGAAATTGACAGTTCCACTAAGAACAGATGTTTTAAATTACATTTAGAATGAATTGTATGAATTGTGTACCTTGGGACACACATCTCATTTGCCACTATCTCCTGAAAAGAGTGTGGATACATAACCAAGCTAAAACCGTTAAGGTGCATGTTTGTGTGTCTTAGAATAAATAATGCACCTAAAGTTCACTCTATTAGCTTTAACAGATGTGCTTAGGTTCTAAGCATAATATTTTTGCCAGTTAATAGTAGCTAAGAATTTTGTTTTTAATTTTCAGATGTGAAATCTGATTTGCTTTCCTCTAGTAATTTATATTCAGATTCAACCTTGATAAAAGCACTAAGGAAATTTGTCTGTGATTCCTCACTGATTGCCTTAAAATTTTGTTTTGTAACACATGAGCATCGTTTTTTCTTTAGGATCTCTGGGCTACATTTGGATCACTTCACCAAATCTAAGTAGATTGAACTATCTACTTCTTTATGTCTTGGAACTCATTTTTAAATATGAAGACCTTCCTTATTGTTATTCAGAATGCATATTGTAATTGTGTATATATAACTAATTTGTACTTAGATGAATACCTTTATCTTTATTTAGAGATACCATATTTGTTTTCTGTTTTGGTTTTCTGTTAAATATGCCCTTTTTTTCCTCTTAAGAAGAACAAACAACTCTATCGTCTAAACTTAGATAAGGTTTGGGGTTTTGCTTTATTTTAGGCATGTTTCTCCCCAAGGGACACCGCCTTTCTGTTTCAGACAGGTGCAGAAACAGACAGCTCTGATGCTGGTGCTCTCCAGCCTCCTCCCCCTCCCCATATCAGACTACATTCCACTAATATAAGGGCTTTGAAAAGTGGGACTGCCTTTGAAAAGGGTACAGCTTTACTGGTTACTGATTTGTTTAGAAAGAGTCTATTAGTAGACCCTTTTAAGTATTTATTAAAAGAGGATCTGTAATCTCTTTTAAAGCTTCTCTTACTTTTACTGAAAGCTGTCCAAGTTGTTTTGCAGTTTTTCATTTGCACGCAAACTAGCACATTTTGAGTCTGTGTCATCTAAGATGGCAGTTTATTTTGAAGCATAGCTGTCAATCATGTAGCAAGCCAATATTTAAATAATTGCCTGGGTTAATTGCTTTTCTTTTAATTATAGAAATGAAACAGTGCTTTAATTTAATTTTGTTATATTAATCCCTTAGCATGGCTGAAAGCAGTGCTGTGAACTAAGCTAATTTATCCCAGCATTGCATGTCACCAAAGGAGAAACTGATTTGGCCCTGTTTTTTTTATTTTTTATTTTATTTTTTTAGGAAATTGACTCTTCATGTACATTGTTTATGTCATGAATATATATTAATCTAGGTGAAGGCAGAGATAGTTATTAAAATCAGTGTTCTTTTATCATGACTGTGAGAAGTATGCTTAAAAAGCTAGTCTGGTAGTTTCCCTTGAGGCATTTTGTTTTGTAGGTTGATTAAATTAGTGAAAAAAAGAATTAAACAATTGTTATCAACTTGATATTTCTCTGCTCTTGAGTACTAATTTACATTTTTTAAGATAAATACCAAATCATTGCAGAGGTTTTTCTCAACATTTAAGCATATAGCATATCACTTGGGATGCAATCTGACTAATACCCGGATCTGCTGAACAATCTCATTACCCCTCCCGTTAGGGCATCATCATCTAATGGTGATGCCCCTTCCCTTGTCTTTCAGGTATGATTCCTGGAGACCCTTTACTTTTATCAAACAGTCTTCCTTTTACTTTCCCCAATGTTTCCAGGGAAGTAAAAATATATATTTCCATAATACAACAATGTTGAAGCATCTTTTTTTTTTAAGTCACAAATAGTCAATTCTGATATCTAGTAGTGTAGTCAGTTGCTCATTTTGGTTAATTAAGATTTACTGTTTATGTTCCATTCAAGTGTATCATTTTTGAAGAATTAAAATATACAGACATATACTTGTTAATTTTTCTTTAGCACTGATTGTCTTTATTGATTAATAAAGTACTTTCAATCCGTTAGAGTTTTTATGTTACAATCAAAGAATTTTAGGCTTGATAGAGCTTTCTGATAAATCAAAAACTGCAGCAGTTTGATATATTCTACACTGAATTAATCTTTATTTGGTTTTGAGGCCTTGTTTTTAAACAGATGTGAATCCATGTTTGGGAAAGAAATAACTGACCTTGCATAATTAAGCTTTCTGTCTGCTCCCGCCTTTAATTTACTTGTGGAGCAGGTATTCTCTAGAATTCAAAAAGCTTTTGTTATTTTTGAAATTTTGTATTCATGAATAATAGTTCTCTCCTGAAGTTTCCAATAGAGAATAAAATAAAGCTCACAATGAATTATAGGTAGTCACATGAGCTAGACTGAGTTTATATTTTTGCTTTTAACTTTTTTCTTTCATAAGTATACATGTATATATACACATAAACACATACAAATTACCTTAGAAGTTCAAAGTAAGCAGCCCTGGATCATAAACTTTTGTTTGAGTAGCACTTTATAGTTTGTAAAGTGATATCTATTCTTAGTCATTTACATAGCCCTGTGAAGTAAATATTCTTATTAACCCTAATTTTTTGCATGATAAAATCGGGGATCAAAAAGGTTCAGAGATTTATCTGATATAGTAAAGGTGAGACTCAACCCGAGATCTTTGTACTTACATCTTTCCCTCTTTCCAACATTTAATGCTTTTTAAAATACCTTAATGCTTACCAATTTATTTGTATTTTCTCTACTAATAATTCTTCATGTGCTTTATGGAGATTAATTACTCAAAGACATCTTGCGTACAGCATACTTAGCACGTAGCTCAGCACATTTTGAGCATCTAAACTGCTTCTAGGACAACCCTAGTGGGATAGTCACAGGCACCAAAACTTAACACATCCAAAACTGAATTCAGCATTGCGGGATTGCAGGAGGGAGGCGTGCAGAATTGTGCACTGCCCAGGACAGATGTGATTCTTGCCTTTCTAGAACTTATAAGGTACTGTGTGGAGCCAGCTAGGGAGGCAAATATGAAATAATTATAGTACAAATAATGCAATTGAGTGTGGTAACTGGCACAAGGCAGGATAGAGCACAAAGAAAGACTCTAACAAGCATAAGTGCTTACCTAGCCTGATGGTCAAAGAAGGCCTCTCTTGTATGATCAGGAGTTACTGAGGCAAGAGATGGATAGAGAGGAGGGGGAGGATTATGCTGGGAGAGGAAATAGCCTATCTCAAGGCCTTAAGGCGAGAGTTATCATGGCATGTTTGGGGAACTGAGAGAAGTTGAGGATGGCAACAGGAATGAGGGTTGGGAGAGAGCAGCCGAAATGAGCCCATTGAGGTGGGCCAGGATCAGGTTATGCAGGGTCTAGTAAGCTATGTTAGACATTCCAGATTTTATCCTGAGCCATGAGAAACCATTGAAGGTTTAAGTGGAAGAGATCACTCTGACTGTAGAAAATGGACTGAAACAACAGCAGAAATTGGGAGACTATTTCTAGTCTCCCACACTAGTTAAGAGACTGCATGGTAGTCATCCAGATGGGGATGATAGACTGGATGGAGACAGTGGAAATGAGTGAAGTAAAGTGACAGATTCAAAAGATGTTTAACGAGGAAGATAAAATTACAAGACCAAAGGAGGATTTAGTAGTAAATTAAGAACAGGTATAGAAAGGAAGAACATGTGTTGTTTAGATATGAGTTGGGAGAGACCATGAGAGCTCTCCAAGCAGAGATGCTAAAGAAGGCATTTGACTTTATGGGTCTTGTGCTGACAGAGGAAAAGTCTGGGCTGAAGTTAAAATTAGAATTGCTTGTGTCATGGGAACTGAGAAGATCAATCACCTTGAAAGAAAGTAGGGTGAGAAGACCTATGACCAAAGCTTTGAAGTCCAACATTTTAAAATTGAGAGAGACTGATAAGTTAGAGAAAATTGAGAGAAAAAGTGTTTCAATGATAGATTTGTTTTAGTAGGATTTTAGGGATTATCCTGCTTTCCTTCAGATTTTTGCATCTGCTACTTGGTGTGAAGACTTTATGAATATGTATAAATATAAATACTTCCATAATTAGAGATAACTGATTTATAATGCAAATGCCTCTTCAAACAACTCCTTGATTTGTTAGTCTTATTGAAAGTTTTGCAGCAAAACAGAACATCAGAAAACCCTTTCCACTGTCAACTGGGGAACTTGGAAAGCAGTGGGAAAAAGCAGGAAGCCTGTGGATGCCCAAAGTGATAAAAGCATTAGTCAGTGGTTGAAGACCAAAAAGGAATCCCTTTTAAGTTAGTTGTGGAGAGCGATTTTGAGAATCAAGTGAAATAAGGAAACGTGAGACATTTTGTAAAACAGTGAAGTGTTCGTTTTTATCCGAGGTCACATAGTAAATGAGTAGTAGAGTCAGGGACCCAGGGGATGGGGCTGGATGAGGTGCAGTCAGCTGGTCTGGTTGGTATGGATACATCTTGATTTTATGTTTTGGATGTGTGCTGTTGCCCCATCACCTTGGTTTGCAAAACAACTAGTATGGCTAGGAAAGTAATTGTTCTAGGCAAAGGAGACTTCCAGATAATAAAAAAGTCAACAATTTAGCATTTTTAATGGCATATTTTTATTTTTCTTTTTTTTTTACTTTAAGTTCCAGGATATAGCAGAATGTGCAGGTTTGTTACATAGGTATACATGTGTCATGGTGGTTTGCTTTACCTATGAACCCATCATCTAGGTTTTAAACCCCACATACATTAGGTGTTTGTCCTAATGCTCTTCCTCCCCTTGCTCCCCACCCCCGTCAGGCCCCAGTATGTGTTGTTCCCCTCCCTGTGTCCATGTGATCTCATTGTTCAACTCTCACTTACAAGTGAGAACATTAATGGTGTATTCATGTATTTCACATCTTCCCAATCTTAATGAGTTGTATCTTTTTATTTGTAAGTTGTAAGAATTATTTATTTGTAAATATTGTAAGAATGTTATTGTATTATCCTAGAAATGCTCTCTGGGGTTCTTAGGTGGGACAGGGATGTGTGCCCCTTTAATAAATATTCTAGGATAATTGGTGTTTTACACTCTCTTTCTTCATGGCCTATGTTCATTCTTCCTTATCTCTACATTCAGTGAGTCTGCATCTTGCCACACTCTTTTTCTTACCCCCTCTTCTCCTTTTTAAACCTTGTTGCTTCTTAGCTTATACACAGAACTTGGCTTTTGTTAACTATCAGGGCCAGTGTGTTCCTGGTTAGGGAACACACTGGTCTCACCAAGTCTCCTGAACCCTTTTCAATTTTCAGTTTTATAGTGGGTGAGTTACTTCTGGATACAATTTTTGGGATTTGAGAGTGTTTAATGCCTGAGTCACTAATCAAGAAAATGCTAGTGTATGCAAATCTGGCTTCCAAAACCGAATGAGGAAAAGTTCTTTATAGAAAAATCCTAACTAGGCCGGGAGTAGTGGCTCACGCCTGTAATCCCAGCACTTTGAAAGGCTGAGGCAGGCAGATCACGAGGTCAGGAGACTGAGACCACCCTGGCTAACATGGTGAAACCCTGTCTCTACTAAAAATACAAAAAATTAGCCAGGCATGGTGGTAGGCGCCTGTAGTCCCACCTACTCGGGAGGCTGAGGCAGGAGAATCACTTGAACCTGGGAGGTGGAGGTTGCAGTGAGCCGAGATTGCGCCACTACACTCCAGCCTGGGTGACAGAGCAAGACCCCATCTCAAAAAAAGAAAAGCAAAAAAAAAAAAAAAAAAAAAGAAAAATCTTAACTAATAAATGCAGAAAGAATGACAAAATTAGAAATTGCTATTCTAGTTCTTTTATTGAAATAGTAGGCCATCAAGCAATACTAAAAT
Source organism: Homo sapiens (assembly GCF_000001405.40). Classification (NCBI taxonomy): domain Eukaryota; kingdom Metazoa; phylum Chordata; class Mammalia; order Primates; family Hominidae; genus Homo; species Homo sapiens. Next base: position 88,601,735 of record NC_000002.12, on the reverse strand, counting down.
GGTAAAAAGTTGATGGGACACTTTAAATGGAGGGATCAGGCTGACTCCCCCAAACTCAAGTGATTGATAGTAACATCATTAAAAGTGGGGCATGCAAACACTATGTGCCTCCTAATATGGTATAGCATAGGGGCCAGCAAACTTTTCCTGTAAAGGGCCAGATGGTGCTTATCTTAGGCTTTGAGGATCATGTGGCCTTTAGTTGCAGCTGGAAAGCAGTCATAGACAGATACATAAATGAATGAATGTGTGGCTGTGTTCCAATAAAACTTTTCTTACAAAACAGGCATTAGGCTGGATTTGGCTCATGGGCTGTAGTTTGTAGACCCCTAATGTAATAGGAAGTGCGTAGCACCAGATACGAAGGCTTCTTGTCAAAACAACTGAACCTGCATCAGATCAAAGCTCCAAGTCTAATCATACTTTTCAGGAAATATAGGAAATAAAGGAACAAGTTAAATGACATGTAGAATCCTGACTGTGGGACATTCTATAGGACAGATAATCTGGTTTCTCAAGTAAATCAGTGCATAACAAAGGGGTTGAAAGAAGTTCCTTTGTGGAGGGAAAAGAATCAGATGTAATATGTAGACTTGGAATTCCTCATCATAAAGTAGATCTTTGAGATAATAGGAGAAATTTTAAAATTTGATGATTTTACTCCAGTAAACAAGTATATAGTAGGTGAGTGGAGATAGATGAAACAGTTGGCAAAATGTTGATAATTGTTGGAACTGGATGATAGATACATGGGGATTTATTAATCTCCACATTCTATATGCTTGAAATTTTTTATAACCAGTTAAAATAAAGTTGAATGTACTCCAAAAAGTGTGTGAGTCAGTTGGGGAGAGGGGTTGGCTGCATAGAAAAATAGGGAAGAATCAAATGGAAAACATTTTTTCTTATGGTTAGAGGAATTTTTGTTTTTTAATGCTGGTAGTGCTCATTTTAGTAGTAGTACTTCCTTTATTTTCTCATATGAAATTCCTTCCTCCACTTTAAAATTAAAGTTATTTTCACATTTTAATTTCAGATAGAAGTCCCTGATTGCAAGTGCCACTGGTATTCATTGTACCACTTAGGTTTTGTTAAGAAACAGAAACGGAATTACTTTACTAAACTGCTTTATGATTACACAGATAGACTCTGGGAGTTTGCTAGCACCTTTTATTTTAAATTATGAACAGGGAAAAAACAATAAAGAAAATAAATACAAAAATTTAGACTTTTTAAAATGACTTAAGGGAGAAGCAAGTCACACAATAAGTTTGAGATGCAGAGCAGCGAATCAGAACAAATAGCTGCTTACATGAACAAATCAGTGGGATGTGAAAATGCATCACCGTAACCTACATTTTTTTCTACCAAGAGATTTGCAGCTGACTATCGGGTGACTCATTCCTATGCTTAGGGGGTGAGGTAATGCTATTGTGAAGGGTGATGTCATCTCTGTACCTGAACTGCATGCATATATTGCTTCTGTGGCTCTCAAGGAAAAGCTCCATCTGCTTTCACATATGCAGCCTGAAAGACTTGACAAGATTGGCACAAAGGTCAGCAGCCATGTGTATGACTCATAAGCAACCAATTAGCGAAGAGCAGCTATTTAAAAGTGAACTTTTAAAATCACAATCCAGAAATATGACATGATGATTCATTATTGAATCATAATGCCTTGTTGTTGTTTTGTGTTTTGCACTTACTGAGTTAATGCTGTTGAGCATTTAACTTTTAAAATAAGGAAGTTTTCTCAGTATGGTCAATGATATCAAATCTTGAATCTTTAAACTATATTTTTAATTGAAGATAAGGTTGGTTGGTCAGTCTGTTGGTTGATTGGCTGGTTTTACTTTTGGAGTTGCAGAGACCATCCTTAGGGCAAAAATGGATTCTATTTCATATTAGTTTGGCAGTTGATTTTTGCACTTAGGAGACATTGTATTCCCTAAGGACCCGCTACTGCTTTAGAGGAAAAGAGGTTTTTAATGGAAGAGGAAATAAGTCAAAATAAACGCTATCTGTTTACTGCAGACACACTTAACTCCTCTTCCTCTTTTAGTCATGCACACCTGCTTTCTCTGTTTATACTTTAACCTAATACTACTGTTGAGATGACCAATTAAAATATCTATTTTTAACTTTATTATTTGAATCTAGTGTTCTGGTAAATAAAATATAGAATATTTAACATAATATGGAGGTAGATAATGGTAAATACTTGATTTTCTATCTGATATGTAACTCAAAATAGAAGATCATATCGGCTAAATACTACTTATTGTTATTATAGGGTATGTGCATACTCTGACCTAAATTTGTTCTAATGGCAACTTCAAGTTGGACATTCTACAAAAGATAAAAATAAAGGTTTTAATTTTTGAGAATAAAATTTGTTATCTATTATCAGGAAATAGAAGGAAACAAAGAATAAAATAGTTATGCTAAGACTCTAAGGTAATATTAGGTAAGGTATATACCAGTGTCACTTGAGAACTTACTGAAAATCAAATGTTTTTTCAGTAATGAGTAATAGGAACCCTTAAATGTCTAGAATTATGGTAAACCTTCATTTAATGGTATGGTCTTGAGTTTGATTATAGAGCTCCTGCAAGACTCTTGAGTACCTTTCTTTTGTTTTTAAACTCTTGTTTGGAAATAATTTCAAACTACAGACAGTTGTACAATAAACGTGGTACCAAAAAAGAAAAAAAAAAACCTTATGTGCTCAGACTTTACCTACCCCAACCTGGTTGCCTGCTTTATATGCTTGCCCGTGTCCTCTTGCCCACTCTCACTCTTCTCCCCCATTCCCTCATACACACTTGTTTTTCTTGAAATATTTGAGGATAAGTTAAATATGCATCATGGCCCTTTACTCTTAAATACATCAGTGTATATTTCCTAATAGAGATATTCTCTTACATAACTACAAAAGTTATAAGCATTATCAATTTATATTAATACAATGCCTTACCATCCATATGCAAGTTTTGTCAGTTGACCTAATAATATCCTTTATAGCATCCTCTATGCCTAGTACAGCATCTAGTCTAGGGTCAGATATTGCATTTATTTGTCACATTAGCCTCTTTTAATCTAGTTTTTTTTTTCACAGCCCTTTCTTTATCTGACATTGACATTTTTGAAGAATATGGTTTCTCTGTTATTTTTAAAATGGAATTTTCCTTACTTTGTGCTTGCCTGATGTTTCTTTGTGCTGAGATTCAGGTTGTGCATTCTTGGCTGGAATACTACATAGGTGATGCAGTCTCTCTCAGGGCATCTAACTCTCATTGATGATTTTTACTTTTGGTTATCCAATCAAGGTATTATCTCCACTATGTAATATATAACTTTTGTTTTTTAATTTCTTGTAACTAATAAGTACTCTGTAAGGAGACACCCTAGAACATGTAGATATTCTGTTCTTCATCAAAGTTTCCACCTCAGTTTAGCACCATTGCTGACTCTGGTATGACCCAGTCTTTACTGTGATGGTGGCAAAATGCTAATTTTTCCAACTCCAGCCCTTCCTTTTCCCTCATATATTATTTATTTTATCTGTTTGCTATTGGTATGAACATGTGAATTCCTATTTTTAAAAATTCAGTACTTAATTATTTTGGTGCTTAATTGTCCCAGATTTGGCCAGTGGCCCTCACCCTTTTCAAGCACATCCTTGTTTTTTGAAAGAATAAGATGGTAAAGGCTCATCTCACATCTACACTGCCCCAGCCCTGGAATCTGCCATTTCTCTGAGGAGCCCTGGTTCCTTTTGGTGGAGAATGAAATTAGATAACAAAATTTGGGCACCGGGTATGAGTGCACTACTTTTACAGCCACTGTATAAACATAAATATAAACATTAGCTGACCTGGTAAGTATTTCTTGGAGGTACAGTGAACAATTTTTGAGGATATCACGGTGTCTCGGATTATAGTGACAACAAAAAGGAAAGTTAAGGAATGGGAAGATTTTTGTCACTAAACTTACATTGCCAAAATTTTCTTAGATTTCAAAGCAAAAAAATACATGATGCTAGGTTGAAGGCTAGATAGGATTTCTGTGGACAAAGTTGGTACAGAAGGATGTTCCAGAAAGAAGAAATGACATTGACAATGACATAACTGAACAATATCAGTAACTTTAAATGTTGTGTTTAAATAACCATGCCTGATTTCCACCCATTGGGGGAGAACTAAAAGACAGGGATGAAAGGTTTATTTAAGGTCAGTTTTAGAGGACTTTGAATGTCCTCTAAAGGATTTTGGATCTTTAGGATTTGGGGTCTTTAGTAAGAAGATAATAGCTGTTGAAGATTTTTGAATAGTGTCATAACAAGCTTAACTCTGACTGAAAGAGATTAATCTGGAAGATACATAGAAGATTAAGGAAATTTCCAGTTAAGAACTGTAAAGAGGCTATTATAGTAGTTAAGGCAGGATTTGAACTGGATTTGAACTGGAAAATAATAAGGATTTGAACTGGAAAATGAAAGAAAGAAGTGAATTAGAATAGTGGTTTTTAATCTGTCTTCCAAAACCCCAGGTTTGGGGCAAAGTAGATGTGTGAGTTGAACACCAAATGAGAACTCTCAGTTACTGTATGCGAGTTTTCAAGTAAGTATCCCTTTAAAGAAAGCAATCTGCTGCTTAAAGAACAAAAAACTATGTAGAAAAATTTTGTTAACTCTTACTTCTCTCGTATTCCTGTTTCCTAAAGTTTTGAGCCTGGATAATCAGGAAAATAATTGTGTCATTAATTGATGTAGGTCAAATTATGCGTTTTTTAAATGCCAAAGGTCAATGTCACAAAGACATGTACTAAAACTCTTACTGAAGAAATAAGATATTCTTGGCCAGAAGTCTTGGAATTATCCTGGACTCCTTTCTTTTGCTCATGCCATAAAGAGAATCCACCATGAAATCCTATTGGCTTTACCTTTCAATTATATCCCAAACCTGACTACCTTAAACAGCTCTACTGCTTATCAACTAACCTCTTACCTTCTGCCTGCTCTCTCTGCCTCCACTCTTGCCTCTCAGCCTGTTCACTTTCCTTGTGGTTTTTCAAACATGATGGGTATGCTTCCATCTAAGAGCCTTTGCAAAGCCTGGCCTGGCGTGGTTAACTCTCTCACGTTAAGACTTTGCCCAAACGTTACTTTCTCAGTGGGGTCTACCCTAAGCTCTTTATTGATAATCCCCTCTCCACCCCATGCGTATTTACCATTCTCCCTTTATCTTGTTCCATTTTTTTAACGGCATTTATCACCTAACATACCATATAATTTACTTATTTATTAAGTTGTTTGTCTCGTGACACCAGAGTTTAACCTTCACAAAGGCAGTGATTTGTTTGCTTTGCTCGCTAATCTATCCCAACCATCAGAATGTGCCAGGCCATAGGTAAGCCCTTAATAAGCATTGTTAAAAGAAGGGAGGGCAACCGAGAACACAAAACCAGTAAGCTTACTTACTAGGCTTCTATCTCATTGCAGATTTGAGAAAGCAAATGAAAGAAGGGATGGGACACTACTTGAATCAGTATCTCTAAACCTGTGTTCCTTGGAGCTGAGTCTATGACAGTAATTGGCCTTGATAAAAATAGCCCTAGAAAATACTGCATATATTATCTATTTACACATTAAATATTCATATTACACATATTACACATAATCATGTTACACATTAACATACTAATTGCTATAAGAGCTCCTATAGTAACCTCTTCTTGAACTCACTTGATCATAAAACTCTCTTTTGGTAACTCACCTACCATTATGGGACCCTTTTGGCCCATGGTAAACTGAGTTTGAGAAAAATCTTACTAGAGTACTATGTGTAGGGCCTGGGAGTGATTGGCAGTTCTTTTAAATTACTTTTGGTTGATGGACTGCACTGCTTCATGTGCTACTCAGAAGGAGGCTGGAGTACATCAGGATCAAGACTCCAGCTCTTAATTACTATTATTCTTTTAAAGGTATGATGCTTCTATTTTTCTGGGAGAAATAAGAAAAAAATAATAATTAATGTTATGGCCCTTTTAAAAAGTTAGCTTCTGTTTTAGGTATTTGGGAATAAGATGATCATTCCTTCCCTGGATGGAGCCCTCTTCCAGTGGGACCAAGACCGTGAAAGCATGGAAACAGTTCCTTTCACAGTTGAATCACTTCTTGAATCTTCTTATAAATTTGGAGATGATGTTGTTTTGGTTGGAGGAAAATCTCTGACTACATATGGACTCAGTGCATATAGTGGAAAGGTAAGTGAAAATGCTGAATTTACTTTGGGGAAATCAGAGTAAATTAGGGTAGAAAAAGTAATTTATTAAACTACACTTATTATTAGTTGAGTTTTATTGTAATTTTCCCCTGAGGTTGTCATTTGTTTTAATAAGAGAACTGTGAGGTAGGAAGGGGAAACTAATAACAGAATAAATGGCAGAGCCAGGAATAGCAGGAGGAAGAGAATTCATAAATATGGTCTACTGTGTCTCAGGTGTTTTTTTTTTTTTTTTTTTTTTTGAGACAGAGTCTCACTCTGTTGCCCAGGCTGATCTCAGCTCATGGCAATCCCCACCCCCACCCCATTCCACACCCCCTCAGGTTCAAGTGGGTTCAAGCGATTCTTGTGCCTCAGCCTCCTGAGTAGCTAGGATTACAGGCACATGCCACCATGCTTGGCTAATTTTTGTATTCTTAGTAGAGACAGGGTTTTACTGTATTGCCAGGCTGGTCTCCAGCTTCTGGCCTTAAGGGATCTGCCCACTTCAGCCTCCCAAAGTGCTGGGATTATAAGCAGGAGCCACCATGCCCAGCCTCAGGTTCTTTTTTTTATACATTATTTTGCAATCTTCACAGTCTTCCTAAGTGTAACTTTCGTTTTTTTTTTTTTTTTTTTACATTTTGACAGATGAAGAACCTTATAAAGATTAATAGTAATCCTAATGATAAGAATAATTGATACTACTCATTTATAGGGTTTGATCCTATAATAAGGTGATCCAAGAGGAAAGTTTATACTCATTTTACAGATGAAGAAACTGAGACTTTAAAAGGTTCAGAAACTTCCAGGGTCACATTTAACTTAGATCTATCTGACAACAAAGTCATGCTGTTAATAATCTAGACTTTCTCCAACATTAGCTCTTAGGATATAATCATAATATAATCTGCTTCTAAGATTGGGTCTTATAAATCCATTATCAAGAGTAGCTAATTAAAAGCATCCTTTCAACCAGGCAAGGTGGCTCACACTTGTAATCCTACCACTTTGGGAGGCCAAGGTGGGTGGATCACTTGAGGCCAGGAGTTCGAGACCAGCCTGGCCAACATGGTGAAACCCCATCTCTGCTAAAAATAAAAAAATTAGCTGGGGATGGTGGCGCACGCACGCCTGTAGTCCCAGCTAGTCAGGAGGCTGAGGTACGAGAATCACTTGAACCTGGGAGGTGGAGGTTGCAGTGAGCTGAGATCACACCATTGTGACGTGTAAACGGTTTATATACAGACTTGGACTAAAATAAGGAAGAATAGAAACGTGGTCTTTTTACTCTTGCATTTTTCAACTTTAACAATTCCTTATCTAAGTGTTAGGCCCATAGCACTTTCTTGCTCTTGCAGATGCTTTTCTGCCTTCTCCACCCACCTGCATCTGCATTGTGTTGAGGAGGCCATGCCATCCTATCTGGCCGTTTTTTGAGCAAAGCACTTCAATCTCTGTTTACTTCGGTAGTCTCATCTGTAAACAACAGGATTGAACCCGATCACCTGGTTTTCCGATTTGATGTGCTGCTACATAATTCTGGTATTGTAGAAGGTATGCTTTTCGTGAGGATTTTAGTTTGGATCATATTAACTCTTCCTTTTTTCTTTAGTGAAAATTTGAGGCAGTTACTTTTGAATACAAAAAGCTCTCAGAAAAGTTTCAAATTTTTAAAAACCAAACACTTTTGTTATACAGAAACTCTAAGGTTGATTTTTTTTTTAACTCACCTGAAATTTTATTAATGATATTGTAGAAAAGCTATCACAAGTAGCTATCCATTTCTTCTTGTATATTCTATGGAAATCTCCAAAGTAAGGCTAAAATTATGTAAATCCTTAAAATCATTCCCTGAAATAAATATTCATTGGTACTGTCATTGTTCTAAATAACTCATTTTAGGAGTTGGTAATCTAACTGATGCTTCTTATGACTTGAGTACTTCATACACATTTCCTTAGTTTCCTTTCACTTTTTAAAAATTACAGATTCCTTTAATATCTCTGATCTATTATGAGTTGTCTCCTTTTACTAATTTTGTATCTAATTTTGTCTTTTCAGGTGAGGTATATCTGTTCAGCTCTGGGTTGTCGCCAATGGGATAGTGACGAAATGGAACAAGAGGAAGACATCCTGCTTCTACAGCGTACCCAAAAAACTGTTAGAGCTGTCGGACCTCGCAGTGGCAATGAGAAGTGTGTATTCAGATAATGTTGCTGTTGGTATTATTTAGAAATACACCTAATACCAAAATTTATCAGATTTCTGTTTGTGGAGATTTTGACTATTTTGTTGCCTTAAAAGCATATATATATATATTTTTTTGATACGGAGTCTTGCTCTGTCGCCCAGGCTTGAGTACAGTGGCGTGATATTGGCTCACTGCAACCTCCACCTCCTGGGTTCAAGCGAATCTCCTGCCTCTGCCTCCCGAGTACCGGGGATTACAGGCACGTGCCACCACACCCAACTAATTTTTGTATTTTTAGTAGAGACGGGGTTTCACCATGTTGGCCAGGCTGGTGTCCAACTCCCGACGTCAGGTGATCCAATGTGGGTCCTAAAATAAAAATGGTTTCATGGTTATTAACAAATTCTGAACTGAACTTCTCACCATATGCTTCGGGATATGATAACCACAGGGGTTCTCATATGATAACTATTAGTTTAGTCTCAGGTTAATGATTTTTTTTTTTTTTTTTTGAGACCGAGTTTCACTCTTGTTGCCCAGGCTGGAGTGCAATGGCATGATCTTAGCTCACCACAACAGCTGCCTCCCGGGTTCAAGCAATTCTCCTGCCTCAGCCTCCTGAGTAGCTGGGATGACAGGCATGCGCCACCATGCCCGGCTAATTTTGTATTTTTAGTAGAGATGGGGTTTCTCCACGTTGGTTAGGCTAGTCTCAAACTCCCAACCTCAGGTGATCCACCCACCTCAGACTCCCAAAGTGCTAGGATTACAGGCATGAGCCACGGTGCCTGGCCTAATGATATTTTTTATAGCAATCTCATCATTCAAAGTTCTTTGAATACAGAAAGATGTTAAGACAAAATTGATGTGTTTCTTTGAGCTTGAACTTATTTGACTCTCTAATTATGTCTAGTAGGTAGTTTCATAGTTTGATTATCTCAATTTTAAAATAATAATCATCTTATTCAATTTTCTTGAAGTATTAAAACATTTATTTAGCCTAATACCTTTCTGTTTCCTTCTTTAAATAATGAACCCCTTATGTAATTTTTATATTTAAATATGTGATTAAAAAATGTGATACCTAGATTAGATACGCTGATTCTACATCAAATGCTTGATTTTTTTTAAACCTAATATTTAAGTTTTAAATTGCCTTTGTAGTAAAAATAACTTTAGATTCCATCTTTATCTTTTGAAAATGAACCAGACTTTCGGGTTTTGTCTGATCCGATGCAGTGTAATTCAGTTTCCTTTCCTGAAAACTGTTTTCTCAAACTCAGTTAAGAATGCATTTATTCTTTCTACTTTGGACTATGAATAGGGCTTTGCATTTACAGACAACTTGACCTTCTTTATCCTGACTGGATTTTGTTTTTTTAAGTGTTTGAGTGCTTACTGGGAGCTCAGCCACCATAGCAGCAGATGTCCAACTTAACAGATTTTTGAGTTACCAGAATAGGAAGGATCTGGGTTTCTAAGATCCATGATTCTTTAAAATATAATTATTTCCATAAATGTCAGAATTCTTAACTATGCCATTTTATATCTAAGTGAAAAGACACAATACTCTCAGTAGTTGAGTGATTTTTCTATTTACTAATTATAGAGGAAACATTATTACTGCCACTTTAGGATAAGACTGCTGAAACTTACTTAGGAAAGGGTAAATGACTTGCCACATCTTGTTCAGTGGAGATCCAAGATTGGGGCTGAGGTATCCTGGATCACATTGCCTTTTTGAGGCCATGTTTTAGTATGAATTTAAGACTGGTGCATTCATCTTGACTTTTACACTGGTTTGTTAGGGCATATTAATTTTGCTGCACTTAATGAAATGTATCCTGCCTTTAATTAAGAGGTAAGGCAGACTGTGTGCTACCTCATTTTAAGGTGACATTGATGTGTTTGGGGAAAATCACTCTGATGTAGAAGTACAAACATTTGTAAGTTTTTGAGAGAAAATCTGTCCCTTAGCTGTTGTAAGGGACACATCAAGTCAGTCCACAACCCTCAAAACCATTGTGTCTGAAGGGTCAGGACAAAGTTCTTGTGGGCCCTCTTGTGGCATAAATCAGTAGAGCACTCTTTTCCAGAAGGTTATGTTGTTAGTTTTCTCATCACATAATTTTAGTATTTGCTTCTTCAATCTAGAAGAGTTCTATATTATTTTGTCCCTTTCTTTAAATGTAAATTTCTAAAACACACCTTTGTAAATTTAAGGTGGAATTTCAGTGTTGGCCACTTTGAACTTCGGTATATTCCAGACATGGAAACGAGAGCCGGATTTATTGAAAGCACCTTTAAGCCCAATGAGAACACAGAAGAGTCTAAAATTATTTCAGATGTGGAAGAACAGGAAGCTGCCATAATGGACATAGTGATAAAGGTTTCGGTTGCTGACTGGAAAGTTATGGCATTCAGTAAGAAGGGAGGACATCTGGAATGGGAGTACCAGGTACCTAACACCACTGAGGATTTAAAATACGGTTCTTCCTCTCCCAGTCTGACCAAACTTATTGATTGGGTGGAACGAAATTACTACTACTTGGGGCTCTCAGCTTGTTCTCTGTGCTTTTATAAATTTGTGATTTTAAATGGTATTTTATGGGTTGGAACTATATAACTACTGCTTGAATTATTTAAGACCTTTTTTCCATTTTTGTTTAGTTTTGTACTCCAATTGCATCTGCCTGGTTACTTAAGGATGGGAAAGTCATTCCCATCAGTCTTTTTGATGATACAAGTTATACATCTAATGATGATGTTTTAGAAGATGAAGAAGACATTGTAGAAGCTGCCAGAGGAGCCACAGAAAACAGTGTTTACTTGGGTGAGTAAATGTATCTTATCTAACGATAGTACACATTGACATCTAGATTTTCTTCTTACATTGTTCCTTCCTACTTCAGGAGTGCCTGTAGTAGTTTTAAATCCTAATATCATCTCTGATGTACGTTGCCCTTGAGATTTATACTTCGATTTCCATTCCTGCTACTTTTCCATTTGTCCAATTCTGAAAATTTTTTTGTTGTTGTTGGAGATGGAGTTTCACTCTTGTCGCCCAGGCTAGAGTGTGATGGCATGATCTCTGCTCACTGCAACCTCCGCCTCCTGGGTTCAAGCGATTCTCCTGCCTCAGCCTCCTAAGTAGCTGGGATTACTGGCACCTGCCACCATGCCCAGCTAATTTTTGTATTTTTAGTAGAGATGGGATTTCACCACATTGGCCAGAATATAGTGCACCTGACCTCAGGTGATCCACCCACCTCGGCCTCCCAAAGTGCTGGGATTACAGGCATGAGCCACCACGCCCAGCCCAATTCTGAAATTTTTAATTACTGTCGCATATTCTTTTTCTCTGAGGTCTATATTAGAAAGGCTTAGAAATATTCTCATTATATAACATGATTTCAAATTACTCATTAGCCAAGAATGGTGGCACGCACCTGTAATCCTAGCTACTCCAGAGGCTGAGATGGGAGGATCGCTTGACCCCAGGAGTTAGAGCCTACCCCAAACTATAATCATGTCACTGCACTCCTGCCTGGGTGACAGGACAACACTCTGTCTGTTTATATATATATAATTATTTATAAGTAATTACATATATGTATTACATATATAATTATTTATATGTAATTACATATAAAATATATAGTTAGGTATATATCCTCAAAGTCTATAATTTTCTGTATTTGTATTTGCATCCATATTAGTTTGTGACCCTCCCCTCTTTAAGATTAGATTTCTTTCTTTTTTATCAGTGCATCTGTACAACTGATCTAAAAAATAAAACTCTGGTGTGCTTCTGGGCAATTGAAAGCCTTTAATATTATAAATTTTGAAAACTCTTGGATCTAATTTGAACTAGTCTGCATCATCAAATACTCATAAAATTCTATAAGCTCTGACAATGTGCCATCCACCTGTTGGTTTGAATGAAAAGCAAGAATTTGAAGGAATAACATGTCATTTGTGTTATGATAGTATTTAACTGAATTGTTAGCAATATTTCTAGAATTATAGGTGTTTAGGTAAACTTTCTTGAGAAAGTTACTTAGTGTAAGCTATTTGTTTTGTGAGAGTACAGTGACTTATCTTTGAATTTTTCTACTGGAACAATTTTCCTGTATTACTGAAAATGTGCTATTATTCAGTGAGAAATATCATATGGACCTTTTGTGTAACTTTCCCTCCCTGTTTTTGTTGAATAAACATTGAGTTTATCTTTGAGTGCTTCAAGCATGTTTCTTCTTTGACAAGAGTTTTGTGGTGTATGTAGAAATAACTGGAATTAATGTAATTTTATTTAATTAAAAAAACCTTTTTAAAAAAATCAATGCATAATTGACAATGTTCTGGTTGATTCAGGAATGTATAGAGGCCAGCTGTATCTGCAGTCATCAGTCAGAATTTCAGAAAAGTTTCCTTCAAGTCCCAAGGCTTTGGAATCTGTCACTAATGAAAACGCAATTATTCCTTTACCAACAATCAAATGGAAACCCTTAATTCGTAAGTGAATTGTAAACTTTTCTAAATACTGTTAGTGTTCAGAGACCTAATCCTGACTGTCTTTGCCCTAGTTTTGAATACTGCAGAGATAAGAACTGTTATATACTTTATATTTTATTGATAAACCATGATGGTATTTCAGATGTTAATAATGAATTTTTATTTTCATTTAGAGCATCATTTCTTGGAAGCAGCAGTTGCTTCTAAAAAATGTTAATCAAATATTTCTCTATACAACTTAGAAAAACTCTTAATCATTCCCTGACCATGCCAAAGTAACATTTAGCGCTTAACATACTTATATTAAGACTGTTTAGGCAAAAGTTATCTGGTTAGCACATCATATTCTTTGAGACTGAACGAATAGAAATCAAATACTGTGCACCTACTTCTTTCATTATCTTTCTAAACCTTGTACGTGTTTTTTACTACATATGTCATGTCATATTTTAATTGTTTGTTTAAACAACTCAGATTCTCTGTAAAACTGTGCTTTTCAAAGGCAAGAGCTCTGGGCCATTTGTTTAACTTATATGTTTGAATTGAATTATGGTTGAATATCAGTTTATTCAATTAAGCACGTGCATTTTTATTCAAGTCATAACAGTTCAGACTTAAGAAATATTATTATTAAGAAAATAATAATTTTCTTTTAGATTCTCCTTCCAGAACTCCTGTCTTGGTAGGATCTGATGAATTTGACAAATGTCTCAGTAATGATAAGTTTTCTCATGAAGAATATAGTAATGGTGCACTTTCAATCTTGCAGTATCCATATGGTAAGTGAAAATACTGAGTTTTATTTATTTTATTTTTTAATTTGAAATTAATAGAATTCAAATGAAGAAAAGTCGATTAGAGTATAGACAATAAAACATCTTGGGAGACAATTTCATGAATGATTACTAAGCATACAAGCTCCAAAGTTAGGTTGCCAGGGTTCAGATCCCATTTTTGCCACATGCTAGGTTGGGCACATCTAACTCCCCTGTGTCTCAATTTCTTTATCTGTAAAATTAGAATAATAATCCTAATATCTATGTATTGAGTTGTTGTGAGGCCTAAATGAGATAACGCAGGCAAAGTCTCAGTTAACATCATACGTGGCACATAGTGTCAGTAAACATTGGTTCTCGTTATTAGCTCTTATTTATCAGACTATATTATGTAGGCTGTATAGTTGCCTGTATAATGAAGAAAATGTGTTTTTCATAAAACTACATGAAAATGATGCACAATGAGGTTATCTTCTTACTCAGACAAGAGAAATTAGTGCAAAAGTCAAGAATAGGTGAGATTTGGCATGAAATACATTTTCTATTTAGTAAGCAGCAGTTTTTTGAAGTTAGGATATATTCAGATATGAAAGCCTTTTAAACAGTTGTGTAATTAAGAAGTCCTCAAATCTGTATCAGGTAAACACGTAGACGACTCATCAGTTACCCTAGATGTTAGCACTGGAAAGTTATTATATAAATTAAATTGATTAAAAAAAAATGGCTCTGAACTAGAAACAGCAGCCTTTATCTTTTTTTTTTTTTTTTTTTTTTTTTTTTGAGATGGAGTTTCGCTCTGTCACCCAGGCTGGAGTGCAGTGGCACAATCTCGGCTCACTACAACCTCCACCTCCTGGGTTCAAGCGATTCTTCTGCCTCAGCCTCCCGAGTAGCTGGGACTACAGATGCACGCCACCACGCCCAGCTAATTTTTGTATTTTTAGTAGAGACGGGGTTTCACCATATTGGCCAGGCTGTTCTCGAACTCCTGACCTTGTGATCCACCTGCCTCGGCCTCCCAAAGTGTCTGGATTACAGGCGTGAGCCACTGTGCCCGGCTCCTTTATCTTGATATTGATCAAAAGACAAGTTAGGCTGGGAGTGGTGGCTCATGCCTGTAATCCCAGCACTTTGGGAGGCTGAGGCGGGTGGATCACTTGAGGTCAGGAGTTCAAGACCAGCCTGGCCAACATGGTGAAACCCCATCTTTACTAAAAATACAAAAATTAGCCAGGCATTGTGGTACACATGTGTAGTCCCAGCTGCTCAGGAGGCTGAGGCAGGAGGATCACCTGAGTCCAGGAGACAGAGGTTGCAGTGAGGCAAGATCACTGCACTCCAGCCTGGGCAACAGAGCAAGACCCTGTCTCAAAAAAAAAAAAAAAAAAAGGCAAGATAAAAGAGAACTGTGTAGTCTGACCACGTAGTACAAAATAGAAGACAAAAAAAGACAAGCTATTTTTCTGGGACAAACTCATTTTGACAGCCTAAACTGAACCAAACAGCATGGATGTTTTCCTTTCATTTTGTGAAGAATGATTGGTGGTAAAATTTGGTATTTTATTGATAACTAAACAAAAAGAAAGCTAAAAATACCCTGAAGGAAGATTGAGTATTAATTCTTATATTTAAAGAATTGAATTATTAATGAGGTTATGAATGGAGTAGCCCTTAAGATTTTTTTCTAGTCTTATTACTTAATATAAAGAAAATTTAATATGCTTATAGGATAAAGGAAAATGTCTATATTTACGGGAGAAAAATGAGACAAATTAAGATGTTTAAAATACGTTAAAGAAGAGAGACAAAACTTAAAAGGAATTAATGTGATAAGTCACAGGAAAATGGATAAATTTTAATAGTTAAAGACGGGCCTATTTTTGATTACCTTTAAAAAAAACGTTTTAATGTTTCTATTTGAAGATAATGGTTATTATCTACCATACTACAAGAGGGAGAGGAACAAACGAAGCACACAGATTACAGTCAGATTCCTCGACAACCCACATTACAACAAGAATATCCGCAAAAAGGATCCTGTTCTTCTTTTACACTGGTGGAAAGAAATAGTTGCAACGATTTTGTTTTGTATCATAGCAACAACGTTTATTGTGCGCAGGCTTTTCCATCCTCATCCTCACAGGGTAAGAATCATGGTTGCTTACTGTCTGGTTTCCACTTCCCCACCTCCTATTTGCTTCTCAACCCATCACAGTCTGGCTTCCATCCCTACTGCTCCACCAAAGCTACTCTTGCCAAAGTTCTCAGTGATCTTCCTTGTGTTAAATGTAATGGACATTTTTCAGTCCTTATCTAACTGAACCTCTTTGTATTTGACACTGTTGAACATCTCCCTTTGACCTTTCTTGCCTGACTTCCTTGACACCATGCTCTCCTGGTCTCCTTGGGTGTGATGTGGATGCTTCAGGACCTGATCTTTCTCATCCTCTCAGTATTGTTGGTATTCCTCAGCACTCCCTCTTTTCACTGTTCATCCCACAAACTCTCCTTAGATGGTCTTCCCTACTTTCCCAGCTCCAATCTTCTTATATACTAATGGTTCCCAAATCTGTTTCTCTGGAACAGCTATCTAGTAAGTGCTACACAGGCACTTCAAATGAGCCATATCTCAGACTGTCCTCATTTCCCCTCCCATTCCCCTCCCCTCCCCAGCCTGTTCTAGCATTTTTCTCTCTCAAAGAAACGTACTGCCGTATGCAGTCACGAAAGCCATGAAATCATTTTGCTCTCCCTTATCAGTCACCAAGTTCTGTCGAATCCTTCCTCCTAGATATCTTCACATTTTTCTTCTTCTCTATGTGTCAGTTTTCATTTCCACAGCACAAATACCATCATCACACCTCTCCTGAATCACTGAAATAACTTCTAACTGGCCTCTGTGCCCCTAGTCCTCAGGCTATCTCCAGTCCATTCTCCACACCCTAACTCTAGCTGCATTTCTGGGCTTAAAAACCTCTAATACCTGACCCTCCTCCCCATTGTTAGGCTCAAGTCCAACCTTCTTAAAACATGCAAGGTTCTGAATGATTCGTACCCTGCCTGCACGTGACCCATCCTTCACTGGTACCCTAATCCCTTCCTCCCCTCCACCGTGCTCAGCCACTAGGCTGAGCTGCTTTCAGTCCTTCCTGTAGACCGTGCTCTCGCTTAGCCTGGTGGTGCTCATCCCTCTAACCTCGCCTTGGAACCTTGTTCCTTACCTCCTCTCCCTTCCCTCTCAAATAATTAACTCCTGGGTAATATCTTTTAGTTTGAAATTAGTTGCCACGTCCCCTGGGAAGTCTTCTTTAACCTCTTATTTCTGAGTTAGATTTCCTGCCTATGTCTACACTCTGTACTCCTCTTACTAGAGTATTTACTAAAATATTTAATAGGTAATTCCTAATTTCTCTCTCTACCTCTAGACTGTACATTCTTTTTTTTTTTTTTTTTTTTTCAGAGACAGGGTCTCACTCATCTCACTCTGTCACCCAAGCTGGAATGCAGTGGCACCATCTCAGCTCACTGCAACCTCCGCCTCCTGGGTTCAAGCAATTCTTGTTCTTCAGCCTCCCGAGTAGCTGGGACTATTGGCATATACCACCACACCCAGCTAATTTTTGTATTTTTTGTAGAGATGGGGTTTCATTATGTTGGTCAGGCTGGTCTGGAACTCCTGGCCTCAAGTGATCTGCCCACCTCAGCTTTCCAAAGTGTTGGGATTACAGGCATGAGCCACCACGCCTGGCCTAGACTGTACATTCTTAAGGACAAGAACCAGTCTACACTGTTTACCACCATCTCCTCAGCCCCTTACACAGTGCTTGGCACATAATTGGAGCTCAGTAAAGATTTGTTGAAAGAATCAGTGACTAAACAGGTGACCCACAGTGCCCCAATTTGACCATGATAATTATTAACATCCTCTAAAACATCTTTTAGGAGATGTTGGTAAAGAGGCATTGCCTGATTTAATTTCCTGTTCTTAAAAGCATTTTAATGCAATCTATGAAACTGGTTAGGAAGGAAATCTCTCTAGTCTTTTTGTTGTTGTTGTTATTGTTACTGGGTTTTTTGTTTGTTTGCTTTTTTTCCCTACCTTATTTTGTCAAAAGAAATCACTCTAGTCTTGCCCAGGAGTTTGTGTTTATGCTTACATGTGTGCATTGTCTTTCTATCTAGTTATGTATCATGCTGTACATATGACATACCCACATTATAAAGAAACAAAATCCCCTCAAAGACTGGAGGGATAGCAGTGGGAAGATAAACTTTTTTTCTTTTATAATAAAGCAAAATGCTGCACTTTGTTTTCATAATGCTTTTATTTTTCTTGATGCTACTTATGTATTTTTCAGTGTTGTTTATTTTATAACCTAAAATTGTTAGCTAACTTCAGTTCAGCTTTGTACTGGTAGTGATTTTGTTTTTCACCTTATCAGCAAAGGAAGGAGTCTGAAACTCAGTGTCAAACTGAAAATAAATATGATTCTGTAAGTGGTGAAGCCAATGACAGTAGCTGGAATGACATAAAAAACTCTGGATATATATCACGGTAAGAGTCTTATAAAATACAACCATCTGAATCAAAGAAGAAATGACCTAAGATCTTGTTTAACTTTTTTTTTAATGTGTGGATATCTAGAAAAATAAAACATAGGCTTAACCCTCAATAAATAAATAAATTCAGGTAACTTAAATGTATTAAAAGTGGTATATACCCTAAGAAAGATAAAAATAGAGTGTTATAGGAATTTAGAATTTCAGCTACCAAATTAAGTTCTTATTCAAGTAACTTAGTTATTTAGGGTCTACTATGTACTAGGATTAGCATTTATAGTACCAGATAATAATTAGGTTTATAAGAGTGTGATATGAGTCTCCACGTTTCGGAATCCTCATTTATTTTCATTATTGTTCTATCTGTAATAGGAAGTAGAAATATAGGGAAAAAAACACTAATAGAACAGATAGTTTTTAAAAGCAGAAGGGGGAGATGGATTAGCTAAAAGTAGGCAGTTTAAATAAAAGTAAAGAAGCTATTAGCAATCTCTCAAGTATAAAATGTCACCTTTGATGCATTGTGATAACTGGAAATGGTGTTATGGTTTATTTTTCATATTACATGGATTATACCTATTTTTCTCTTTGTCTTGATAGCATACTTCTTATCACTTTAGTGATATGGGGACAAGGAAAAGACGTGGAACTATACTGCTTAATATCTAGGGTAATGATTTTATGGCAGAAAAGATTGAAAATAATAGATAAATATGTATATTGGGGCCCTCCAAGGAAACAGAAATGACAAGATGTGCATATATATCTTATACATAGGCATATATCTTTATATATATACTTCTATATAGATATAGATGCACAAGCATATTCACAACAAATTAAGGAAATACTTGTGACAATTACAGTTCTCATTTTTGATACCTGTCATGTGGTCACAGCTGGTAGTTATAAGTACCTTCCTCCTCTATCCATCCCATATTCCCTTTCCCATTGGAGAACAACACCTCAGCCGGTTGTAATTCTATATCTGGTAGGGTGACCCAAATCCACAGTCCTGAAGGGTCTGGGAGATTGGTAGTTCTGCCTGGATTGGATTGTTGTAGTTTTCCATTGACCTTAATCACAAGGCATGATTATACAAAGAGATCCCTAAGGGATCTCATGTATTTCAGACCTACTCTTTCTTACACCTCCACTGTGAAACAGCAATCCAATTTCCCCTTAGTAGTCAGGATTAGTCATCCAGCCAGCACAGTAGCTGTCTTCTTTGTTGATTGGAAGGCATGAGGAGTTCAAAGTTGCTGTTGTATCTCCTGGTGGAAGTGTTCCTCTCCCTTAGACAAAGACCTCTAGGCCTGCCGAACATAAGGTCACAGGAACAGGAAGCAAAAATGTTGCCAGTGGATCACTAGGTGGTAATGGTGGGTGATGCCACTCGCATTTCCATCCCTTGATCCCTGGACCTGTAAATACTGGCTATGGGAGAAACCATGCTATAATATATTAGACACTGATTCAGAGCATATCCAGCTTTCTGGAGAACCCTGGCCCAGCCCTGCAAGGTACCTACCTGGCAGTGTAATGGAGTCTTAAAAGGCCATTCTACCTTTCTGTCAAACCAGCTGCTTCAGGATGGTGGGGAACAGGTAAAAACAGTCAATTTCATAAACAAAGCAAAATTTACTAGGTGATTAACAAATGCTAAAGGCTACTTTAATACCTTTGCTAATAAAAATACTAATATATCAGTGACTGTCAACACCAGCAGGCAGTGAGAGAAAGAATAAAGGATCCAACAACTCCCATGAGGTAGTCTACTACTGAAGTTATTCACTGTTCATTAAACATTTATTCGGAACAGCTGTGTGCAGGACAATATTTCAGGCTTTGGGAGAAATAAAAAGACTGCTCCTATCCTGGAGAAGCTTAAAGTCTATGGGAAAGATACTACTGGGTAAAACAAGCATGTAAGAAGAAAGCCATGAACCAAATCACTAAATCTGTTTGTGATGATCTAGGAGGACATCATAAATGAAGTCATA
Source organism: Homo sapiens (assembly GCF_000001405.40). Lineage (NCBI taxonomy): Eukaryota > Metazoa > Chordata > Mammalia > Primates > Hominidae > Homo > Homo sapiens. Next base: position 88,581,421 of record NC_000002.12, on the reverse strand, counting down.
TTTGAACTGAATTTTAAATTGTGAGAGTTCGGCAAGTAGAGATGAGGTTTGGGGAGTAGAATAAATGCGGTATCATGAATAAAGATGTATTTGTCAGGCTTTTGTCAAGAAAATTAGAAAAATATACTCAAAATTGAATTAGACTTAAGTCAGTTTAACTTTATTCAATATGAAGAATGCAGCTCTTGGGTCTTTTTTTTTTTTTTTTAATATGGGAGTTCTATAATAATACCTAATGTTTTTTAGTGGCGACAATGTCCTAGGCACTGTTAAGAACATGAACTCTGCATTCAGTCATGAGTTCAAATCTCAGCTCTGTTATTTATCAGCTGACAACTTAGGCAAGATGATACTTACATTTCTAGGGTCTGTAATCACATATAAGATGTTACTCTTTTTAGAAGATAATCCGTTTTTATATAGGTGTTTTCCTTAATATGGGAAGATAATTCAGCTGGCCCTCCAGGAGTAGGATATGAAGTTTGTGGGCTTTTGCATTTGGGGAGACTGATTTGTACTGAGGTACCTTGACTGGCTATTTTTAGGAATACAGATTATTACTCTTCATTTTCTATGAAAGGAATTGGCCCATGGAACGTTGAAATCTATTGCTTCTCCTTAACTCCATGCTTTAACCAGCTGAGGCAACTACTAAATAAATGAGTATGTAAGTCATAATGTAAGTCTTAAAGTAAATAATGAGTATGTAAGTCATAAACTTACCCTTATAAGGGATATCAGACATCATCTAATTTATTCATTAATTCATGCATTTATTCAACAGACATTTGTTAGACTTTCGGTTTGTCAGGTAGTGCCCACCCATTGGAAATACAAAGAGAAACAAGAATGATTTTCTGCATTCATGGCCCCCAAAATACAGTGGCGGTGGGAGAAGGGAGCTGCTTACACATAATTGCAAAAAATTAAGATTAAGTTTAAATACTTCAAAGTATTATGTGCAGAGTGTTATGGGAATGTCAAGACAGGGGTCTAAGAAAGCCTTACAGAGGTGAGGAGATGAGCAGAATGAAAGAAGAATAGGGTTCATTAAATGCAAAGAGGAAGGCCATCCCAGTGGAGCAGACAGCAGAAGCAAAACCTTGAATTGTGAGACAGCATGGTGCAAATTGACTGGATGATACAGTGCAGGTCAGTGAAGTCAGCACTAAAGGGAGAAACAGGCTGCTTAGTGGAGGCCCCTGTGAGTGACAGATGGTGAGTTGGCTTCTGTTTGACTTGGTACCTCCAGTGGTAGGTACACTGACTCGTGGGGCAACCCAACCCATGTCAGCTTTGGTTCCTAGGAAGGTTTATGGCTAAAATAGTACCTGGGTATAATAGGACTGATTAAAATTTTCCCATAAAATTGACAGGTAATTAGCTAAGATAAAAACACATTTTCTGTAATTGATTACAAAATGTCACAGAATGTAAAAGATATGAGGATTAGGAATATGATATTTTGGTAGATGATAGGAAGTATTGGACAGCACACATCACTAGTGCAGCAGTTGTAAGAAAAAGTGATTAACAAGTGATTCCCAATTAAACATGTCTTTTTTATTTTTAATTTTTTTCTAGGAAACATAAGAATGTGTTTGCTTCATTTATACAAACAGGACTAAAAATGCTGTTAATCAAATTCAAAATATACTATTTATTAAGATGAGTTCTATGAGTTTATACATTTTTATGTGTCATAAGATTGAACTGATTTTCACATTACCACAAAATTTAAAACTGTTGCAAACCTTTATAAATTTTATCTCTTTTTAAAGATATCTAACTGATTTTGAGCCAATTCAATGCCTGGGACGTGGTGGCTTTGGAGTTGTTTTTGAAGCTAAAAACAAAGTAGATGACTGCAATTATGCTATCAAGAGGATCCGTCTCCCCAATAGGTAATGGGTGGTACCTTCAGTAAACTTGAAATCAGCACAGTGTGATCTAATCTCATGGGTAAAATATCCTTCTTACTGTACTCTGTAAACACCATAGAAAACAGTTTCAGACGTTTCAAATCTTAGGTTCTAAGTGCTGCCAATTAACCAGCTGTCTAAAAGTTGTTATCTCTATAGGTTGCTTTCTATCTACTTTTAAAATATGCCCTTGTTTTTTATTATTAACTCAGGACTTTCGTTTAGTGGCTTATAATAACTGTAGACCAGTAAATTGCAGCATTTTAAAACATTCTATATTTTTGTATAAATAAGGAAAAGTACTAGAACAAAAACATTTGAATTATATTGTCTCTACCTGGTAATAACTATTAACACTTTAGAGTATTTCCTTTTGATTTTGTTTTCTGGTCATATATTTACCTAACTGGTAGCCAGTTGCCAGTACTGTACAGTTTTGTCTGTTGCTTTCTTCATCATATCCTCTATATTTTTCATGTTATTAAGAATATGTTATTAGAATCCTAAAATATATTAAAAGTATTTTATGGCTTGGTAATAGTCCATTTAATACACGTGCCATATTTTGTTTAACCATTTCTTATTGTTAAACAATTTGGTTTCTAATTTGTTAGAATTAGAAATAACTTTACCATAAAAAAAACCTTTGCAGTATTCATCTTTTTATGTACCTTTTGACAATATCTATTTCCTTAGGATAGATTCCTAGAAGTGTGATTTCTGGCTCAGAACAGTGTGATGCTTAAGATGATAGGGTTCCAGCAATACCTTTTATTCTAACTATGTAGAAGGCCCTTGTTGCTTTTTTTTTTTTTTTTGAGACAGGGTCTTGCACCGTCACCCAGGCTGGAGTGCAATGGCACAATCTCGGCTCTCTGCAACCTTTGCCTCCCTGGTTCAAGTGATTCTCATGCCTCAGCCTCCCGAGTAGCTGGGATTACAGACACCCACCACCACACCCAGCTAATTTTGTATTTTTAGTAGAGATGGGGTTTCACTATGTTGGCCAGGCTGGTCTCAAACTCCTGACCTCAGGTGATCCACCTGCTTTGGCCTCCCAAAGTGCTGGGATTACAGGCATGCACCACCACACTCGGCTAATTTTTGTATTTTTAGTAGAGACAGTGTTTCACCGTGTTGGCCAGGCTGGTCTCGAACTCCTGACCTCAAATGATCCACCCGTCTTGCCCTCCCGAAGTGCTGGGATTGCAGGCATGAGCCACTGTGCCTGGCCTCTTGTTGATTCTTGATTAAATGCACACTAATTGTTGTGCTGTCATCATATCTGGTAGTCACAGCTTTTTCAAATTCCTGTCTGGTAGGTACAGGAATTGGATGGTTTGGGTACTAGGGAACTATTTTTTTTCTTTTGGTAAATAACTTTTGAGTAGTTTAAATATTCATATGTGCCAGGCACTACATAAGTGATAAAAACTGAGCAAGGTTTCTGCCCTCAAGAAGCCTGTACCTTTTTGGTGCTTCTGTATGTACACTCAAGTAAATACAATGCAAGAAAGATTTTGACCTTTGCCTTATCTTAGTAAATATTAATAGCTTCTCATGAAGAAGAGCAGATGTGGCCAAAAGGCAGTCAAGGAAGTCAAGCTTCTTAGAAATGGCGGCATTTGCTCTGGGTGCTCAAGAGTAGCCTTTCCCTCAGTAGGAGACAGGTGGGGAGGGATGGCCAAGTGCATGAAATGGCCCGAGCAAAGGCTCTCACAAGCACTTGGAGGTGGTATGGAGAATGGTGAGAGTTCTGGAGTAGATGGAACAAAGGGTAAGAATAGGGGAGGATGGAAGAGAGGAAGAAAAAGATAGGTTGGCCAGGTACAGTGGCTCACGCTTGTAATCCCAGCACTGTGGGAGTCCTAGGCGGGTGGATCATTTGAGGCCAGGAGTTCGAGACCAGCCTGACCAACATGACAAAATCTCATCTCTACTAAAAGGCAGTTGGAGGTTACAGTGAGCTGAGATCGCATCACTGTACTCCAGCGTGGGTGACAGAGTGAGACCCTGTCTCAGGAAAAAAAAAAAAAAAGATAGCTTGTAGCACCTTAAATGCCAAGCAAAGAAGTTGGGATTTTAAAACTTTATTTGTACGTGCAGTAGATGCGCTTGTAGCATTTATTTCCAGAAGAGAAAAACAAACAAAACTGAAATACTTGTATTTTTTAAAATACAGGACTTGTGTGGCCTTTTAGAAGTATACCCTAGGCTAGCCGGGCACGGTGGCTCACACTTGTAATCCCAGCACTTTGGGAGGCCAAGGCAGGTGGATCACCTGAGGTTAGGAGTTCGAGACTAGCCTGACCAACATGGTGAAACCCTGTCTCTACCAAAAACACAAAATTACCTGGGTGTGGTGGTGCGCATCTGTAATCCCAGCTACTCGGGAGGCTGAGGCATGAGAATCACTTGAACCAGGGAGGCGGAGGTTGCAGAGAGCCGAGATTGCGCCACTGCACTCCAGCCTGGGTGACAGAGCAAGACCCTGTCTCAAAAAAAAAAAAAAGTATAACCTAGGCTAACTCATCTGTTTCTAATTTTAGTTTCAAGAAAAGATCCTATTTTATTATTTTTCTGTTTTCACTATTAGATATGAATACTTCAGATATGAACAGCCTTCAGTGTTGTCTTACTTTCTCTCTTTTTCAGGCTAATTTTATTTCTTTAATTTTCCTTTTTTATTGGTATATAATACATCTACATATTTTAGGGGTATAAGTCATATAATTTGTAAAGATCAAATCAGTGTAATTGGAATATCCATCACCTTAAATATTTTCTCTCTTTCAGGGAATTGGCTCGGGAAAAGGTAATGCGAGAAGTTAAAGCCTTAGCCAAGCTTGAACACCCGGGCATTGTTAGATATTTCAATGCCTGGCTCGAAGCACCACCAGAGAAGTGGCAAGAAAAGATGGATGAAATTTGGCTGAAAGATGAAAGGTAACTAACTTTGTTACACATACACTTAAGCTAGTTTTTTGCTTGTGTGATTACAATGTCAGTTTTATAACTTTAGGGATTTTTTTTTTTAAAGAAAAGGAACAGCAGAGTTCTGTTGTTTCATGTTTTGAAAAGTTCTCTAGCCACTTGTGAAATTTTGGTTTAGATTTTGAGAACATACACGGGTGACTCATGCCTGTAATCCCAGCACTTTGGGAGGCCGAGGTGGGAAGATGGCTTGAGCCCAGGAGTTCAAGACCAACCTGAGCAACATAGTGAGACCCTGTCTCTTAGAAAAAATAAGAGAGAACTTACATTTTAAAAAATTACTAGTTGATAGGACTCTATACATTGTGATTGATTGAGGGATTTATAGTGACTTTTCTCAGTATAAGGTATCTGCTTCTGTCTCCATTTTTTAAAAATGTTTGTTATTTAGTTCTCTTAGCAGTTAACAATTTACAGCTCCTTTTTAAGTAGTTTTGAACTATTTGCAGTTAAAAATACATAAACTTAGCCTGAATATATTGTCCATATTAACTATGATGTGCTATAGGAAGGAAGGCCCTTTAAAAACTATTAAAGGAGAAGAAAAAGGAAGCATGTGTAGATAGACTGCCACCAAACAACTGGAGTGAAACTCCTACCTACAGGTATCTAAGCAACATTAGATCCACGTGAGGTACCTTGTTAAAGTGGTGCTTATTATAGACTCAACCAATAACTAAGCCATAGAAGGACCAAGTGAAGTGGCCCCATGTCTCAAGGCCTTGTGAGGCGCTGCCCTTTTAGGTTAATTTTAAGCCACCAAGGAATCCTGTCCTCACTTTGCATAAAAGGCTTTGGCTGCTCTGGCAGCCCCAGACAGTCCCAGGTAACTGTTTCATGTATAAAATTAAGCTTTAAAATTAAGTTTTTTAGAAGGAATGAATGGAATGTGATGTTCTGTATCTCACATTGCATGTTTTTATTTAGTTTGTATGTTGTTTTGTTGTCATTTGGTAAGTGGCCTTATTACAGTTGAAGCTTTTTAAACAGAGGGTGCAGTTCAGGTACTTGAATCAATATATATTCACTCTTACCCCTTTGTATTTCTCCCACTTTTAGCACAGACTGGCCACTCAGCTCTCCTAGCCCAATGGATGCACCATCAGTTAAAATACGCAGAATGGATCCTTTCGCTACAAAAGAACATATTGAAATCATAGCTCCTTCACCACAAAGAAGCAGGTCTTTTTCAGTAGGGATTTCCTGTGACCAGACAAGTTCATCTGAGAGCCAGTTCTCACCACTGGAATTCTCAGGAATGGACCATGAGGACATCAGTGAGTCAGTGGATGCAGCATACAACCTCCAGGACAGTTGCCTTACAGACTGTGATGTGGAAGATGGGACTATGGATGGCAATGATGAGGGGCACTCCTTTGAACTTTGTCCTTCTGAAGCTTCTCCTTATGTAAGGTCAAGGGAGAGAACCTCCTCTTCAATAGTATTTGAAGATTCTGGCTGTGATAATGCTTCCAGTAAAGAAGAGCCGAAAACTAATCGATTGCATATTGGCAACCATTGTGCTAATAAACTAACTGCTTTCAAGCCCACCAGTAGCAAATCTTCTTCTGAAGCTACATTGTCTATTTCTCCTCCAAGACCAACCACTTTAAGTTTAGATCTCACTAAAAACACCACAGAAAAACTCCAGCCCAGTTCACCAAAGGTGTATCTTTACATTCAAATGCAGCTGTGCAGAAAAGAAAACCTCAAAGACTGGATGAATGGACGATGTACCATAGAGGAGAGAGAGAGGAGCGTGTGTCTGCACATCTTCCTGCAGATCGCAGAGGCAGTGGAGTTTCTTCACAGTAAAGGACTGATGCACAGGGACCTCAAGGTCTGTATTTGTGGAGCATCACCCTTGGGGTTTCAATCTGACGTTTTGTGATTCAGAGCAGTACTTGCAGTACTCTGAAGGATCCTTAAGAGTTGGGGAGAGTAAAAGCATCTGAGAGCAGAGGTCTGAGAAAGTAGCCTCGAAGGGGCCTGCTGCAAGAATAAGAAGTCTTATGTCTGAAAACTTTAGGCAAACCATGCATTCATTGTCTTCAGTAATGTGTTTGTGTTCATTTTACTGTAAAAGGTATTCTCAGTAGTCCAGGTGAGGGAAAAAAAAGAAAAAAGAATCTTTAGGTAAAATCCACCATGAGCAGATATAGCCTGTTTTTTTGTTTGTTTGTTTGTTTTTGTTTTTCTATGGTTTTGAGTAACCCTGACACCAATACCTCCAGGGCTCTGAAGCAGCATGGTGAAAGGGATCCGAATGGAAGGAGAGACATGGGTTCCTTCATTAGCCAGCTTGAATTGGGGCAAATCTCCACACTTTTGCTTCTTTTTCTGAACTGTTTAGACTTTGGGGGAAGGGGTAAGAAGCCGAATGGGGAAAGGTAGCAAATAGTTAACAGATGACTGTTTACAGCTCTAAAACCTTGGATTCTATTTTCAATATATTCAGTAGTGAATTTTGCAGTAATATAATATGCAAAATTATTAAAGAGTCTTACTAAAACATGACATTTCCGTAGTAGTGTTTCTAAAAATAAGTACATGGAACTTTTATTTAACTAATTTCCCACATTCCATATACTCTTAGCCATCACCAGTAGATGTGGAGTGAATGTATAAATACTTTTCTGATGAAAGTAGCTTAAAGTCTTGATAGATGTGGATCCATTTTAAGTCTTTTCAGACTTAAAACAGACTTGTTTCAGGCACAAAAGTAGCTATTTGGACACAAGTTATTTTCTTCTAAAATCAGCAGTAGGTTTTCAAATTCTTGGGTATATTTTAAGAGTTTTAGGGTAACAAGAATAGGAATTAGAAATAATTCTTATTTTTTAATATAATTGTTATTTAGTCATATAAATCATTATGCTTCAGTGATTTTGACGTGGGCCCAAACTGATTGCCAAGAATTGTTCTGCACTGAATGAAAAGTTCAGAGATGAATTATTTGGTTGGATTGGAGAAGACAGTTTACAGGAGACCACACACCCCTAATTTGAGAGAATACTAGCAGTTAGGTTTGAATATAGTAAACGCTTATCACTAGGTGGGAAACAGCTAGCTGAAATACACATTCTTCTTGTACTTAACACTTGCTGTACACACAAATGCCAACTTGAAAGACAATGAATCATGTTTTCACTAATAATGAATATTCTTCTGCTAATTTTATAATGTAAATGAGATATTGGTAAATATCCATTTAATGCTACAATGTTGTCTAAAGATTTTTCTGTAATTGTCTATGCACCAGAAAAATTGCAAGAAGAAAGTTAATATTCCTGTTAGTTTTTCTAGAAATCAGAAAGTTTTATTCCTTTCTAAATAGAAGACAATTCCTTTTAAAGATTTCTAGTGCGCCACCCCCAACCAAAAAAAAAAAAAAAGCCAAGATTTTTGTTCCTGGGTGAAAAAGCTGTACATTTTGCTACGTTCTGACCTAAATCTTTGAGCTCAATGTTAAACCTTCTAGGCCCTCTCCCCCTGTTATATTTTGGTCACATTTTTGTCTTCAGGACTTTGGCTCCTGCCTCTTCAGACTAACTTCTAGTCTTCTATTTTCTCCACTCTGAACTTTTCTCAGTTCCTCTTGATATACACTGTTCTGACAGAAACCTGGTCCTTCTTCATTATTCTCATCACACCTGGATTATTTATTCTGTGGTTTCTATGGGGTATGAACCATATCTGTTTCTTTTACCTGTTATAGTCTCAGTACAATGCCTGAATGTTCTAGATGGTCATACCATTTATTTTGAATTTTATTTTCTTTGCACTCAAAAGTGTTTATACTGACTTAACCAGAAAAGGAAATCTGTTGGCCCACATGGCTAAACTGTTGAGAATTCAGGTAAAGCTTTAGCTGAGATCAAGTGATTTAGCCAGAACCTGGTTTCTGTCCTCCCCATTTCTTGTTTCTATTTAAGTCTTTTGGAGTTGGTGGGGTAGAGGGTGGAGAGAAAAGTATTGCTTTTTCCCACTATCAGAAATTTTATTCTACTTAAACCAAGGACACCTACCCATCCCTCAACAATCCCTAGCCAGGCAATGGGATTCCATGGATTGGCGTAAGCAACTTTTAGAGCATGGATGCCTTCCACACTAACCGTGGGGTTTTGCTGCACAGTCAGCAAGAAGGAAGTTCCCAAAGTAAAGTCAAGATACTTCTGCTGGAAGCACAGGGAGATAGATACTGGAGAGCCAAAAAGCTTGTCTATTATAGGGTTCAGTAAATAACAACTGCCATCAGATGTTGGGAGTTGGGAAGAAAGATGACATTTAATGCAGGATAGTCTATTATTGCCTCTGGTACAAAGTTATTTATTGGAGAGCTGCAGATTATTACCATAGATCTTATACACAATAACTTCATGCTTCCAAGTCAAAATCGTTTAATGGTATTTTAGAGTTTGGGAATGCAATGTTATTTTCTGGCAGTATTTGAAACATGATGAAATTCAATTTCATGAGCTAAATGGCTTCCTTTTTCCTCATTTCAAGGGCTATGAATGGTGGTCATATTACCCGCAGAGTAGAGTAGACTCTGAGGGAGAGGTGATGTATTTCATGTAGGGCACCTTGGGTTTGAGAAGCCCATGAGACCTCTGGTTAGATGTATTCAATAAACAGTGTAATATGAGTTTAGAACTCAGGGCAGAGATCTGGGAGTAGATATAGTCTTGAGAACATAGAGGTTTTACGAGAGGCAGCATAGAGTAGTAGTGAAGAGCTCTTATCCCTTCTGATAATCTATATCCCCCTCAGACGCAAACCAAAAGATCAGTCTGTTTCATTCATTCACCAAATAGTAATTAGCTACCATAGAGCAAGAACTGGACTGAAATCTGGGCACGTGGCAGTGGATCACAAGGTCCTTTCCTCATAGAGCCAGACTGCTCAGGTCTGAATCCCTGCTTCACCACTTGCTAGTTGGGTAACCTTGGGCAATTTGTTTAACTTCTGGGCCTCACTTTCTATGTCTGTAAAATGGGGTTAGTACTCATCTAATGGGGTTGTAGTACATGAGTTAGTAGTAGTAAACTGCTTTGAACAGTGCCTAGCACATTGCAAGTTCTATTTATGAACTAGTTATTATTAGTTATAATTATTAAGGCTTTAAGTCATAAGTGTAGAGATGCTTGCCTGGGAAGAATATATAGAATAATAAGATTGAGGATTAAGTACCATGATCCCTAGGGAATGTGCACCTCAAAGGGTTTAAGTAGATGTTCAATAAATACTAGCACTCTTTGCTACCCTTCCCTTTTCTTTACTAGCAGTACTTGTCTGGCACAGAAAAATTGTCACTATTTTCCTGTTAGCCCATTTTAAAAAGAAATATGCTTGAAAATATCTAGTTTGTTGTATTTTTTCTTTGTAGTCTTTTAAATAATTCTCTTTACTTTTTCGCCTCCATGCACACCCACTGTACTTTTGTCTGTTGTATTCTTTCCAGCCATCCAACATATTCTTTACAATGGATGATGTGGTCAAGGTTGGAGACTTTGGGTTAGTGACTGCAATGGACCAGGATGAGGAAGAGCAGACGGTTCTGACCCCAATGCCAGCTTATGCCAGACACACAGGACAAGTAGGGACCAAACTGTATATGAGCCCAGAGCAGGTGAGTTTTTCAGACCTTTACTTACTAGCACAGCAGCAGATGTACCTGATGAATCTCTTCTCATGTTTTCATTAAAATACCCAGTAATCTAAAACCCAGTAAGTCTGAAAATTATGAAAACTGGCAGTAGTGTTCCAGTAGTGGAATAGTGACACAGCTAAGATGTAGTTTCTACAACCTGAATTGGGGCTGGATTAAGAAAAATACAACACATAAAATGCACTCACCCCCTGAACAAGCACCTGACAGCAACCAGGAATTTGGAAAGAGACTTTGAATGCCACCCTCCCAAACTTAACTCGTTTGCCTTGTGTAGACTGTGTTGGAACTGTTTTCAGAGCCAGCTAGACCCAGAGGTACTATACTGAGCTGCCCTTTGTGGTCACTCATAGGCAACTTCCAGCATGTACCACAGTAGGAAATAGAGGCACACAGGCCGGCAGGTGTTGCCTTGTGGGCTGCTTGGCCTTCACAGGAAAAGCACTGTAATCAGGGCAGGGACTGGAAGAGCTGGGGGAGCAGGGCATCCTGGAAGCATCAGGCGAGCATGCTCAGCCACCACCAGGCAAATGATCTTCACAAGCTTCTCTATGCTTAGAGCAGCGGGTCTCGGACGTTTTGGGCTCAGTACATACTTACACTTGTAGAAATAACTGAGAACCCAAAAGGTTTTCTTAACAAAATTTTATCTATCGATATTTGTTATATTAGAAGTTAAAAGAGAAATTTATAAAACTTTATTAAATCAACTAAATAACAATGAAACCTATCACATCTTAAGATATTTTTATGAAAAATAAGTATTTTCTAAAACAAAAAAAAATTACAGGCACCAATTCCCCTGCAAAAAAAAAAAATTAGAGTGACATTTGTTTACATTTTTGCCAGTCTCTTTAAAGCTAACTTATAAAAGTGCTACATTCTTCTATCTGCTTTTGTGTTCAATCTGTTGCAGTATGTTATTTTGGCTGAAGTACATGAGGAAATCTGGCCTCGCACAGATATGTAGTTGGAAAAAAGAGCAATATTTCATTTCAAGTAATTGTAGATATTTTGTCTTTGATAGTATATCAAAACTTAGTAAATGATAGTTTCTTAGAAGTCATTTACACTGTGGAATCTAAAACCATTCATGAATATTTTGTACTCTGGTACTTTTAACATCCCTTGGTCCATTTTGTACTTTGAATGGATCTTTTTACCCATGCTTGACTTTACATTGTGCATTAGTCATTTGGAAACTATTGGTTCCCTAAGTTTGGCAACTATTCCAAAAGTCATCACAGTTCATTATGTAATATAAAAAGTCACTTTGGTTAATACAACCACCAATCTCACCAGAAAAGGCTTTATGTACATATTAGGAGGCTATCAAATTCCCACTGGTAGACTGAAATCTTCCAAAATTTTAATTTTCACTTAAAAGCTCAACTTTTAACATTGGCAACAAATACTGTTAGTTTTCCTTGAAATGCCATTCTCACATTGTTCATCTTTTTTTCTCTTTAAAAAAAAAATGTTGTTTGTTTTTTTTTTTGAGATGGGGTCTTGCTGTGTTACCCAGACTAGTTTTGAACTTCTGGCCGCAAGCCATCCTTGAACCTCAGCCTCCCAAAGTGCTGGGATCACAGGCGTGAGCTACCATGCCCGGTCTCATTGTTCATCTTTAAGAAAGTGTCCCTCGGCCAGTCGCAGTGGCTCACACCTATAATCCCAGCACTTTGGGAGGCCGAGGCAGGCAGATTACCTGAGGCCAGGAGTTCGAGACCAGCATGGCCAACATGGTGAAACCCCGTCTCTTGTAAAAACACAAAAATTAGCTGGGCATAGTAACGCATGCCTGTAGTCCCAGCTACCCAGGAGGCTGAGGCACAAGAATTGCTTGAACTTAGGAGGCAGAGGTTGCAGTGAGCCGAGATTGCACCACTGCACTTCAGCCTGGGTGACAGAGCAAGACTCCATCTCGAAAAAAAAACTCTCTGTCAAGTATCCAAGTCTCAATAACTGTAGTTTGTCTACCAATTATTCTTTCAAGTCAAAATGGTGTTCTATGAAAAGAGCAGCTAGAGCATATTGTAACTCAAATAATTGCACAAATGCTAATGATACTCACAAGCTAATCTATGCTTACATCAGCAGGTCTCAACTTCTTAAAATTAGTTTGTTTTTTAAATTGACTCATAATTGTACATATTTATGGGGTACATACTGTCGTTTTAATACATACACTATTTAGTGATTGGATCAGGGTTATTAGCATATCCAAGGTATCAAACTTGGAGACAACTATTGTACTTTGGTATGGAGCATAAATGTTTTTCTGAATATTTTCCATTTTGTCAGATTATTAAAAAGGTGTATATTTAAAGGTTGAGATTTAATAAATTAATAATTTCTACTGCTAAGGACATTTTAAGTGAAATGTTTTTTGGTTTTGCCTGTGAGCACGTGGTGCTGAAGAATGTAATTGCTACTGGTACAGCTTGGCACTGCTCGCTTGATTCATGCTTAGGTTCTGTCAGTGCAAATGTCAACACAGTGAAAAATTATATCTTAGTATTATTATGAAAATAGTCTTGGCCTTGCAGACCTTTTGAAAGGGTGTTAGGGTCCCGAGGAATCCATGGACCATACTTCAAGAACCACTGGATTTGACTATCTTTGAAAGATTATATCAGAGACCAGTAATAGGAACTGCCTTTGAGGAGGGCAAGTTTGTTTTACTGTCATAGAGCATCCTTTTGAAGTGTTTGCATTGTTTACCTTAGTCAAGTGTTTCTTTTTTGCAATGTGAATTTTTATTTTGTATTTCGTCTTTGAAGGAGATTGCAGTGAGCCAAGATCCTGCCACTGCACTCCAGCCTGGGCAACAGAGCAAGACTCTGTCTCAAAAAAAAGAAAAAAGAAATCAAGCATTTTTACATATTAAGAGTCAAAAAAGTATCTTAAGTGAAAAAAAACAAAATGCAGAAATGTGTACACCTTTTGTGTAAAGGAGGAAAAGATAGATATACATTTGCTTATGTTTACATTAAAAAACTCTGGAATGATGTGTAAGAAACAAATGGCTATGGGGGCAGTGGCAGAGGGGAAGTAACTGGTGGGGCTAGGCCAGTGAGGGACAGAGTGAGAGGGAACTTTTACTGTTAGCTCTTTTTGAGCCATCTGAATGTGTTACCTATTAAAAGTTAATTTGAGATGAGAAATATATAAAAATTGGCAATAGACATCAAACCCAATGAACGATATGTGCCAATGGTTCTTGTGAATATTGATACCAAAATGAGAATAAAATCCAAAATGTATTCCTAGTAAAAGACAAATAATTTTAAGTATGCTTATCATTATAAGCTGAGTTTGTCATTCCTATATTAAATTAACAAAGATTAGGAAATGGACGATGGTAAGAACATGGAAAATAAAGATGGGAATAGGGATTTGTACTTGATGTAGCTAAGTTTGGCAAATAGAATAATAAAACAATATTTCTACCTCTGTATCACTTACAGACGACAAACACAAACTGCAGCAAAGGGAAAGGATATGGAAATACAAGTGATGCTAAAGCCAAATATTAGTTATGACAACAAATAAATAGATGTGTTTAAATATCCCCATGAAAGGGAAACTTCAGGTTGGATTATAATTTAAAAAAAAAAAGGTTAGAAAGGGAAGCTAGGTAAAAAAATACTAAGCTTTATATACAGTTGCTATTTGAAGATTTATTGATGAATAAATTATAATTATATTTACTTTCATTTTGAACTTCTAGGCCACAAAGAAATATCATGGATATTGTAAATGCCTTTTTATGATTATAATATATTAAAAGAAGGGTATAGTGGTGTATAAATTGATTTTTATAATTTTGTCTGTTTTTATTTTTGCTTTTGCTTCTGTTTTGCTGGCTGGAAATTTTATTATTTTTTTGAGACAGGGTCTTTGTCACTCAGGCTGGAGTATAGTCATGTGATCTTGGCTCACTGTAGCCTCTGCCTCCTGGGCTCAAGTGATCCTCCCACCTCAGCCTTCCAAGTAGCTGGGATTACAGGTCCACACCGCCATGCTCAGATAATTTTTTTGTTTTTTGTGGAGATGAGGTGTCACTATGTTGCCAAGGCTGGTCTTGAACTCTTGGGATCAAGCAATCCTCCCGCCTTGGCCTCCCAAAGTGCTAGGATTACAGGCGTGAGCCACTGTGCCTGGCCAACTGGAAATTTTAAAACCCTCCTAAATAACTATCAGGTCAATAGATGATGGGTTGATAAGTGCAGCAAACCACCATGGCACACGTTTACCTGTGTAACAGACCTGCACGTCCTACACATGTACCCCAGAACTTAAAAAAAAAAAGAGTTTTTAAAAATAACTATCAGGTCAATAATGAAGTAAAAATACTCATACAAAGTATTAAGAAAATGATGAAAGAAGCTGGGCACTGTGGCTTGAGCCTATAATCTCAGCTACTCAGGAGGGTGAGGTGAGAGGATCACTTGAGTCCAGGAGTTCCAGGCCAGCCTGGGCAAAATAGACCCCATCTTAAAAGAAAATGTAAAAAACTTTTTTTAAAAATGAAAGAAATGAAAAATAGTGAAATCTATAGGAAGTTTTCAAAGTTCCATTTGGAGATAAATTTATTTTCAGGCCTTCATTACATAGCACATTACTGTATAAGAGATTAGAATTCTGCTCAATAGAAGGCAGGGAGGAGCCAAGAAGATGGAAAACAAACATAAGAATTGATACTGGTGAAACAGTAAAATAGCATCACCATGGTTGTTTCTAATAGTTTAAAATAAAGATAATCCTCTCTAGCATAGATACCTACTTAAGGGGGGAAAATCACAAATAAATTTAGAAATTAGAAGAGATACAGAAGAGATTTTTATTTATAGGAGACTTTCATATATAGTCAATTGGTTGCAACCAAAAGTATCCAAACTGGCTTACGTAGAAAAATAAATAAAATAAATCTATTGGCCCTGGTAATTAAATCATCCTGCTCAAATGATCTGGCCAAGGGGTGGTGAAAGGAAAAATTAAAACTGTATGAAATATCAAAATACTATAAATACATATTTCTATCTATAGGAAAAAAGACTAGAAGAGCCATAAAATATCAACAGTCATTGCTTCTGAGTAGTGGGACTTCAAATGAATTTTAATCTATTTTGGACTTTTCTGTATGATCCAATTTTTCTACATAGTCATACAACAGAATTGATATTAAAAACAGTTTTGGTTGGGCATGGTGGCTCATGCCTGTAATCCCAGCACTTTGGGACAGGTGGATTGCTTGAGCTTCAGAGTTCGAGACCGGCCTGGGCAACATGGCGAAACCCCATCTCTACAAAAAATACAAAAATTAGCTGGGCATGGTGGTGTATGCCTGTGGTCCCAGCTACTTGAGAGACTGAAGTAGAAAGGATCGCTTGAGGCTGGGAGGTGGAGGTTGCAGTGAGCCAAGGTCATGCCACCGTGCTCCAGCCTGGGTGACAGAGTGAAACCCCTTTAAAAAAAAAAAAAAAAAGTTTTTTTGGCCAGGCATGGTGGCTGACACCTGTAATCCCAGCACTTTGGGAAGCCAAAGCAGGCAGATCATCTGAGGTCAGGAGTTCGAGACCAGCCTGGCCATCATGGTGAAACCCCGTCTCTACTGAAAATATAAAAATTACCGGGCATGATGGCAGGCACCTGTAATCCCAGCTACTTGGGAGGCTGAGGCAGGAGAATTGCTTGAACCCAGGAGGGGGAGGTTGCAGTGAGCCGACATCTTGCCATTGCACTCCAGCCTGGGCAACAAGAGTGAAACTCCGTCTCAAAAAAAAAAAAAAACACCTTTTTAATTGTGTTTTTAAAAATTTATTATTATTTAAGAGGCTGGAAATAATACTTTTACATTTTAAATATTGTGAAAACAAATAAAAGGAATTCTATCTGGATGCTTATTAATGAAGGCTCACGACTTGGGAAGCCTCTCTCACCCAGTCCTATTTAAAAGAGATGCTTCTCCCTTCACTCCCTGCCTGGGTCCATCCCATTACACTGGTTTCTTTTTACAGCATTTTTAACTCTTTGAGGTTCTTTTTTCTTTCCCTGTGAAATATAAACTATCAGTATAGGGACTTAGCTTGTCTCTCATTCTACTCTTAACACCTGAAACAACACCTAGAATGTGGCATAGTTTCATAAGTGTTTGGTGGATGAGTGAAGGTGAATGCTAGTGAAAAGATGAACACCAGGTAGTCCCGGCCACCCCATACACACTTCTGTGCTGACTGTAGTGTGGCTTGTGGCTGCTGTGTGTGTGTGTGTGTGTGTCTTGGAAATGGGTTGCCATTTGAGAAAGGAAGAGGTTGATGACAACTGAAGCTATATTTCGTATTGTTGAAAATACTAGAAAATTAGGATAGCTGTAGAAATTTTATGGCAATGTATAGTGGTTAAAATTTGGTAGTTAAAAATGGACAGTCTTAATTATCTTCTTAATCCTCTTTAAACATAGAAACTGTCACTTTATAAAGTGCTCCTTAAAAAGTCACACAAAATATTTGGGCTGTATGAATTGTACAATCTTACCCAAGCCTTAGAAGCTATACTAAAACATTGTTTTAAAATTATTTATTATTAGAACTCTCTTAATTTTCTCATCCTTGAAATAAATGAGCAGGACCCATGGTTACTTTGTTCTTGGTTGTAATTACGAAGAAACACAGGTTAAGTTCTAGATTTGCACACAGCGATTAAACAATTCAAAGGATATATTCTAGGTCCTAATTCCTTATTTTTTAGATATTTTGTAAATATAACTTTTCATGCGTTCATGAGGCTACATTTCTTTTTTTAAATATGTTTAATCACGTTAGAAACAATAAATAAATTTAGTAACACATTATATATCTATCTGTCCTCTAGGGAATACAGAAAGTATAGGGACATATAACAAAAAAGTAAAAATCACTTACCAAAAATATCTGTAAGACATTAACAGCAGTTATTTCCTTTTCTCTCTCTGTGTGTGTGTATATCTATATACACCTTACTTTAGAAAATAAAATTGGAATTCTACTCTAACATTTTGGATACAATATTAAAATATAAGTATTTCCCATATTATTAAATATTCTTAGAAAAGATTTCCAGCTGCATAGTATTCAACATTCATTTGGGACATTTTAATTACTTGTAAATTTTGCTATTAGGAATATCACTTGGGTAACTATCCCTGTACCCAAATACCCAAATGTCTGTACACATTTCCATCTGCCCTAGGGTGGGTAAAATTAGATGGCATCATTAAGCAGGAGTAAACATTTATTGCCAAGTTGCTTCTTATAAATTTGTGTTTATTTATATTCTCCAAATAGTGTGTGAGGGTGTCCTTTTCAGTTCCCCTATAAGATTTGTTTTTGCACATTTTTTTTAACACTTCCAAAACCCCAGGGATAAGAAGTGAGACAGGGTTCAGATTGCTACAGTCTCTTGGAAGGGAAGAGGGTGATGCCACTGATGTGGTCACTGAAGCTTTCCATCTGCTCTTCTATAAGTACAGAGGCAGGCAGGCTGCGCAGAAGGCCAGGGAGACAGATGCCAAGTACGGTTTAGAGGGGAAGTTGTGAAGGGATCATAAACCCTGGCAACTGCCCTGTGACCACCTCTACTTCCCAGTTAAGAAGTACTGGTATGGAGCATTTCCAAAGTTCCCTTCTTTGGCAGTTTCTCAAATGTCATGTTATATCTCTAAAGAAATTTTCACAAATAAAGGGGTTCTTCTGAGTCACCAAAAGGTCAATTTTAATTTAAATAATGCTTTCTTTAGTCGAGTAGTTCTGTTGTAATTCATTTGTTCATTTTAACAACTAAGTATTTATTGAGGGCCTTCTCTATACTTAGCCCCAGTGCTGGACGATAGCAACACAAAAGAAGCATTTCCCTTCCTCCAGGACTTGATAATCTAGTTGTGAAGAATAAGAAATATACACATGAAAAATACAACCAAGAATGCAAAGTATCCGTAATTAAGTGCCCTAATGAAGGCTAACTACAGTTGATTAGTGGTTTGGAGTAATGAAGATTTTCTCATAAAAATGGGTTAGGACTAAGATGATTAGAAATGAAAGATTTGCTTTAGATAGCGTTCCCTTTGAAAAACCTCACCTCAGGGGTAGTCGAGCAGATTTTGCTGGCTCCCACAAACTTTTTTAGCATGGCAAGTCTCCAGGTTTCCGAGGGGCCTGTTTTACTGATGCATATCTCAGAGCTATACCTGGGCTTTCCTTCTGTAATGCTGAGTAGTTTAATTACTCTTGGTGTAGTAGTGAAGAAAAGAGACTTGGGAGATTAACTCTTTGCTAACATTTTTACACATGTACTTGCATTTAAACCAAGAAGTGACTAAGTAAACTTTGGGATTCAATAATGCTGTAATATCAACTGTACTGTCTCTGTGTTAATTTTTAAATTTTCTTTATGTGGGATTTCAGATTCATGGAAACAGCTATTCTCATAAAGTGGACATCTTTTCTTTAGGCCTGATTCTATTTGAATTGCTGTATCCATTCAGCACTCAGATGGAGAGAGTCAGGGTAAGTACCCTCCCTACTCAAAAAAAAAGTTTCAAACAGAAAATAATCTAACATTTACAAAAGAGTTTTTTAAAGACTTAGTTCTTCTTAATACCAGCAGATTGGTTAACTAAAAGTGAAAGAGGTGATGTGAGTAACACAGAGAGGAGTTCTAGACTATTTGCTTCCATTTAAAGCTCAGTCTTCAAAAACTTGTTTGGTTAGATTGTTTGTTCTTAGTTTTTGCTTAAATTCATCATAATTTAACAATGTTTTGCACTCAGTAAGTTTGTTATAAGTAAAAATCTAGGGGAACCACAAGGTAATGGGGGCCACACACTCATATATTTAAAAGCTGGCAGATTAAGCATAATTAGGTTTCTTTCCTCTCAAAATAAACCATGACCACAGCCTTTAAAGCAGATAGTACTGAAAGTCTTTTTTTTTTCTCAAGGCAAGGTCTTGCTCTGTCGCTCAGGCTGGAGTGCAGTGGTGTGATCACAGCTCGCTGCAGCCTCAACCTCCTGGGCTCAAGCCATCCTCCCATCTCAGTCTCCCCAGTAGCTGGGACCACAGGCACGTGCCACTATGCCTGGCTAATTTTATTTTATTCATTTTGTAGAAATGGGCTCTGCCTATGTTGTCTAGGCTGGTCTCAAACTCCTGGGCTCAAGTGATCCTCCTGCCTTGGCCTCCCAAAGTGCTGGGATTATAGGGATGACTGAAAGTCATTTTAAAGTAGCCCTCTGGGCCGGGTGCAGTGGCTCACGCCTGTAATCCCAGCAGTTTGGGAGGCTGAGGCAGGTGGATCATGAGGTCAAGAGATCAAGATCATCCTGGCTAACACGGTAAAACCCCATCTCTGCTAAAAATACAAAAAATTAGCCGGGCATGGTGGCACGTGCCTGTAGTCCCAGCTACTCTGGAGGCTGAGGCAGGAGAATGGTGTGAACCCGGGAGGCGGAGCTTGCATTGAGCAGAGATCGCGCCACTGCACTCCAGCCTGGGTGACAGAGTGAGACTCTGTCTCGAAAAAAAAAAAAAAAGTAGCCCTCTGGCCAGGCATGGTGGCTCACACCTCTAATCCCAACACTTTGGGAGGCTCAAGCAGGAAGATCACTTGAGGCCAGAGTTCAACACCAGCCTGGGCAACATAGTAAGACCCCATCTCTACAAAAAATTTAAAAATTAGCAAGGCATGGTAGCACATGCCTTGAGAGGCTAAGGCAGGAAGATCACTATGATTGTGCCACTGCACTCCAGCCTGGGCGACACAGCAAGACCCTGTCTCTGAAAATAAAGTGGGCCTCTGTCACATTCTTCCCTATCTTTCATAAGTAGCTACCCTCACCTCTTCTAGTTGTTGTCCCTGGTACTTATCTCCATATTTTCAAAGTTTAGGCTCTTGTCACTATTTCTTATTTTATCAGTTTTAGATCTTACTTATTGATCTCTGGCCATGGTAGAAGAGGATGTAGTTCTCACATAGAGCAAAATGACTCATATCTTCTAACCGAAAGGACCTACCAAATGTTCTGTACAATGAATGAAAAAAAAAAAAAAACAGTCAAAATAACCATTTTCAGAACACCAGAAATAAAGGCCCTAAAAGCTTCCAGAAAGGAAAATAAAACAGGTCTAACCTAAGTAAAGGATCAAGAATCAGATGGCATCAAAATTTATATAGTTATAAATGCCTCAGAGAATACTGTCAAGAAAGTGAAAAGACAAGGTGGACGTGGTAGCACATGCCTGTAGTCCCAGCTACGTGGGAAGCTTGAGGCAAAAGGAATTCCTTGAGACCAGGAGTTCACGGCTACAGTAAGCTATGATTATGCCTGCAAATAGCCTGGGCACCATGAGACCCTATCTCTAAATAAATTAATTAAATGAAATAGAAAGTGAAAAGGCAGCTCACAGAATGGGAGAAAATATTTGTAAATCCTATATCCGAAAAGTGTCTAGAATTCAGAATACATAAAGAACTATTACAACTCAACAAAAAGACAACTCATTTTAAAAAGGGGCAAAGCAATAGAACTTTCTCCAAAGAGGATAAACAAATGGCCAATAAGCATGTGAAAAGATGCTCAACATCGTTGGGCATTAGGGAAATGCAAATCAAAACCACAATGAGATACCACTTCAGCACCATCTAGGGTATCTGTAATAAAAAAATTAAAAAAAAAGGAAATGTCAAGTGTTGGCTAGGATGTGGAGAAATTGGAACCCTCATACGTTGCTGGTGGAATGTAAAATGGTGCAGCTGCTTTGGAAAACAGTCTGGCAGTTCCTTAAACAGTTAAACATAGAATTACCATAGAATCCAGTAATTCTACTCCTAGGTATGTACTCAAGGGAAATGAAAACATAGACAAAAGCTTGTATACAACTGTTCATATGAGCATTATTTCTAATATCCAAAAGTAGAAACCACCAAAATGCTCATCAGCTGATGAATGGAAAAACAAAGTGTGGTATTTTATACAATGAAAAGTATTCAACCATTACAAGGAAGGAAATACTAACATGTGCCGCAACGTAGATGAATCTTGAAAACATGCTGAGTGAAAAAAGCCAGACACAAAAGTCCACTTTTATATCATTCAGTTTTTATGAAATATTCAGAAGAGGCAACTCCATAGAAACAAAGATTTCCAATATTTTCTTTGTGCTTTAATATGGCCCTTTCTCTCTCTCTCTCTCCCCTTTCTCTTTCTCCCTCCCTCCACACATACATATATACACATATATGTAAATGTACATACACACACACACACACACACACACACACACACAGTCATCTTGGTATCCACAGGGGATTGGTTCCAGGACTCCCTGTGGATACCAAATCTGCAGATGCTCAAGTCCCTTATATAAAATGGTGTAATATTTGTATAGAACCTACATATATTCTGTGTATTTTAAATCTTCTGTAAATTACAGTACCTAACATAATGTAAATTCTATGTAAATAAGTATTATACTGTATTGATGAGGGAATAATGACAAGAAAAAAATCTGTATCTGTCCAGTACAGATGCAACCATCTATTTTTAAATTTTTTAAATATTTTCATTCTGTGGTTGGTTGAATCCTTGGATGTGGAATCTGTGGATGTGGAAGACCAGCTGTATATTTTGAGGATATTTGATGGAGTGTACATCTGTGCTCAGGAAACATATGTAGTTATTAAATCAGGAAAAGCTATTGATAAATTTTCCATTTGATAGATGTACAACCTCTTAGTCATTTTGTTAGAGTATCAAAAAATATTTTCATGTTGTATGTCAAAATAAACTTAATAAGTGATACTTTTTTTCTTTTTAGACCTTAACTGATGTAAGAAATCTCAAATTTCCACCATTATTTACTCAGAAATATCCTTGTGAGGTATGTGTAATTCTCATCTTTTATCTTCTTTAGAATCATCTTTAGAACGTAAGCGGTCCTTAGCAGTCGACTCAGTTTCCCCTATTTTACAGATGAGGAAGCCAAAGGTCTAGAGAGGAAAGAGACCTGCTCCCAAGAGCCCAGAATTTGTTAAAACCAAACACTGGAGCTGGGGCCTGGCTCCTTCAGCCTAATGTCCAGTGTTCCACACTGTAGCACCTGTGAAATTTATATATTGATAAATCTTGAATTTCCTTAAGTAATTAAGTTGAAGTGAGTTAGTATGTGTTCATTTTCAAATTGGAAAAAGTCAAAATTTATCTTTCAGTATTATAATGAAGGGTTGCATTAAAAAATGGACTTTATAACAATATATTAATACCTACATATACTTAAGTCTGTTTTACTAAAAATTGTCATCATGTATTTTGCAAACTTGATGAATCTATTCCCAGGGTGGCTCATAAGAGTACATGTTACGTTCAAAGAGATTTTTAAAAACCAAGAAAAGGTGTTGGTTGCTGATCTCTGCCATAATTTTTTCTAATTAAAATTTCTATTGAGATAATTGTAGATTTACATGCAATTATAAGATGATTTTTAAAAATCATATTTATGTTTCAGGGATGTGATTAAATAATCCTTTATAATGTGTTAGAAAATCAAATTACCCAAAAATTGTCCATGTTTTTTTGGAATGAGGGTTGGCAAACTAGTGCCCACAGGTCAAATCCAGCCTGCCACCTATTTTTATAATAAAGTTCTATTGGAACACAGCCATGCCCATTAATTTACAAATTGTCTCTGGATGCTTTTGTGCATTGACGGCAGAGCTGAGTAGTTGTATCAGAGACTTGAAAACTCGAATATGGCTCAAAAGCTTAAAATATGTACAGAAATATTTTGCCAGCACTGATTTTAAAAACTGTACAGTGATCAAACCTGGCCGTTTTATCACAAAACAATTTTTATATTTTCAGTACGTGATGGTTCAAGACATGCTCTCTCCATCCCCCATGGAACGACCTGAAGCTATAAACATCATTGAAAATGCTGTATTTGAGGACTTGGACTTTCCAGGAAAAACAGTGCTCAGACAGAGGTCTCGCTCCTTGAGTTCATCGGGAACAAAACATTCAAGACAGTCCAACAACTCCCATAGCCCTTTGCCAAGCAATTAGCCTTAAGTTGTGCTAGCAACCCTAATAGGTGATGCAGATAATAGCCTACTTCTTAGAATATGCCTGTCCAAAATTGCAGACTTGAAAAGTTTGTTCTTCGCTCAATTTTTTTGTGGACTACTTTTTTTATATCAAATTTAAGCTGGATTTGGGGGCATAACCTAATTTGAGCCAACTCCTGAGTTTTGCTATACTTAAGGAAAGGGCTATCTTTGTTCTTTGTTAGTCTCTTGAAACTGGCTGCTGGCCAAGCTTTATAGCCCTCACCATTTGCCTAAGGAGGTAGCAGCAATCCCTAATATATATATATAGTGAGAACTAAAATGGATATATTTTTATAATGCAGAAGAAGGAAAGTCCCCCTGTGTGGTAACTGTATTGTTCTAGAAATATGCTTTCTAGAGATATGATGATTTTGAAACTGATTTCTAGAAAAAGCTGACTCCATTTTTGTCCCTGGCGGGTAAATTAGGAATCTGCACTATTTTGGAGGACAAGTAGCACAAACTGTATAACGGTTTATGTCCGTAGTTTTATAGTCCTATTTGTAGCATTCAATAGCTTTATTCCTTAGATGGTTCTAGGGTGGGTTTACAGCTTTTTGTACTTTTACCTCCAATAAAGGGAAAATGAAGCTTTTTATGTAAATTGGTTGAAAGGTCTAGTTTTGGGAGGAAAAAAGCCGTAGTAAGAAATGGATCATATATATTACAACTAACTTCTTCAACTATGGACTTTTTAAGCCTAATGAAATCTTAAGTGTCTTATATGTAATCCTGTAGGTTGGTACTTCCCCCAAACTGATTATAGGTAACAGTTTAATCATCTCACTTGCTAACATGTTTTTATTTTTCACTGTAAATATGTTTATGTTTTATTTATAAAAATTCTGAAATCAATCCATTTGGGTTGGTGGTGTACAGAACACACTTAAGTGTGTTAACTTGTGACTTCTTTCAAGTCTAAATGATTTAATAAAACTTTTTTTAAATTAAGTATGTTGACTCTTATTTTGAGGAGTTAGTCCCAAAATGGTAGATTTTCTAATTTATAAAATGGGATCATAGATCTAGGAAGAGTCATAAACCTATCCTCAAAAAAACTTCTTCCTAACCCATTTCAGACAGGTATCTTTTTCATCATTTCCCAAAGACTTGGCAGGCCCTTTCAAAATTCACAAGATCCATAATTGACAGACATTTGCCCAGTACCTACCCTGTGCCAAGGACTGAGAATATAGAGGACTTTCCCCTAAAGGGAGAGCTCTCAGAGAAAAGGGCTGTGGTGATGCTAGTTGTATTGATACCGAGGTGTATCTGACATGTGCCACATCGAGGCATGTGGCAGGCTGGGCTGATGGGGCATGAACCAGCTAGACACAATCTAGAAAGGTCAAAATGCATAGCATCTCCATATTACAAACAAATAATGTCTGCCACGCAAGGTTATGAGCAACTTGTACGCTGGAAAAACACTTCCCAGATCTTTGTGGCTGACTGTATATCCAGACTCGCTCGCAGCAGTGCTGCTCAAACGACTTCCTTCCCCAGCTTCTGCTTGGTTCCTGTCCAGCTCACCCCCGTCATCTTCATCTCTTGGTCAGCCTGCTTTAGTTGCTATTCCTTTTCTCCCTTCCTCTTTACCCCAGCCAGGGGTGAAGGTTTGTTGACTTCTGGCAGCACACCCCATTCAGTCCCCCAAAGATCCTTTGACCCCCAGGACTTCCCTAGGAGCTAGCCATGGCAGACACTACTATTACCATTCTACTTACCGTCAAATCTAGGTCCAGAAAGGTGCTGTGATTTGTTCAAGGCCACAAAGACAGCAAGAGCAGAACCGGGATCAAAACCTAGGTATTTAGATTCCTAGTGTTTTGTCTACCCGCGTGCACCAAGCTGTCTAGGGATTGGTAAATTCTTACATGATGTAATCAGGTTTTCTTTCATTTTAACCTGGGTTTGCCTTTGCTGACCACCAGCAGGAAAGCAGGCATAGGGTTGGGGAAGTTAAGAGCCTGGGCCAGCAACACTTAAGTCCGTAACACTAGTCAGAATGGAGACCCCTGTGTTCTCACCCACAGCCCTTTCTACTGAGTCCAAACCCCACTGCCCACTTTAAGTTCTGTTGTTTTTCCAGCATCTTTCCATCCCCCGCACTTGCCTCTGCTTTTAGCACATTGTATTTGATAATACTTATTCTCAGGCTGCAGAGGAGCCAGCAACTCTGACGAAGATCAGCTCCCCCTTGTTCGTTTCTAAAATCTCAGAAAGTAAGGGGACACCTTCTTGTAGTCCAGCAACATCCAGCGTAAAGCCTGGTACTTGATTACATATTTGTAGAATTGAATTTGAGGAACCTACATATAACCCCTGCTACAATAAAAATCTGGCAAAAGTGAAGGAGGAAAGATGGCTTAAAAATCCTTATGCTAGCTGGGCGCAGTGGCTCACATCTGTAATCCCAGCACTTTGGGAAGTCAAGGCAGGTGAATTGCTTGAGCTCAGGAGTTAGATACCAGCTTGGGCAACATCGCAAGACCCCAACTCTACAAAAGATACAAAAGTTAGCCAGCTGTTCTGGTGCATGCCTGGAGTCCCAGCTACTCCAGAGGCTGAGGTGACAGAATCGCTTGAGCCCAACAGGCAGAGGTTGTAGTGAGCTATGGTTGTACCAACGCACTCCAGCCTGGGCGACAGAGTGAGACCCTATCTCAAAAAAGAATCCTGATGCTAAAAACAGATGAAAGCGTCAAATCTCAGAAGTTTTTTGTTTGTTTGCTTGCTTCTTTGTTTTTGAGACAGAGTCTCCCTCTGTTGCCCAGGCTGGAGTGCAGTGGCACCATCTCGTTTCACTGCAACCTCCACCTCCTGGGTTCAAGCGATTCTCCTACCAGGAAAGAAGAGCACAGGGCTCTCCTGATTCACCCTTCAGGGAGGCAGCAGGACTAGCCGGAGGGCTGGTCCGGGCATAGGAAGCCCATGAGAAGTTTTGAAAACTAGCTACCTAGTCTGCTGTTTGCCTCCCAGGAGCAGACAGAAAAGCAGACTTTTATGATGTTAGGATGGAGTGGGGGGTTTTTCTCACTGACATCTTTGTCTGGATGCATTTACAACAAAAGCCATTTTATTTCTGTGCCATTTTTCTCTGAAAGAGTAGAGATAGAGCAAGCTCCCAGTCTAACCACTAGCCATAGTGGAGAAGTCAAGGGCTAAGCGGGGACTCTGGATGTTCTTTGGCTCACTGCTGGGAACATCTACGATCCCCCATAACTAGATTGTCCAGGGACTGCCTTGCGAGACTTCCCCATGGAGAGCCTTTTCCTGCAACTACAGTAGCTGTCACCAGGTGACAGTCATGCCTTGCTTAAAGGTCTGAGAAATGCATTGTTAGGTGATTTTGTCCTGTGAATATCACGAAGTGCACTTACACAAACCTAGATGACACAGCATGATGTCTACCGAATATTGTAGGCCATGGTAACACAATGGTAAGTATTTGTGTGTCTAAACACAGAAAAGGGACAGTAAAACTACAGTATTATAAACTTTTTTTTTTTTGAGATGGAGTCTCACTCTGTCACCCAGGCTGGAGTGTAGCGGCACGACCTCAGCTCACTGTATCCTCCACCTCCCAGGTTCAAACGATTCTTGTGCCTCAGCCTCTGGAGTAGCTGGGATTACAGGTGCCTGCCACCAGGCCCAGCTGATTTTTGTATTTTTAGTAGAGACAGGGTTTCATCATGTTGGTCAGGCTGGTCTCGAACTCCTGACCTCAGGTGATCCACCCGCCTCGGCCTCCCAAAGTGCTCACCGTGCCCAGCCCCAGTATTATAATCTTATGGGACCACTGTTGCATATGTGTTCCCTTGTTGACTAAAACATTGTTACGTGGCACATGACTGTAGTAGACAGTGGAGGGCTGAGATAAAGAACATTTTTCAACATGTAAAGTTATTCCTCCCTCCCCTCAAATGTTCAACACATCACGAGAACAAGCATGTCAACATAATCTAAACATGCCAGATATTGCAAAATTCGACCGTATAAAGTCCCACATGCCATGAACTGCTTTTAAATTTCTCACGTGAACAATGACTTAAAACAACAAATGGGCCAGCTGCAGTGGCTCACTTCTATAATCCCAGCACTTTGGGAGGCTGAGGTGGGAGGATCTCTTAAGCCCAGGAGTTTGAGACCAGCCTGGGCAACATGACGAAATCCCATCTCTACAAAAAAAGTAGAAAAATGAGCCGGGCATGGTGGCACATGCTTAGAGTCCCAGCTGCCTGGGAGGCTGAAGTGGGAGGATCACCTGAGCCTGGGAGGTTGAGGCTACAGTGAGCCATGATTACACCACTGCACTCCAGCCTGGACTACAGAGTGAGACTCTGTCTCAAAATAAACAAACAAAAAACAAATACAGGAACAGTATGTGCCTGGCTACTTCCAACAACTCTACTTCTAACAACTCTCAGTATCCCTAATCCCTAATACCTTACTCGGTGCCTCCCTCTTTGGAGCAGCTGAGTAGCTTTCCTTTCTGATTCTTCTTCATGTTCTGGGGGACTAAGAAAAGGTTGGGGAAGGGAGAGGGAACAGAGAGAACAGCCCATGCAAAGGCATGGAGGGAGGGCAGGAGTAAAAAAGAGAGCTCTCAAAGGTGGGGTCGGGAGAAGTAGACCAACTTAAGAATTATTTTTGAGTCAGAAAGACCAGGATACTGGAATTCACTAAATACAGGTAAAGGAGAAGATGGCTCCTGAGTTTCTGGTGTGGACACTTTTATAGAATCCAGAGGAGAGTGCACTTTGGGGACAGAAGAAATGACAGATATCCCTTTTTGAAGATGATGGATGAGTATTCCAGGACTTTGTTGGTAAACAGTTAAGGTATTATTAGAAAATCGGAAGCTGTAGAAAATTACTGAACTGAGGAAGGACATGATGAGAGATTTTAAGATCACTATAGGCTGGACACAGAGGCTCACTCCTATAATCCCAACACATTGGGAGGTCGAGGGAGAAGGATTGCTTAAGCCCAGGAGTTCAAGACTAGACTGGGCACCACAGCGAGATCCCTATCTCTAATTTTTTTTTTTAAATCACAAGATCACTATGGTGGCTGAGAAAGAGGGTTGACGAGAGGGAGAAAGAGTTGGAGATGAAACCAGACAGGGGCCGTTAGCCTTTATCGAGCAAGAGGTCAGAGGGCCTGAGCCAGGGCAGTGGAAGCTGAAAGCCATCCCTTCTTTGTCCAGCAGCTGACCACGTGCTAGCTCCCAACAACCAGAGGGGGGTCTTCTATCAATGCTCTGTGGTGTTGAGTTTTAAAGGACTTCAGGGGGTGCTATAGTGAGTGGCTCTTTGAGAAGAACCTGCTGCTTTCTCAAATGATGTTAGCTTTTAGAGTACTCAGAGAACATTGTCATAAATGATGGCAGCCACTTTGGGACCAGCTCCTCTCTTGCTAGCAGCAAGAATGTGAGTAGGAGGAGAGGAAACAGTGCCGAATTTGCTGGCATAGAGCTCTACTGCCTCCCAGGAAGAGCCTGGGAGAATTTTCACCACCCAGAAAGGTCACATACTTGCCCCAAGGGAGTGAGAGAGTTTGATATTGATACTGAGAAGTAATGAAGGAGAAAGGGTGCTCTTTCTCCAAAAGGATCTTTTCATGACATACTCAAGAAAACAGTTGTCCAGCCTGGCCAACATGGTGAAACCTCATCTCTACTAAAAGAAAAAATACAAAAATTAGCCAGGCATGCTAGTGCACTCTTATAGTCCCAGCTACTGGGGAGGCTGAGGCCGGAGAACCACTTGAACCCTGGAGGTGGTAGCAGGAATTGTCGGTACAAAGACCTAGCCCAGGAGGAAGAGGAGCTTGGGCAAGCCGAGATCGTGCCACTGCACTCCAGCCTGGGCCACAGAGCGAGACTCCGTCTCAAAACAAAACAAACAAACAAAAAAAACCCAGCTGAATAAGTGAAGATATATTCATACTATAGATAACGCAATGAGTCAGTAGCATAAGTGGAATTACTAAATGGTTTATTAAGCAGATAAATGACAGATTCAAGTTGCAGAGAAGTGTGAATAGTACAACTGCAACCAAGTAAAAGAGTTTCTACGTCTGTTTAAATGGCATTTTTCATGGGCATAGAGGAAGTTTCGGAAGGATTCTCACCAAATGCTACACTAGCTACCTTACAAGGGTAGACAGAGTTGGAGAGGTTGGAGAAGATTATTAGCTTCAATATGCATCTCAGCATTGTTTGAGTTCTTTCCAATGCAGATAATACTTTAATCCAATGTGATTAATAAATTAGATTTTAAAATTAAGAAAAAGGAAACCAATAAACAACATTTACAATATCTTTTTTTTTTTTTTTTTTTTTTTTTTTGAGACAGTGTTTCACTCTTGTTACCCAGGCTGGGCTGGAGTGCAATGGCGTGATCTCGGCTCACTACAACCTCTGCCTCCCGGGTTCAAGGATTCTCCTGCCTCAGCCTCCCAAGTAGCTGGGATTACAAGCATGTGCCACCATGCCTGGCTAATTTTTTGTACTTTTAGTAGAGATGGGATTTCACCATGTGGGCCAGGCTGGTCTCAAACTCCTGGCCTCAACTGATCCACCCACCTCAGCCTCCCAAAGTTCCGGGATTACAGGTGTGAGCCACCGCCCCTGGCCAGCGTTTATAATATCTTAATTGATCTCATATTTGTATTCTGCTTTATAGTTTATTTTACATAGTCTCATTTAATTCTAATAGGATCTCTGCAAAGCAGATATTTTCATCACTGTTTTATATGAAAAAAAAAAAAACCAATGCAATAATTAAAATAACTACAACAGCCTAACAGGAAGCTTGTAATAATACAGTTATCACTGCATTGCCCTTGTTAGCATAACAATCCCCACTTTTCTGAATAATCCCTAATTCAGAGAGCATTTTAGAGGAGTAACAGGTGACAGGACAGCGCTGGGCTTTGGAATTAGGGCTGGCTGCATTACTTCTTCCTTGTTTACAATTTTCCTTCAGCTCTCCAATCTGTTTCTTCATTGCAAACAGCACATTTTGAAGATTAAATAATAAATACAAAATTTAGTGTAGAATCTGGTAAATAGAATTCAATAAACGGAAACAAAATGAAATTACAACTTCAGTTCTCTCAATTCTAAAATGGGCACAGTCCTGTGGTAGGGTTATTCTGAGGACTAAGTGACAACTATGAGTTAAAGGGTCATACAAATATGTGTGACTTATTTTTCTTACGATTATATGATGGGAGAGAAAGGCACAGAAAAAAACCCTTTAGTAAAACACGCAGCATATAAAAACTTTATAATGTTTATGCATAAATGTGGACATTGAATATGCCTATGACAAGGACTACAGGCTGGCATTTGATTGGGTGAGGACAACGTATTTTGCAAATATAAAAGGATGGTTATTATTCAAGTAGTCAAGAAACGCCTTTGTTGTATAGGGATTTCGGGTTGCCCAGGGGGTGGAGGAGGGCTAGGAATGCCTCCTTTCTCCCAGGCCTTTGACCCTAGCTGCCGGTCTACAGGAATCAGCGGGGAGCCGGGGCGCAGCATGGCCGGAGGGTTTGGAGATGAAAGATAGGAGGATGCCGTCTGGATTCTCGGGGCTGGGGCAGGGAATCTGGCTCGGGCGCAGCCAGGAGCCGCGGCAGGAATTGTCGTTTCAAAGACCTGGCCCAGGAGGAAGAAGAGCTCAGGGTGGCCAAGTGGGGACGACAGATGCCGAGGCAAAGCGGGGGCTCCGCGGGCCCGCGGCGCTCTTGCGTTCCCCCGTAAGGGCCTTGGGATGGAGGGTGGGGGACTGAGTGTCACCGAGTCAGTCCAGTGCGGTGACTGATCCTCTTGTGACAGATGCAGGAGGGTGGGCTGGGCATGAGAACTACCGGCGATGGAGGTGTGGCGTGCGGGAGATGCTGGCCAAAGAGGAGGAGGGACGGGAGGAGTCCCTCGCTCTCCTAGGTTAATTACCACTCACTCCGCCCTCAGGACTAATGGATTTGTCCGGGACGCAGACCTGCTGGGCAGCCAGAGGGTGGCTACTGGATAAGTTTCAAAATCCAACGTTACTGGAAGGCCTGCTGCATACCATGTCCTATACTAGGCAGTTCATATTCGTGGTATCTCATAGAATACCTTCAATAACCTTGGGAGATATTATGGCCCCCATTTTACAGAGGAGGAAACTGAGGCTTACTGAATCAAAGGATTTCCATGCAATGGGTATAATCAGGCAAATCATAGGTGAATTGTAAGTAGTTTAAAAAAAATGAAAAGAACTCTACTTAGCTACTCATCAGAAATAAAAGCTGAGCACGGTGGCTCACGCCTGTAATCCCAGCACTTTAGGAGGCCGAGGAGGGCGGATCACGAGGTCAGGAGATCCAGACCATCCTGACCAACATGGTGAAACCCCCTCTCTACTAAAAATACAAAAATTAGCTGGGTGTGGTGGTGCACGCCTGTAGTCCCAGCTACTCGGGAGGCTGAGGCAGGAGAATCGCTTGAACCCGGGAGGCAGAGGTTGCAGTGAGCCGAGATCGTGCACCACTGCACTCCAGCCTGGGCGACAGAGCAAGACTCCGTCTGAAAAAAAAAAAAAAAGGAAAGAAAGAAATACAAACGAAACCAACAGTGGATCCCATTTTTCTGCTATCACGTGGAAAACATTTAAAAGATTTATGCGTGTAAGCAAAAGTGTGATGAAAGAATTATCTCATAGCCTGTTGTTAGAAATGTATCTTTATGATTTTTTCTGTCAGTATCTGTCTAAATTTGAAAGATAATTTCTCTTGAAAATTCCACTTTGGGAATCTATTCTTTAAAAATAATCACACGGGTAAATGTCAATCTTAGTGGGAAAGGCAAGTAAAAGAGTTAAGGGTTTTTTAAATGTGATTGACCCACTAGTATATGGTTGCTGGAAAATACTAGCCTGGAGGTCCAATCAGCTCTATCCAATTCCAATAACCATGACCCTCAGGCAGCTTCGCCATAATCACTGCACTCTGGCATCACCATGACCCACAGGGTCCTTTTCCAAGTGTAAGGGCTGTTTACCTGCAGTAGATTCTCCAACAGTGCTTGCTATAGTGCACACTTCTTGCAAGGCCTCTTTCAAGTTGTTTTTCTTCCTGTTATTTATTTATTTATTTATTTGAGATGCTCAGGCTGGAGTGTGGTGTCACAATCTCAGCTCACTGCAACCTCTGCCTCCTGCATTCAAGCAATTCTCCTGCCTCAGCCTCCTGAGTAGCTGAGATTACAGGCATGTGCCACAACGCCCAGCTAATTTTGGGGGTTTTTGTTTGTTTGTTGTTTTGAGATGGAGTTTCACTCTTGTCACCCAGGCTGGACTCCAATGGTGCGATCTCAGCTCACTGCAACCTCCACCTCCTGGGTTCAAGTGATTCTCCTGACTCAGCCTCCCAAGTAGCTGGGACTACAGGCGTGCACCACCACACCTGGCTAATTTTTTGTATTTTTAATAGAGACAGAGTTTTGCCACATTGGCCAGACTGGTCTCCAACTCCTGGCCTCAAGCGATCCTCCTGCCTCAGCCTCCCAAAGTGCTAGGATTACAGGCGTGAGCCACAGTGCCCGGCCTCTTTCTTTTCTTCGGAGAGGAAGTCATATTATGTTGCCCAGGCTGGAGTGCAGTGACTATTGCAACCTCCAACTCCTGGCCTCAAGAGATCTTCCTATCTCAGCTTCCCCAGTAACTGGGACTATAGGTATGCACCACCCATCCACTACTTCCAAGATTTAAAGAATCAAAAGTTTTAAGAACCTACATTTTAAACACTCATAGGTGATTCTAAGGCACTGCTTCTCAATCTTGACAGCACAGTAGAATAATAATATGACCTTAAAAAAAAATAGCCAATACCCAGGCAGCACTCCAGCCCTGTAAATCACAACCTGAGGGTGTGGAGCCCAGGCCTCAGGATTTTTTTAAGCCTCCTGATAATTCCAAAGTACAGTCAAAGCTGAGAACCACATGCCTCCCCTTTCATAGTGGCTACAGGACCAGAAGCATCTGCAGAAATGCAGTATCTCAGGTTCTACTCCAGACCTGCTGGACCAGAATTCATGTTTTAATAGGATCCCAAAGTAATTCACACAAACATTAATATTTGCAATGGACTGTGGTGAAGTTTAGATTTATTTCAGCCCTTCTCCTGTACTGGCCCTACCCTGACTACTTCTGGGATAGGCTGGCACTAACAAGATAAAATGCACCTGGGCCATGGTTCTTTCTACTAACATCTCCCAAGCAATTCCTAAGAGGAAGGGACTATTCTAGAAGGGACCTATAACCATTCCCCCAGATCCCTAAGCTCTGGATGGACAAATGCAGGCCGAGTAGGAACTAGCTTCGAAGCAATACAAATGTTGACAATGAGAACTCTAGGTTTGTTGGAAACTTAAAGTAAATCAACAATGTGAGACATCTAGCAGAACTTCAAACACAAGCAGGTTGCATTCATTGGTCCCTACACCTCTCACGGGACCTCAGAACTGGTCTGCCCACCTCCAGTCTTGAACCAACTCATGCTGTCATGACAGAATATTTTACAACATAAATCTGGCCTTGCTATTTCTTCCCTGCTTAACATCCTCTGAAAGTCCCTGGACATCCTCAGGTTCAAAGTCAAACTCATGAGCTTGACATACAAGACCCTCCACCAACTTACCCAGTTGAGCCTTAATTCTTGAGAACCCACATGTGCCCATTCTGCTTTTCAGGAGTAACAAATGAACTCCTGGCCTTTTCTCAAGCTGCCATGCTCCCTAGCTTGTCTATCTGTTACCCCTTTACTTCCTCTACCCACCTGAACCCTCACCCCCTGGAAACCCTTCCTCTCAGGTCTCTCCTCCAGGATAACAATCTTGGTGAAGATCCTCCTGATCGGCCCTCATCCCAGTGAAGGGATGAACACGACATAATTAGGAAGAGGTCTATCACCTGACTTTGGGGGGTTTTTTTGTTTGTTTTTTGAGACATGTTCTCACTCTTTTGCCCAGGATGGAGTGCAGTGGCATGATAATGACTCACTGTAGCCTCAACCTCCTGGCCTCAAGTAATCCTCCCACCTCAGCCTCCCAAGCAGCTGGGACTACAGGCATGCATCATCACACCCAGCTAATTTGTTGTTGTTGTTGTTGTTGTTTTGTAGAGATGAGATCTCACTCTGTTCCCCACGCTGGAGTGCAGTGGCACAATCATGACTCACTGTAGCCGTGACGTCCTGGTCTCAAGCAATCCACCTCAGCCCTCGAGTAGCTGGGACTACAGGCATGCACCACCATACCTGGATAATTTTTGTATTTTTTGTAGAGACAGGGCTTCACCATGTTCTCCAGGCTGGTCTTGAACTCCTGGGCTCAAGCTATCCTCCCACCTTGGCCTTCCAAAATGCTGAGATTACAGTCATGAGCCACTGTGCCTGGCCCTGACTTTTCATTTGAAGGCCTGTCCAGCAGTCTGAGAGCAGTTTGACTCTATTCTCAAGGCGTAGCTTTTAAGAGCCAAGACCCACCTGAGCTTGGACACATCAGGATATAGTTTTAAGTGTTTAACAGAAACCCAAATTACCAGTGACATAAACCAAGGGTTCTCAACCTTGGCTGGGGAGATTTTTAAATATCCAACGCCGGCCAGGAGCCACTAGTGGCTCACGCCTGTAATCCCAACACTTTGGGAGGCCAAGGTGGGTGGATCACCTGAGGTCAGGAGTTCGAGACCAGTCTGGCCAACTTGGTGAAACCCCATCTCTACTAAAAATACAAAAAATTAGCCGGGCGTGGTGGCAGGTGCCTGTAATCCCAGCTGTTGGGAAGCTGAGGCAGGAAAATTGCTTGAACCCAGGAGGCGGAGGTTGCAGTGAGCCGAGATTGTGCCACTGCACTCTAGCCTGGGTGACAGAGGGAGATTCTGTCTCAAAAAATTATCCAATGCCAGGCTATACCTCAGTCCAATTAAATCAAAAATTTAGGAGAAGGGGCAAGAATCAGTATATATATATATACTTTTTAAGCTCCACAGGTGATTCTAATGTACAGGTAAGCTTGAGAAACATTGGCTTAAACAATTGGAGGTTTATTTTATTCCACGGGACACTCTAGACCTGACGAGACTGCTGTGTACCACTCAAAAATCCAACCTCCTTCTCACTGCCATTTCACCATCCCTAGGGTAGGGCCCTTATCCACAAGGTCCAACTAGGCTCATAACTTGTCCAAGCACCAGGATGCAGGAGGGGAAGGGCGTGGCCTGGGAAGAGGCATATACCATTTTTGCTTATGGCCCATTGGCTGGGATCTAGTCACATGGCCGTGTTTTATGCAAGGGAAGCTGGGAAATGTAGTCTTTATT
The DNA here is from genome assembly GCF_000001405.40 of Homo sapiens. Lineage (NCBI taxonomy): Eukaryota > Metazoa > Chordata > Mammalia > Primates > Hominidae > Homo > Homo sapiens. Next base: position 88,545,314 of record NC_000002.12, on the reverse strand, counting down.
CCAAGTGGCCATTGCTCAGCAAAAATCTTAGGTGTCTGTTAATACAGAAGAGAAGATGGCTATTGGGGAGAATCTAGCAGAGCTCAATCTAAGGAAGAATATCCTCGAGAACAGAAAGGTCATGTACTGGGATAGAATGTGGCAGTGCGTGCCCTGCCACCTGGAGAAGTCATCACGCCAGGAGAGAACCACAGCTCAAGGCAGTCAGATATTCACTCAGTCCACAACTCAATTCTTTCTCAGTCACCACAGCCAATATACTGGACTTCCTGTTCCATGAGCACACCCAGCACTCTTCATCAGATGGCCTTGTGCTTGCCACCAAAGGGCTTCTGCCCAGAGTTTCTCCTGTCATTTCGGTCTCAGAGAGGTCTCCATTTTTTTTTTTTTTCCTGTTTTTTTTTTTCTGAGACAGAGTCTTGCTCTGTGGCCCAAGCTGGAGTGTGGTGGCACGATCTCGGCTCACCGCAACCTCTGCCTCCTGGGTTCAAGCGATTCTCCTGCCTCAGCCTCCCTAGTAGCTGAGATTACAGGTGCCCACCACCACACCTGGCTAATTTTTGTATTTTTAGTAGAGATGTGGTTTCACCATCTTGGCCAGACTGGTCTCGAACTCGTGACCTCAAGTGATCTGTTCACCTCAGTCTCCCAAAGTGCTGGGATTACAGGCATGAGCTGCCGCACCTGGCTTGCATTTTTTTTTTTCATAGTGTTTACAATCTCTCTCTTTCTCTCTCTTTTCAGAGACGGGGTCTTGCTTTATTTCTCAGGCAAGAATGCAGTAGTACAATCTTGGCTCACTGAAGCCTCAACCTCCAGGACTCAAGGGATCCTCCTGCCTCAGCCTCCCAAGTAGCTGGGACTACAGGCACACGCCACTAAATCTGGCTTTTTTATTTTTTGTAGAGATGGAGGTCTCACTATGTTACCAAGGCTGGTCTTGGACTCCTGGGCTCAAGCAATCCTCCCGCCTTGGCCTCCCAAAGCACTGAGATTGCAGATGTGAGCCACTGCATGCAGCAGCCCTTATAATCTTGAGATAGACTACTAGGGTTCAAATCCCAGCTCCACCATTCACTAGCCGTCTGACCTTTCTGTGCCTCAATTTTCTCATCTATAAAATCGGGATGATAATAGTGCCTGTCTTTACCTAAAAGTTAAAGGTAAAATGGGAAATTTTATGTGTGTATTTTATTGAGCATTTTCAAATTTTATGTGAGCATTGTTAAGAGCACTTGGTTACCTCTTTCAGGTTTTCACCCCCAGGCTCCTTGCGGGTCACCAATAATAACCTTGTTGCTATTAATACATCCAGTGCTAAGTCCTCAGTCCTGGCCCAGCAACAGCATCTGACGCTGCTGATCCGCAGGTTGCTCCCTCCTCCCTGTCACCTTTCTTCACGTGATCTCCAGAACACCAGACCCCTGTGGTTTTTGTCCCACCTCAAAGCTCCCTCCATCTGCCTGACCTTTCAACTTTGACCTGCCCTAGACCTCAGTCCTCGGACCACTTCCACTCCTTGGCAAGGGACTGAGTCTCCTGATTTTCAATGCCATCCATATGCTGTTAATTCCTGAGGATCTATCTCCAGGCCCTGACCTCTCTCCTGGACTCTGCCCTGTGTAGCCAGCTGCCTCCTCAAATCCTAGAGGCATTTCAAACTTAATATTTCCAAAACCAAACTGATCTTCCCCAAACTCATTTGGACTATCGTTTTCTCCATTTCAGTGAAAAGCAGGTCACCTTTCCAGTTTGCACAAGCCAAAAAATGGAGTCATCATCAATGTCTCTCTCATGTACTCCACAGCCAATCTGTCAAGAAATCTCAGGCTCTGCCTTCACACACAATCAAAATCCAACCATTTCTCCATCTTCTCCACCTCCACAGTGATTGCTGTGGTCCACGCCACCCCTACCTCTCACCTGGATTATCCTGCTTCTCCATTTGTCCCCTCTGTCTTTTCTCAATCCAGTGGTCAAAATGATTCTTCTAAAACAGAAACCAGGCTGGGCATGGTGGCTCACACCTGTAATCTCGGCAATTTGGAAGGCCAAGGCAGGTGGATCACTTGAGGTCAGGAGTTCAAGACCAGCCTTGCCAATATGGTGAAACCCCATCTCTACTAAAATTACACAAATTAGCTGGGTGTGGTGGCATGCACCTGTAATCTCAGCTACTCGGGAGGCTGAGACAGGAGAATTGCTTGAACCCAGGAGGCAGAGGTTGCAGCAAGCCGAGATCACACCACTGCACTCCAACCTGGGGAAAAGAGCGAGACTCTGTCTCAAAAAAATAAAAAATAAAAATAAACAATAAAACTGAAACCAGGTTATGTCACCCTTTGTTCATTACTTTGCAGTGGCTCCCGTCTCACTCGAAAGAAGAGTCGCAGCCTTTGTAAGGGCTTACCTGCACCTAGACAGTCCTGAGAAACCTTGTAACCACCCTGACACTGCCTCCCAGGCACCTCCCCAGGGTCTGCCCTTCCTGTTCCTTCAGTCCCAGTCCTCCCCGTGCGAAGGGCTCCCCTTCTCCAAGGTGTTGGTCAAATGCCACCTGCTCTGAGGAACCTGGTGTCATAACTCTGACATCCTCCTACCTGCTTTGTCTTTCTCCACTCCACTTACAACCTTCCAACATGCCACATTTCCCTCATTTTATTTATTGTTATTTTCCCCAATTAGAATGGAATCTCCTTGTCTTATTATTATTTTCATTTTTGCTATATTCCCGGTACTTAGAATTGTGCCTGGTACGCAGGTGTTAAATATGTATGTGCTAAATGAGAGAAAAATGATTGAATTAAAAATCATTTTTCTCCAGCATTGTGGGTCTGTTTCTTCATAGTATAAAGAACTCAGATGTGTTATTTATGTTGCAAATATTTTCCTACTTTGTTCTTTGCCTTTTATTTATTTATTTTTTTTCTTGGCAGGGTCTCACTCTGTCACTCAGGCTGGAGTACTGTGGCATGATCTCGGCTCACTGCAGCCTCCACCTCCTGGGTTCAAGTGATTCTCCCACCTCAGTCTCCCAAGTAGCTAGGACTGCAGGAGCACACCACCATGCCTGGCTAATTTTTGTACTTTTGGTAGAGATGGGGTTTCACCAGGTTGCCCAGGCTGGTATTGACCTCCTGGACTCAAGGGATCTGTCGGCATCAGCCTCCCAAAGTGTTAGGATTACAAGCATGAGCACTGCACTCGGCCTGCCTTTTTATTTTATGGGTTTTTTTTCCACGCAGGAAGTTTGATTATTATGTACGCAATGTATAATTTAATTTTTTAATTTGTAGTTTCCAGATTTTATGTCATACTGAGAGAAACTTTATTTTTATGTGTGTTTGTGTCTGTGTGTTTTATATATAAATATTTGTTGTAGTAAAATACACACATAAAATTTACCATTTTAACTATTTTTAAGTGTAGAGATCTATGACATTAAGTACATTCACACTGTAGTGCAATCATCATCACCATCCATCTCCAGAACTTTTTAACCTCCCAAACTGAAACTCTGTACCACTGAATAATAACTCCCCATTTCTTCCTTCCCCAACCCCTCACAACCACCATTCTTCCTCCTGTCTCTATGAGTCTGACTACTCTAGGCATCCTATACAAATGGAATATATATTCTTTAATGTTTGGAAATTAATGGACATGTTCTGGAATGTTGCAAAGCCAAAACATTCTTTTTAATTTTTTAAAAGTAGATACAGGGTCTTGCTTTGTTGCCCAGGCTGCTCTTGAACTCCTGGGCTCAAGAGATTGTCACACATCAGCCTCCCAAAGTGCTGGGATTACAGGCATGAGCCACCACTCCAGGCCCCAAAACATTCTTGAGATACACTATGGTTTGGATATGGTTTATCTGCACCAAATCTCATGTTGAAATTTGATCCCCAGTGTGGCAGTATGAAGAGGTGGGGCCTACTGGGAAGTGTTTGGGTCATGGGGGCAGGTCCCTCATGAATGGCTTGGTGCTGTTCTTGAGGAAGTGAGTGAGCCCTTGCTCTCAAGGGACTGGGAATGAATTCGTTCCCAGAAGAGTAGGTTGTTATAAAGCCAAGACACTCTTCATGTTTTCTTTCTTCGTTTGAGTCCACTTACCCTTTGACTTTCTCTGCCATATTATAACACAGCATAAAAGCCCTCTTCAGAAGCCAGAGCCATGTCCTTGAACTTCCCAGCCTGCAGAACCATGAACTAAATATACCTCTTTCTTATATAAATTACCCAGTCTCATGTGTTCTTTTATAGCAACACAAAATGGACTAGTAAAAGATATTTCTTTTCTTTTCTTTTTTTTTTTTTTTTGAGATGCAGTTTTGCTCTTGCTGCCCATGCTAGAATGCAATGGCTTGATCTTGGTTCACTGCAACCTCTGCCTCCTGAGTTCAAGCAATTCTCCTGCCTCAGCCTCCCAAGTAGCTGAGATTACAGGTGTCCACCACCACGCCCAACTAATTTTTTGTATTTTTAGTAGAGACGGGGTTTCACCATGTTGGCCAGTCTGGTCTCGAACTCCTGACCTCAGGTGATCCACTCACCTCAGCCTCCCAAAGTGCTAAGATTACAGGTGTGAGCCACCACACCCCAGCCGTAAAAGATATTTCAATCTATGCATGCTCTGATCCACCTTACCCTAGCTCCCTAGTTATAGTTTATGTCCAGCAAAGACTTGTCACTCTCTGTCCAAGACTTCCAGGGGCTGTGCATTCTCTTCTGCTATTTCTCAATGTGTGATTCACATGGCACCAGTGACTCAGCCGCCAGTGAACCATATAAAACAATAGATTACTGGAGTTCACACCAGTTCTAATGACTCTCCATCCAGACCTGGCAGAACTGAGGAATCAGCATTTGACCCAGGCACTCCACTGCCATCCCCTGCTAGGAACTCTCAGAGTCAAAGATCAACTGTGAGTGACCACTTGATCTGGAAGAGGGCACACTGCCATGGAAGCCTGGGGCCTAAACCCTCACCCCTTGGTTGCTGGTGCTTTCTGTGAAATGAGTGTAAGAATTCCTGTGTCACAGAGAAGAAATGAAGTTGGAAGATGATACCCTCTGTGGCCATGTTTTGTAAGCTCTGAAATATATATATAACATAAAAAAGCTGTTAGCATTACCTTCAAGCCCCCAGTCTGGTCTCTGCAGCCTCTGCCACGGGGTCCCTCCCAAGGCCAAAAAAAGACAAAAGCATCCATAGAGTTGACATCATGGTGGTGGGGCGCAGCACAGAATCTACAAGTAAGGGTGGGAAAATAAGTGTTAATTAATTCTCTTTTATATTGATAATTGAAAGAAACACTCTATTAACCCTTTAAAAATGTTAAGTGCATTCATGTACTTTCTTTTTTGTATCTTGTAAGATGGGTATAATTATCCTCCCTTCTACACATGAGAAAACGAAAGGTCAAAATGAGATTTTTATGGGAGGAGAAAGCCAAACCCAGCTCAGCCAATCGCAGCTCAGCTACCACCCGTGTGACATTTGGCCAAGTCACCTGAGGCCTTGGTTTTCTCTGCTACAACATAGGCCCGATGGCTGTATTCACTCAATGGTGAAGGCAGGTATTGAGTAAGATAAGGTATGTGCTCAGCCCAATATGGGGGTTGGCACATTGCATGACACTGTGAGTCTAGTTCCAGGATACCTGCTCCCGATTCTCTGCTCTCAGCCTAATATTGAGGAACTTCAGGGGACCCTAAAAAATACAAGAGGAATGAAGGCAGATGGGGATGGCTGCTGGAATCCGGCCATGCTCTGCCCAGCAATAAACTAGGTGAAGAGTGAAGAGTTTTATTCTGAGACTATTAAGATGTCTGTTGACCAAAGCAGGCTCCCCCTGGATCTATTCACTAAACACAGCTATTGGACCAGGGCAGAGCTGGGACTAGGAAGACACAGGGGATGATCGAGACACCACCCAAACCCAATTTGGAATTCCTATTGTCCTGCTTTTCCCCAAAGGCAACTTCAGTTGGAGAGAGTAGAATTCAGTGGGCAAAGTTGTGAGCCATCCTCAGGAATGTCTGTCTGGGTCACTTTACCTGATATTGCCAGGTACTGATAGCTTCCTTGCTCCCTGCCTGGAGCCTGAAGCTGCTGGGGGCAGTTACAGAAGACAACTGGAGCCCTTCTGTCTCTTTCCTGTGCGGGCCCTTGGAAAACCGCTGCTCTCTCTCACCCTCATTCCTTCCTTCAATATTTGTTGAGCACCTGCTATATGCCAGGTTTCAAGGGCAAGAAAGAAAGTAAAACACTCCAAAAGATTTTCAAAAAAGAAATTATTCTAAAGATAATACATATTAAAATTAAATATGGCTGGGCGTTGTGGCTAACCCTGTAATCCAGCACTTTGGGAGGCCGAGGTGGGCAAATCACTTGAGGTCAGGAGTTTCAGACCAGCCTGGCCAACAGGGCAGAATCCCGTCTCTACTAAAAATAGAAAAATTAACCGGGCGTGGTGGCACATGTCTCTGTTAGAAACAAGTGCTCGGTGCCGAAAAGAAGAACCAGCACTCAGGCAAAAAGTTTTCTCAGTAAGGCAACTACTTCTACAGAAGGGTGCTGCCTGCATCAGCCATGATCACAAGAGTACCCCAACAAAGGAGAGAAGGGGTTTTTATCCCTAACGCAGTTGTTGTTTCTGTGTCCTTTCCCCATTGGCTGGAGTTGGACCTCACAATCTAAGCTGACCTGATTGGCTAAGACTTAAAATTCTCCAAATAGAGTAAACGCGCAATTTGCTAAAAGAGGAGTGGGGAGGAGAGACCGTCTGTTACTAACTAGGCAGGAGGGAAGGCATGCCTAGGCATGCCTGGATATGTATGGGTACAGCAAGGGGGTTGGTTACAGAACAGAAGGAAGTTTGAACCTCTTTCTAAATAAGGTAGCGAGACGAGGACTTTGAAGGCCAAAGTGGAGAAAGGGGAAAGCAGGGAGAAGGGCTAGCTTATAACCTTACAACTTATAAACAGGGAGGTAAGTTTTGAAGAGGAACTTAGTTGTGCTAACACCTGTAATCCTAGCTACTCTGGAGGCTGAGGCATGAGAATCGCTTGGACCTGGGAGGTGGAGGTTGCAGTGAGCTGAGATCACGCCTGGTGATGGAGCAAGACTCTGTCTCAAAAAAAAATTTTTTTAATAAAATAAAATATAGCTCACAATGATTGAGCAGTCACTGTTTGCCAGGGCAGGCACTGGGTGTTCACTCTTGGACTCCTCACAGCCCCCCGCTGAAAGATGTAGGAACAAAGGGACTTAAGAACACAGAGAGCGAGCAAACTGTTAGGGACAGGGGGTTGTCAAGGCAGGATTCTTCAGAGGAGGCTGTGTAAGCTGTCAGCTGGGGGAAACTGGGGGAAACCAGGAGAAAAAGTTGTTTACAAAAAGTAACAGCAAGTGGAAGGCAGGAGGTGGGAGAGGGGTGAATATGCGTGTAGGGCAGGTTGAGATGGGGTTGGAGGGAGGGGTTGCTGCCTCCTAGGAAGGGCCTTACGCTGTGGGACCCCCCACGTGGTGGTTATACAGGGAGATCATGAATATGTAATCAGACCTGTGTTTTATGATTCCTCTAGAGTTAAAATGGGGAGGACTGCAAGGGCCGTTCCCGGGTGCCATAGAGGAGGCCTGCTGCAGTGGGGTCTGAATGGAGGGTCAAATTCGAAGGAGATTTCTGAGGCAAAATCTTAGGATTTTAGTAGCTATTTCTCAGAGCTGTTTCCTCAGCCTCCTGTGGGAAGGTGCAGCAAGCGCCTCAAAAGCAGCGTGTTGGGGTCTCAACTCATCCTTCTCTCCTGTGCCTGATCCCTTCCTGGGCTCCCCTACCGCTGTCCTCTCCTGCTCCAGCAGATCCAGGTCATGGCTCACCTTCTTGCTCTGTCCACCTAGGGGAGAGACAGTGATGGTCTCTCCAGAAACAGACATTTCCAAGGTTTCTGAACATCTCAGATTAAGAACTAGCGAAGGATATCTCCGAATCCAGCTGATCTTCTTGGTCCAGGTAGTTGTTCACACTGATGGCTATTAATCAATGAAACTTGGACATTAGGGAGCAAGACAACCGTTTTTATTAAAGTTTTAGAATAGGCCGGGCACAATGTCTCACGCCTGTAATCCCATCACTTTGGGAGGCCGAGGTGGGTGGATCATCTGAGGTCAGGAGTTCAAGACCAGCCTGGCCAACATGGCGAAACCCTGTCTCTACTAAAAATACAAAAAATTAGCATGCACCTGTAATCCCAGCTACTTGGGAGGCTGAGGCAAGAGAATCGCTTGAGCATGGAAGGCAGAGGTTGCAGTGAGCCGAGATCGTGCCATTGCATTCCAGCCTGGGTGACAGAGGAAAACTCTGTTTCAAAAAATAAATAAATAAAAATAAAAAAATAAAGTTTTAGAATAAAACTTTTATTTAGAATAAAGTGACATGCAAGTTTTCAAAAATGACTAAAACTTTAGGGTTGGAATCAAATCTGGGATTTAAATTCTGGCTTTGTTACATGTGGACTTGAGCCAGGTACTTAACCTCCCTCAACCTCTGTTTCTTCATCTGAATATGAAGACGAAATATGTGTGGTGTGTGCAGCAAATATGTATTGTTACTAATGTTTTCACCTCAGCTAAAGCATTTTGTAGAAATTCCATGTGTTAAAACCATCAGCTGATCCACATGACCTGTCACTGAAAAAAAAATTATTTATTAAAAAGCATTGAGATGTAGTAAGCTTTCTTTTGTAGATACTTTCTTTTATAGACATCTTAGAAGGCATGTTATGGATAAAACAGATTCACTAAAGATTGTAACAAGATAGGAAGAAAGGAATGTACTGACCAGGAAGCATTTTACAAGTGATGAAGAGATAAAGGGTCTTTGAAAAGTTATTCCACCTCACCAGGGATCAAAGAGACTGTACTCTTATCAAACTAATAGGCAGTCTTCTTCCTTTCTTTTCTTTCTCTTTCATTCTTTCTTTCTTGATAATAACAGGGATAAGGACACTGTGAATTAACTACTCTCATAAATGGCTAGTAGTATTCTAAAGAGATACATCTTTCATTTTTTCTTTCCTTTTCTTTTCTGCCTCCCTTCTTCCCTCCTTCCTTTTCCTCCCTTCCCTTCCCCTCCGCCTGCCTTCCTTCCTTCCTTCCTTCCATTTTAATGTTTTATTGTGGATAATTTCAAAAATACCCAAAAGCAGAGAGTAGGATCATGAACTTGCAAGCACCTGTCACCCAACAATTTTTATTTTGTCACTGATATTGTTTGACCTATTTCCTACCCCCATCAACGCTTTTTGCTAGAGCTTTTTTAAAATAAATTTCAGACATCAATTCTTCAGTTAATATTTCAAGAGAAAATGATCTCTAATAAATAAATGCTTAAACATAACCAAAATTCCCTCATCACACCTAACAAAATTAGTAACCATTTCTTAATATTAAAAATACATCTGATTAGAAAGTAGTAATTGGTAATATGCTTCAAGAATGTGTTCATGCATTTCGACCCAGTAACTTTGCTTCTCCTTTTCTTTTTTTACTTTTCTTTTGTTTTTTTTTTTTTTTTTTGAGACGGAGTCTCTCTCTGTCGCCCAGGCTGGAATGCAATGGTGCGATCTCGGCTCACTGCAACCTCCACCTCCTGAGTTCAAGCGATTTTCCCTGCCTCAGCCCCCGAGTAGGCAGGATTACAGGCGCCCACCATCAGGCCTGGCTAATTTTTGTATTTTTAGTAAGACAGGGTTTCGCCATGTTGGCCAGCCTGGTCTTGAACTCCTGACCTCAGATGATCCACCCGCCTGTGCCTCCCAAAGTGCTGGGATTACAGGCACGAGCCACTGCACCTGGCCTGCTACTCCTTTTCAACCTAATTACAGAAAAAAGGTTTATATTTTAAAAAACATCCTGTTATTTGTAACAGAAAATGCATAATGGAAAAAATCTTGAATAGCTAACAATAATAAATTATGTTATGTTCATGCAGTGATGTTTATAGTTTTAAAATTCACGCAATGATGCAAAGTTTTAAGGTTGAGTGGGAATGTTGATAGTTAATGCAATTAAAATCAAGCAGGATTTAAAATTACAGTATTCAATATGATCCAGCAATCCTACCACTGGGTATTTCTTCAAAGGAAAGGAAACCAGTATATTAGAGAGGCATCTGCAGTCCCATACTTATTGCAGCACCATTCACAACAGCCAAAATATCAATCAACTTAAGCGTCCATCAACAGACAAATGGTTAAAGAAATGTGGTACATATTCGAATGGAAAACTCTTCAGCCACAAAAAGGAATAAAATCCTGACATGGATGAACCTGGAGGACATTATGGTAAGCAAAAGAAGCCAGGCACAGAAAGACAAAAATTACATGTTCTCACTCATATATGAAGTCTTTTTATTTTTTTTTTTGAGATGGAGTCTTGCTCTGTCGCCCAGGCTGAAGTGCAATGGCGCAATCTCGGCTCACCGCAACCTCTGTCTCCCGGGTTCAAGCGATTCTCCTGCCTCAGCCTCCTGAGTAGCTGGGATTACAGGCATGTGCCACCATGCCTGGCCAATTTTTTTGTATTTTTAGTAGAGACGGGTTTCTCCATGTTGGTCAGGCTGGTCTTGAGCTCCCAACCTCAGGTGATCTACCCGCCTTGGCCTCCCAAAGTGCTGGGATTACAGGCGTGAGCCACTGCACCTGGCCATATAAGAAGTCTTTTAAAAAGTTAATCTCGGCCGGGCGCGGTGGCTCACGCCTGTAATCCCAGCACTTTGGGAGGCCGAGGCGGGCGGATCACGAGGTCAGATCGAGACCATCCCGGCTAAAACGGTGAAACCCCGTCTCTACTAAAAATACAAAAAATTAGCCGGGCGTAGTGGCGGGCGCCTGTAGTCCCAGCTACTTGGGAGACTGAGGCAGGAGAATGGCGTGAACCCGGGAGGCGGAGCTTGCAGTGAGCCGAGATCCCGCCACTGCACTCCAGCCTGGGCGACAGAGCGAGACTCTGTCTCAAAAAAAAAAAAAAAAAAAAAAGTTAATCTCACAGAAATAGGAAGTAGAATAGTGGTTATTAGAGGCTGGGAAGGGTAGGAGGGGAAGCAAAATAGGGAGAGGCTGGTTAAAGGATACAAAATTATAGCTAGAAAAAAGTTTTACTGTTCTACAGCACAATAGAGTGACTAGAGCCAACAACAATTTATCATATACTTTCAAATAGCTAGAAGAGAGGATTTTGAATGTTCCCAAGATAAAGAAATGATAAATGTTTGAGGTGATGAATATACTGGTTACTCTGTATATTAGTCAGGGTTATCTAGAGGGACAGAACTGATAGGATATATATACAATAGGATATCCTATTGTATATAGGATATCCATATATATATATATAATATAATATATATATATGGGAGCTTATTATTAACTCACACAATCACAAGGTCCCACAACAGGCCACCTGAGGAGCGAGGAAGCCAGTCCAAGTCCCAAAACTGAAGAACTTGGAGTCCATGTTCGAGGGCAGGAAGCATCCAGCACGGGAGAAGGATGTAGGCTGGGAAGCTAGGCCAGTCTAGTCTTTCCACATTTTTCTACCTGCTTTATATTCTAGCCAAGCTGGCAGCTGATTAGATGGTGTCCACCCAGATTAAGGGTGGGTCTGCCTTTTCCAGCCCACTGATTCAAATGTTAGTCTCCTTTTGGCAACACCCTCACAGACACACCCAGGATCAATACTTTGCATCCTTCAATCCAATCAAGTTGACACTCAGTATTACTGTCATCACACCCTGATTAGACCACTACACATTGCACGTATCAAAACATCACCATGTACTCTACAAATATGTACAATTATTATGTGGTAATTTTTTAAATAATAATTTTTTAAAAAGAAAGAAATCAACCAGGGGGATGATACAAGAAATAGAAAGTAGGCATGAAAAAATACCTTAATAAAATGTATTATTGCCTAAAAACAGAAAAACAAAAATAATTACAGAATTCAGTGTGAACTTTGTAAATGTGTGTATAAAAGGTCTCACTATCTCAGGCACTGTTCAGTGTTCACTCATAAGATAGGAGCATTATTAATGCCTCTTACAGATGAGAGAATTGAGGTTCAGAGAGATTTTCTAGAACATCTCTCAGCTAGTAAATAGTAAATTAAGGCATGGGTGAAGCCTCAGTTTTGCCTGACTCCAAAATCAAGATTTTGGCCGGGTGTGCTGGCTCACACCCGTAATCCCAACATTTTGGGAGGCCAAGGCAGGTGGATCACCTGAGGTCAGGAGTTTGAGACCAGCCTGGCTAACATGGCAAAACCCCATCTCTATTAAAAATACAAAAATTAGCTGGGCTTGGTGGCATGCACCTGTAATCCCAGCTACTTCGGAGACTGAGGCAGGAGAATCACTTGAACCCGGGAGGTGGAGGTTGCAGTGAGCTGAGATGGCGCCATCACACTCCAGCCTGGACAATAAGAGTGAAATCCTGTCTCAAAAAAACAAAACAAAACAAAACAAAAAATCAAGATCGTCACCTTTATCCTGCCACCCTGGCATCAAAATATTAACAGTAGTTATCACTGAGTAGTGGGATTTTATAGGTGGTCTCCTTTTCTTCTTTCAAACTTTTCTTCACTTTGCAGTATTTTCTACTGAAGGCATTATTAATTTTATATTAGAAAAAATATTATCACATTACATATCTAAAATTTCATAATTACAACTAAAGAGGAACATATTTGGAACATTTACTAGATAAAAGGGCTAACATGTCAATGTACAAAGAGCTCCCATAAATTGATGAGAAGAGCCAGGCACGGTGGCTCACGCTTGTAATCCCAGCACTTTGGCAGGCCGAGGAGGGTGGATCACCTGAGGTCAGGAGTTCGAGACCAGCCTGACCAACATGGAGAAACCCTGTCTCTATTAAAAATACAAAATTAGCCAGGCATGGTGGTGCATGCCTGTAATTCCAGCTACTAGAGAGAGTGAGGCAGGAGAATCGCTTGAACCTGGGAGGCAGAAGTTGCGGTAAGCCAAAATTGCGCCATTGCACTCCAGCCTGGGCAACAAGAGTGAAACTCCATCTCAAAAAAAAAAAAAAAAATTGATGAGAAGAAATAAAACTCGAGAGAAAAACATGGGACTAGGAAACCCAAGGACGAATAATATAGAAAAAATTTCACGCCTGGCTAGTAGACAGGTAATTGCAAATTAAAACCATGATAAGGGCTGGGCACCGTGGCTCATGCCTGTAATCCCAGCACTTTGGGAGGCTGAGGCGGGTGGATCACGAGGTCAAGAGGTTGAGACCATCCTGGCCAACATGGTGAAACCCTGTCTCAACAAAAATACAAAAATTAGCTGGGTATGGTGGCACGCACCTGTAGTCCCAGCTACTCAGGAGGCTGAGGCAGGACAATCACTTGAACCCAGGAGGCAGAGGGTGCAGTAAACCGAGATCATGCCACTGCACTCCAGCTTGATGACAGAGTGAGACTCCATCTCAAAAAAAAAAAAAAAAGATAAGATACCATTTTTCACCCATCAAATTGGCAAAAATTAAAGATTGATAATATCCATGTGCTGGTGAGGAGACAGGAAAAGAGACACTATCACACACTGCGGTGGGATGGGGACTTTTGACTCGACTCTTCTGAACAAATTCTCTTAGTCTCTATTAACACTAAACATCCATACCGTTTTACCAGCAATTCTACTTGTAAGATTCTGTCTTACAGAAATAAAAACATCAATAGGTAAGGATATATGTTCATGAATAGTTATCGCAGCACTATGCGTACAGGAAAAAATGGAAAAGCATGGCTATCCACTAGTAATAAAATTGTAATACATCAATATCCATCAATTCAATGGAATATTAGGTAGTCATTAAAAATAATTAAATCCATAAGTCGGGGGAAAATCAGCCTGCAGAGTATTGTGTCCAGCCTGGCTACTCCAGTGTGCCCTATAGTCCTGCAGCATTGGCATCAAGCATGTTCTCACTCATCTGTGGAGTCTTTTAAAAAGTTGATGTTATAGAAGTAGGAAATAAAATAGTGGGAGCTTGTTGGAAATGCAGAATGTACACCCCAGAACTACAGAACCAAAACTTGCATTTTAATAAGATTCCCTAGGGGAAACACTGGTGTACAGTATGATCCCAAAGCAAAAGATTTCTCATGTATTGGGCAAAGCTGGATAGTCACAACCAAAATCTATCCTCTCCTAAACTAATAAACCCCTCATTTTTAGCTGGGTACATGGCCATCCAGAATAAACATTATACTTCCCGGCCTTCCTCAAGGTTTGGTATGGCGGTATAACTAAGCTCTGACCAAGGGGACAAGACAGTAAGTGAAGAATATAATTTCTGCATTTTGCTCGTAAAAGAAAAGTACCTGTATCCCCAGGTTATTCTTCTTTCTAACTGAAAAATGTCAACAACTGAATCAGCCACTGTATCACTCAGCTTGGGCTGCCATAACAAAATACCACAGACTGGGCAACTAAAACAACAGAAATTTATTTTCTCACAGTTCTGGAGGCTGGAAAGTCCAAGTTCAAGGTCCAGCAGGGTTTGGTCTCTGGTGGGGGCTCTCTTCCTGGCTTGGACACAGCTGCCTTCAGAGTGTCCTCCCATGACCATTCCTCAGTGCATGCACATGGATGGAGAAATCTCTTTCTCTTCCTCTTCTAATAAGGATGCCTATTAGAAGAGGTGTGGAATAAGGCTCTACTCTTATGACCTCAATTAACCTTAATTACCTCCTAAAAGCTTTATCTCCAAATACAATCATATCGGGGGTTAGAGTTTCAACATATGCATTTGTGGGATACATAATTCAGCCCATAGCATCCACCTTGGACCCAGAGATAGAAGCCACAACAAACATGTTCTACCCTCCTAACTGTCTACCTCTGAACTATTAGACAATAGAGAAATAAACTAGCATGTTGGTCAAGCTACTGTGTTTTGGTTCTCTGTTATAGCAGACTCACTGACTCACACGTATGTATGTTTACATGCATTCCACTGAGCAAGAAGAAAAGTATGAAACAATGCCCTTTAAACTGTTGCTGTTGATTGCTACAAGGTAGGAGTGGTGGATGAACTGAAATAAGAATATCGAGGGGAAAAGTTATCCAACAGCACCTCAGGTTTTGCGATCACACCCAATAGCTAGATGACTGCGGGAAACACACTTTTCCCCACTTTTTAAATAAATGCTTAAAACAGTAAAAATCTTTACAACAGGACTTTCGTTTTCCCCCAAGACCGAGTCTCTCACTGTTGCCCAGGCTGGAGTGCAGTGGCGCGATCTCAGCTCACTGCAACCTCTGCCTTCTGGGTTCGAGCGATTCTCGTGCCTTAGCCTCCCCAGTAGCTGGGACTACTGGGTGTAAGCCACCATGCCTGGCTAATTTTTGTATTTTTAGTAGAGACGGGGTTTCACCATGTTGGCCAGACTGGTCTTGAACTCCTGACCTCAGGTGATCCACCTGCCTTGGCTTCCCAAAGTGCTGGGATAATACGCATAAGCCACCGCACCTGGCCAGGTTTCTTAATTATAATGAAACATGACACAAATTTCAGTTCTAAATACACACTAATTTCCCCTCCCTCTCTCTCTTCCTCCCTCTGCAATGGGCATGCTGTAGCCCAGGGCAGCCCGGGGAGGGAGGTAGAATGAACATGATCCCAGGGTCCCAGTGCAGTTGGAACATCTTTCCAGTTTTATTTTCAGTTCTCCTCTCTGCACTCCAAGGTCATAGGATTTCCACATGCCCTTGGAAGAGCCTTTGGAAGGTATTTTCATCCTTCCTACTGGTAAAATGGCATCAAGGGTCCCCACCGGTTCAAGATGGGGACCTTGACTATATGGCAATGAAGACAGGGACACCCTGGCAGTAGCAGGTAGCCTTTGGCCATCTCTGCAGCAGGCTGGTGTTTGGGATCCACGAGGCACGGAAAGTCAGCACTCTGGAGGACCTGGTTGGGGTCACCC
This sequence comes from Homo sapiens, assembly GCF_000001405.40. NCBI lineage: Eukaryota > Metazoa > Chordata > Mammalia > Primates > Hominidae > Homo > Homo sapiens. Next base: position 88,529,290 of record NC_000002.12, on the reverse strand, counting down.
TGGGCCAGGTGCAGATCGTGGGAAGCTGGATATGTGAAATGGCAGGTGCTGGTGAACTTGCGCTCGTCCTCCCTCGTGGCCTCATGTTCCTGTGATGGGAAGAAGCCGGGGAGTCCCAGGTCTTTGGCAGTCATGTGGGGTCTTTTGAAAGCAGGGTACCCATCTGTTAGCTTGGGGTTGGGGTTAGGGATGGGCCTGTAAAACTCTTTGTCCCGGAGTTGAGCATCGAGCTTTGCCTGCTGTGGAAACAAATCACACATGAATGGAGGGGTGAGAGAGACAAGAGATGATGTAGCTTTTCTTGGAAGCATCCAAGACAGAGCACACCCTTCTTTATTTTTTCAAAACTTTAAATTAGTCCTTGAATGGTAACATATACAACAGAGGGAATGCTGAAATTACACAAAAGGGTTTATAGTGAAACGTAAGTCTCTTTCCCACTCTCCTCCTCCCTTGGTTCCCATCTCCAGAGACAACCACTGCTATCAGTGCTTTTTGTATCTCTCTAGAAATATTTGATGTGCATATAAACATGTATGTGTATATCTTCTTCCCTTGGTTTGTACAGAAATGATGAATATTATATTCCATCCCACACTTTGCTTCCATTAAATAACATCTCAGAAACTGATCCATCTTTGTTTGTTTAGATCTTTTTTTAGTGGGGAAACCTCAGGACGGGAGAAGATTTTTAAGCAATCTTGAAAAGAGAAAATGATAAAGGAAAAAACTGATAAATCTAACTATATTAACAATTAGAATTCACATTCCCTGAAATATTTAGTGCAAAGACAAACCACAAACTGGAGAAGAGTTTATCCACATATATAACTGACAAATGAAAAATGCTTAGGGCCAGGTGTGGTGGCTTACGCCTGTAATCCCAGCACTTTGGGAGGCTGAGGTGAGTGGATCACTTGAGGACAGGAGTCCAAGACCAGCCTGGCCAACATGGTAAAACCTCATCTCTACTAAAAATACAAAAATTAGCTGGGTGTCGTGGTGCATGCCTGTAATCCCAGCTACTCGGGAGGCTGAGGCAGGAGAATCGCTTGAACCCAGGAGGCGGAGGTTGCAGTGAGCCAAGATCAAACCACTGCACTGCAGCCTGGGCAACAGAGCCAGACTCCTTCTCAAAAAAAAAAAAAAAAAGGGAAAATGCTTAGAATATTTTTTAGAACGTCTACAAATTAATAAGAAAAAGACAAGAAACCCAGTAGAAAAATGAGCAAAAGACATAAACAGACATTTTATAAAATAGCAAATCTCCATCGACAAATGAAAATGTGTCCAACCTCATTGTTAGTGAAATGAAAATTATGACCACAGGAAAATATGATTTTGCACCCACCAAACTGGCAAAAATTAAAATGTCTGCCAATACCAAGCAATGGCAAGATTGCAGAGCAGCAGAAGTAACTGTCTCCTGCTGGCCATAATGTAAATTGGTGCAACTGCTTTGGAAAACAGTGATTTTACCTAATACTCCATGACAAACAATTCCACTCCTGGAATGGATAAACTCTTGAACATTAGGATGTGACTTATCTCATCTTCAATGCAGCATTTGGGAGTGGGAAGAGTAGGAATAAAGCACCCAAATGTCCACCAATAAGAAGAGACAGATACAGAAACGACAAATACGGTACACTGTGGCATATTCATGCAATGTAATACTATGCAGCAGAAAATGAATAATATGCCATAATGTTTAGCAAAAAGTGACAATTGTGGAAGGGTACAAATCCAATATGTAATAAAGTTCAAAAAGGCAAAACCAAAGAATATATACATATAAGGTAAAATGAGTTTTTAGAAAAACACATAAGGGAATGATTTTTTTGGGGGGGATAGAGTCTCGCCCCACCTCCCAGGTTCAAGCAATTCTCATGTCTCAGCCTTCCACGCAGCTGAAAATACAAGCGTGCACCAACAAGCCAGGCTAATTTTTGTATTTTTTATAGAGACGGGATTTCGCCATGTCAGCCAGGCTGGTCTCGAACTGCTGGCCTCAAACTCCTGGTCTCAAACCCCTGGTCTCAACTCCTGGCCGCCTCTGCCTCCCAAAATGCTGGGATTCCAGGTGTGAGCCACTGTGCCTGGCCTACAAGGGAATGATTAACCACTTCTGGAGATGGGAGGAGGGGTAAGTTTGCGGGTTACCAAGAGGCTACAAGGTACTGCTAATGTTAATGTGCCATGTTTTAAGCGGTCTGTAATGGTTACATCGGTGTTTATCAGTGTAATTTTAACTCTAAATGTGTATTATTTACAATTTTTTGTATGCATGACGTATTTGATGTACATTTGAAAACATACACACATGGCCGGCCACGGTGGCTCACGCCTGTAATTCTAGCACTTTGGGAGGCCGAGGCAGGTGGATCACGAGGTCAGGAGTTCAAGATCAGCCTGGCCAGGATGGTGAAATCCCATCTCTACTAAAAATACAAAAATTAGCTGACGCAGTGGCAGGCACCTGTAATCCCAGCTACTCAGGAAGTTGAGGCAGGAGAATCGCTTGAATCCAGGCAGGCGGCAGAGGTTGTAGTGAGCCGAGATCGCGCCACTGCACTCCAGCCTGGGTGACAGAGTAAGACTCCTTCTCAAAAAGAAAAAAAAAATACACACACATACATGCACATGCACAGAAAAGATCTCTAAGTCATATCTCCTGGCATTGGATATTGTTCTAACAAGGGCCCAAATGTCCACATTTGTAATACAAATGAAGCAACAGAGAGGATTTCAGTAGGCAGTTGATTGAATGACAGGACTTGCGTGCCTTCCTACCTCTTGCGGCGTGACCCTGGAGTATTTGTGCTTCCTGTAGGGCTGATAGTCGACCATGTGGGAGCTTTGGTATATGTCTAAATCCACAGGGTCCTAAAGCACAAGGAGAATATAAAACAAGAGATTCCCTCGTCACTCCTCCACTTAAAGCCATTCAATGGCTTCTTGCTGTTTGTAGGACAAAGGCCGACTTTGGGGCCTGACATTCAGAGCCCAAATGATCTGGCTGTGACCCATTTTTACCATCCCGCCACCTTCCTGCCTTCTCTACTCCAGCCTTACTTCCTCCCACTTGCATGGGCCTGGCATGTGCTCTTTCCTATCTCCTGATGGAAATGCAAGTTGCCCTCCTCACAGACTAGCAAACTCCTACCTATCCTCCAAGACCCAGACTAAATGTCACTTCCCCAAAACATCTCTCCCACCCTTTTATTCTCCACCTCCCAAGAGTTAAACCCTTTCCTTGTTCCTTACAACCCTCCACAACAGCACTTGCAGGGTGTACTGTGATGGATTTAATGAAGTACACTAGAGCAGGTTTAGTGTACTTAGACATCTCTGCAGTCCCAAAGCCCAGGACAGGGCCTGGCACACTGTGGGTGCCTAATAAGTGCATGCTGAGTAAATAACTGAACCCCCAGAAAATTATAAAGAAGAAAACTCAGTTCTCTTCTTCTTCTTGTACCAAAAAAAAAAAAAACCCACAAAACCCAAAACTATCATTACAGAAAGATGAGCTTCTAGAAAGAGCCTGGCCCTTCCAGGGCCTTGCTGAGGCTACCCAACCCTGAGACCGTCACAGGGGACAGAAACCCACATCACTCACCTGTCCCGGGTATTTCACACCTGCCATGGCAAACGACCTAGACACAGACAAGTTGTTTAGCCCTGCTCTGCCACAGACAAGGAAAGTAGCCACTATCTTCAAGCTGTGCCAACCAAGCATGGCTGCCCCAGCTTTCTTAGCCCACTCCTCCCCATCTTCCCTGGGCTCCTACCCTGCATGTCACTCCATCATCAAGGGGTTGGTGGTGATACCAGGGTCCCTGGGACAAAGGGGCTGGAGCAGGACTCAGGAGGAATGAGGGCTGTTTAGAAGATCACATTTACTGATCAGGTTTACTGTTTGAGAGGTATAGCTGATCCTAGGGCAAGTGAAGTGCTGGTAAATGTTTAACAACCATGTTTTCAGGGAAAATAGGCCCTGGGTTTATAGCATCTGCCAATTTCTGTGGTGTAAATGCTCCTATCATGGCTCATTTCAGGCTATCAACATAATGTCATTGGCACTGAGTTGCACAGATATGCACAGGATGGGCTCTTGTGAGCCAGTATGAACTGGCTCCAGCTCACATGTTCCTCTGAACCAGGCCTCAGCACTTCCCCTGGATAGAGGAAGGCCCAGGCCTAGGACTCAGAGCCACCTTGATTCACAGGGGAGTATCCAAGGTGAAGAAAGTTGCAAGACTCTGCATTCCCAGTTGAACAACAGTAGTTTGTAGGCCTAACACTGACCCCTCCCTTCCAGCCCTGAAGTCCTAGCGAGGGCCTCGCTGCACAGACTCCTTGTGTGCGTGGCCCCTAGATCCTTAAGGGGTACTCCACTGCATTCCCAGGGAACCCTCCCCTAAGCCCCACTCTCTTCAGCAGACTGTGGCCCAGCAGGGTGGTGCCCAGACCTCAACCAACACCTGTATCCCCTCCCTTTTGCTCACAGACAGCTTCTCTCCTAGGGCTGGGGACCAGCTGCCACGCAGACAGAGCCTACCGCTTCTTCTGCCAGGGCAAGACGACGCTCCTGCCCTCCCACCTCCAGGTGCCCTTGCCACATGGAGAGTCCTGTTGCTGTGTCCCACTGCCACGCCTGTCTTTGAGTTGAGCCCTGACCTGTATGATGAGGGTCCCTGTCATTGTGAGGTGAGTAGGTGGCTGCTTGGGCTGCCTGCAGGTCAGTTCCCTGTCCCTGGCTCACCAGAGCCAACATGAATCCTGGCAGCACATGAACCAATGCTTTCCGATACTCTACAGAATCTTCCTAGTCCTAGGAGAGGAAGGTAAATAGAGCCCATGTGGTTTACAACATCAGACTGTGTGTGACTAAATCCACTTCACACCACAGACTGCCACCCAGGCCTCTGCTGCCTGAAAGCCTGGCTCAAAATTGTCAAAATGTCACTTTTTGACATTCATAGTGTGTGGCTACAATAAAAAAAAAATACAGAAACAAGCGTTGATGAGGATGTGGAGAAATTCCACTTCTAGTTATAAATAAAAAAGAATTGAAAGCAAGGGCTCAAATGGATACCTGTACACCAACGTTCACAACAGCATGGTTCACAATAGTCAAAAGGTAGAAACAACTTACATGTCCTTCAGAGATGAATGGATTTGGTATCTACGTACAATGGAATATTATTCAGCCTTAAAAGGGAGGCCAGGCACGGTGGCTCACGCTGGTAATCCCAGCAACTTGGGAGGCCGAGGCAGGCAGTTTGCCTGAGGTCAGAAGTTCCAGACCAGCCTGACTAACATGGTGAAACCCCGTCTCTACTAAAAATACAAAAATTAGCCGGGTGTGGTGGTGCACGCCTGTAGTCCCAGCTACTCGGGAGGCTGAGGCAGAAGAATTGCTTCAACTCGGGAGGCAGAGGTTGCAGTGAGCCGAGATCACACCACTGCACTCCAGCCTGTGTAACAGAGCGACACTCTGTCTCAAAACAAAATTAAAAAAAAAAAAAAAAAGGGAAGGCAATTCTGACACGTGCTACAGCATGGATAAACCTTGAGGACATTATGCTAAGCAAAATAAAGCAAAATAAGCCGGTCACAAAAAGAAAAATGCTGCATGATTCCACTTCTGCGAGGTACCTAGAGAAGTACAATTCATAGAGACAGAAAGTAGAATGATAGTTGCCAGAGACTGAGGAGAGGAATGGGGAGTTACTGTTTAATGGATATGAAGTTTCTGTTTCAGAATATTAAAAAAAGTTCTGGGAATGGATGGTGGTGATGGTTGCCCATTGTGAATGTACTTAATGCCACTGAATTATTCACTTAAAAGTGACTAAAATGATAAACTTTGTTATATATATGAAATTGTATATATATTTGTATTTTATATATTTTATGTAATTATATACAAATATGTATATTTAATTTTATATATAATATTAAACATATATGTTACATATATTATATATATAATTTTAATAATCCACCTTCTTTAAGGGACACCTCCTCTATAAAGCTTTCCTTTATCTCACTAGGTGCCACCATAGACTCATTTATCCAACCAATATTTACTGAGCACTTCTTTTGTGTTTGGGCATTGTTCTGAACTTTATAGATTCAAGAACAAAAATAGATGGAAATCTCTGCTTACATTCTGGTGAGATGAAAACACAGAGCAAACACAATAATAAGCAGGTCACCCTCCCTTAGATAGAGCAAATAAGCCAGGCGATGCACAAGAGGATGACTAGTGGGCACTTCAGATGGGAGGTCCAAGGAGGTCTCTCTGAGAGGGTGATGTTATAGTAGAGATCTGAAGCATGGGAAAGAACCAGCCATGCAAAGATCTGAGAATAAGGGGTTCTAGACACAGCAATCAGCTAGTGCAAAGCCTAAAGGCAGGAACCACTGAGAACAAGAATCACCAGCCATGTGCCTAGAAAGGAGTGAATGATGGGCAAGGTCAAGAGATTGAGTTGGCTGGGAATCTCTGGCATTCCTCTTCTTTAATGGAATGCCAACTTCCCCTCAGATAATTATTTCCTGCCTTTCTTTGAGTGTGTCCACAGAATTAATGTGTTAGAAATTTGGTCCCCAGCATGGCAGTGTTGGGAGGTGAGGCCTTTAAGATTTGATGAGGTGGTTAAGAGGGATTAATGCCACTCTCTTGGGACTGCGCTAATTCTCACCATAGTGAGTGAGTTATCACTCTCTCAGGACTGGATTAGTTAACCCAAGAGCCAGTTGTTGTAAAGTGAGGCCGCCCCTCATGTTTCGCCACTTTTGCGTGTACTCGCTTGCCCTCCCACTTTTGTACCACGTTATGATACAGTATGAAAAGGCCTTGCCAGAAGCTGCTGTCATGCCCTTGAACTTCCTAACCTCCAAAACTGTGAGCCAAATAAACTTCTGGGTTTTGTTGTTGTTGTTGTTTATTGAGATGGAGTCTTGCTCTGTTGCCCAGGCTGAAGTGTGCAGTGACGTGATCTTAGTTCACTGCAACCTCCACCTCTTGGGTTCAAGCAATCCTCCCACCTCAGCCTCCTGAGTAACTAGGAGTATTGGCATGCACCACCATGCCGAAGTAACTTTTTTTGTATTTTTAGTAGAGATAAGGTTTCACCACATTGGCCAGGCTGGTCTGGAACTCCTGAACTCAAGTCATCTGCCCGCCTCGGCCTCCCAAAGTGCTAGGATTACAGGCGTGAGCCACCAGGCCCAGCCTTAAACTTTTTTTTTTTTTTTTTTTTTTTTTTTTTTTTACAAATTATCTAGTCTGTGGTATTCTGTTACAGCAACAAAAAATGAACTAAGACACTCCCCTTTGGGGATCACATGGCATGGGTGGTGCTGATCCTACTCCAACTCTAAATGGGCATGTTGCCACCAGAACATTCCACTCTCTAGGCCACAGTGATTGATTCAGGGGGAGGCTCATGATCCAAGCTGGACTGATGAGTGCCATCCCTAGCTCTTGGGAAGGAAGAGCTGAAACAGCAGGCACTAAGAACCATGTGAGCCTGAGGCTGCCTGAAGCCACTGTGTAGAGAAAGCCAGGCCAATAATAAAATCAGCACAAAGACAAGACTATCCCAGAGATAGAAACAGCAACAGCATTTTGACTAACACTGAGCCCCTGGATATAACCATGCCTGAAGCAAGCTTGATCTACATCTACACTTCGCAGTTTATGTGAGCCAGTACATTCCTTTTCTTGCTAAAGCCAATTTCAGTTGAGTTTCTGTAACTGCCAGCTGAAACAATACCTACAAATTCAAGGTTGGAGTGCTCACATAGTTATTTCTCCTAACTAACTGTGGGATTCTTGAGGGAAAGAGCTGGATCTTACTTTTTATTCCTCAGTGCACCAACACTTAAGCATGGGGATTTAAGAAGTGCTTGTGAATTAAATAAAACTGAAAGAGATGGCAAAGGCTAAGGCAAAGAACAGAGTGGCCACAGGGATAAGAGTGGAGGAGACAGCTGGGGCATAAGTGATTTTTGTGCCCCAAGTATGTATTTTTCAGAAAAATATTACCAAGTACATTTTTGGAGTCCTGAATTCAAATTCTGATACTTGCTATCCTCATGTCTTTGGGTAAATCATCTAAGATTAATAAAAGGCAGTTTGATCATCTGTAAAACAGAGGTAACACCTACCTGAAAAGAGTGTAGGAAGTCAACAGATATGTCTGTGAAAGTGCTTGGTGTTCTTCAAACCAATATTTGCCCCCATATTTTTTGAGTTCCTGCTGTATCTCAGGCATTGTGCAAGGGCCTGGAATTATGGTAACGAAATAAAATAGAAATGGTCTCTGTCCTTACGAAGTTACAGTACGATGGGAGATAAATATGCAAATAATCACACAAGTGAGTCTTTCATTACAATTTTGACAAGTGCCATGAAAAAATGTGGAGTATCGGAGGTTGATCCAGTCTTGGAATCTGGTCAGAGAAAACTTGCCTCAAGTAATGACATTTTAACTCAGTTCTAAAGGGGAAGGAGACTTCTGTTCACTGCCCTAGGGCAGGAAATAGACTTCCCACGTGTAGGAGAGAGCCTGCTCTGCTGCAGCAGAGCCAGGAGGGACAAGGGCAGCTCCAGATGAGGCTGGAGAGGAGATACTACCTCATCACGCACGTATGGGAAGAACTTTGACTTTATCCATTGTAGGCCACTGGATGATGATGATGATGGCTGGGACAGTTGGATGAGATGGCAGTAGATATGGAGAGAAGTGAGTAGGTTCAAGGGACGTTAGGAAAGTAGACCGCATAGGATTTAATCATTATCAGAAAGAGGCAGTGGCAAGACAGAGTAGGGTCAAAAAGATTCCCAGATTTCTCAAATAAGCCATTGGAGCTTGATGGTCCTTTGATGAGGTGGGAAAGGCAGGAGGAGGCATTGGTTTGGGAAGTGCTATGGTTTGAATATTGTCCCCTCCAAAACTCATGTTGAAATTTAATCTATGTGGCAGCATTGAGAGGTGGGGACTTTACAAGGTGACTGGGTCATGAGGGCTCTTCATGAATTAATGAATTAATGGGTTAATGGATTAATGGGTTATCATGGGAGGGCAACTGGTGTCTTTATAAGAAGAAAAGAGACCTGAGCTAGCACGTCAGCATGCTCAGCCCCTCACCAGGTGATGCTCTGCTCTGCTCTGGGACTCTGAAGGGTCCCCACCAGCAAGAAAGCCGTCACCAGATATGGCCCCTTGACCTTGTACTTCACAGCCTTTATAACCATGAGAAATAAATTACTTTTCTTTATTAAGCACCCAGTTTCAAGTATTCTGTTATAAGCAACAGAAAATGGACTAATACCAGGAATAAATCTATGAGTGCAGTTGGGGTCCTATTCTAGTTGTGGAGCCTGTGTGGTTTCCAAGAAGAGGCGAGTAAACACATGGGCAGAAGGATTTATAGTTCAGAGAAGAAAGTTCTGAACATGTTATACACTCTGGAATTGCTGATGATATAGGTGGTACTTGAAGCTAACAGGGAGGATGGACAATATCCCTAATTTAGGTACTACAGCCTCCCAAGTAGCCCTGCAGAGCAACCCTGCCCTGACACTAAAAGGCATTCTGTGCCTCCCAAATGGAGTGTTCAAGGGCAGCAGGAGGGAAATCAGGCCAGAAGGATGATAAGGTCACTGGCACTTGTGCTCAGGCCTTGCTGGTCCATGTACTCGAGCCTCTTTTTGGCCCCTTTGTGTGCCACCTTCACTGCAGTCAGGTTTCTTTTTTTTTTTTTTTTTTGAGACAGTCTCACTCTGTCACCCAGGCTGGAGTGCACTGGCGCGATCTGAGCTCACTGCAACCTCTGCCTCCCAGGTTCAAGCGATTCTCCTGCCTCAGCCTCCTGAGTAGCTGGGATTACAGGCATGTGCCACCACGCCCGGCTAATTTTTGTATTTTTAGTAGAGACGGGGTTTCACCATGTTGGTCAGGCTGTTCTCGAACTCCTGACCTCATGATCTGCCCACCTCAGCCTCCCAAAGTGCTGGGGTTACAGGCGTGAGACACTGCGCCCAGCATGTTTCTGCAGAATCTCTTAGCTTTGGTGCCAATGCAGCAACGTTAGTGCAACAAGCTGCAGGAGTGGCTAGGCCCTCAGCTCAGCCACCCGCTGGTTATGGCAGTGTGGACAAGTCACTTCACTCCCAGGAGCTCAGTGCCCTCTTCATTGAGATTGAAATCCTCAATGCCTGCACAGGCTTCCTCCACCCCAGACTACCACATAGTTAACTGAACTTGAGTGAGCTTGCCTGAAACACTGCAAAACATCATGGAAACACTGCAAAACATCATGTTGTACCAATTTTTAAGTTTTTACAATGCAATACATGTGATTTTTCTGAAGTTCAAATGGGTAAATGTTTTCATGGTTCTCATTGTCTCCTTCAGCAGCAGGCAAGGGAGGATCTTTCCTACATATGTAAGAGACAAAAAATAACCCAGAAAACAAATCCTGCTTTTGTTTTTTTAAAGTTTCAATCACATAGAAATTTTGCATTCAAATTGTGTAAGATAAACCAAATTATATTATTTAAAAAACACTCATATAGAAATATGAGTGTACTTCTAGAAGCACAGTTATGTTAAAATAAATGTTATTTTAAAGGATGCAAAAAAGGTGTGTGGACAAGATCCAATAAACAGGTTATACAAAGCAGAGGCACACCAAACGCCCTCAACAAGCATCATTCCTCCTCCTCCCTTGCTACCTCCAATGAGGATATTCACCTCTAAATCTATATATCTATACTGAGAAAATAGCCCAATACATATACAACAGGGTTGGATGTGAAAACTAAAGAAGAAAAGTATCAATTACTTAGCACCTAGTCTGGTATGCTGTAGGACTTTAATTATTGTAACCTTCATTCATTCGATGGAAATAGGAACAAGAACACCCCAAAAGTCATCTGAGAGTGACTCCCACATCTCCCACCATAACCTGGAGAGAGCTGGGCCCCAAATTTCTGCCTATGCAAATTCAGTATGTTAATATTGTTAAATCACAGGAGGAAATTCTTCTCCCCAATCAGAAGCCCTCAAGTTCCTCCAGGCTTATATTAAAGGGATTACAATCCATTTCCTTCCTAATACGGCTAATGCGCTATGGGAAGCCCTCGGGCCAGGGATTAAAGCATTTATGCCTTTAATTAGGAGCAACCCTTCCCTTAGAGCCTGAAACACAAACAGCAAGTCGACACTACAAAGGCCTCCTCCCCAGCTCAGTGGGGATATTGCTCCCTCTCCAGGATCCTGGAGCCTCCAAGAGCTTAGCAAACACTGCTTTCCCAAAAGAGATGTCTTAGCCAGGAGGACCCTCATCAGAAATAGAAACCCCTTCACCTGAAGAACAAAACAAACAAAAAACAGATCTTGAGTTAATTCAGGATCAGCCCCTGCCGCACAGCAGGGAAGGCAAGAGGAATCCATTCCATTAAAGGGCCCTGAGGAATCAGCACATCTCCAGGAGGGATCAGGACGCTGACTGTCCCACTGCCACAAACACACTGGGTCATTAGGTTTCAAGTGGATGGCTCTGAAAATTAAAAAGTGATGGTGCTTCGGAGAGGTCTGTCCCCAACTGGATGCCTTTGGGAGCCCCACACACAGGGTCTGTCATCCTTTTCCATTCTAGATTCATAGAAACTAGCTGGGTCACCTAGCATAGGATTTCTCCAAGGGCAGCCCAATGACCCTCTTCTTCAAAGTCCCCTGGGATACATGTTAAAATCCAGATTTCTGCTGCCACACTTGTGTCAGAATCTCTGGGAAATGAAGCCAACCCTGGACTTTTAACAAGCTTTACTGGAGATTCTGTGATTCTTATGCATGGGTAGGAGGACCATGGCTGGGCCACCCCTACTATTTATAGAGCGGGGAGCTGGGGCCCAAAATCTTTCAGGGATGGACAGAAGCAGACAGCCAATCAAGGCCTGGTCTGGGATGCTTTCGGGGCGGTGGATGTGCACAGTACCTGAGAAATGATACCAAAAGAACCTGTGAAATTGTTAAACTGAGATAAGAACTCAGGACCTTTTGCTTCATTTGTTCAACACACAAGTATTGACTGTCTTAGGTGAGCGAGGCATGGTGCTAGATGCTGTGTGTATGTGAGTGTGTGTGTGTGTGTGTGTGTGTGTGTGGTCATAGGAAGGAAGGTGTTGGTGGATGATGATAAAAGATGAAAAACTCTGTTCCTGCCATCCAGCACTTTACACACTGGGAGGGAGAGGAAGCAGGAAGTGTCCAAAGAAAGCACATGCAGGGAAGTGCAGAAGCAGGCCAGGGTCATCTGGAGTTGAGGGAGACTGAAGAAATGGCAGAGAACAGGTAGCGATGAAATCAAGTGTTAGATGAGGAGCATCCTTCTCTTGTCCAAATTTGCTCCACCCCTGAAGCCTCCGCCACTCCCTGGCTTCTGGTGGGAACTACTTCCTAACTACTCATTCTCACCTACATCCCTTTTCTCTGAACATTTATGACACTTCAGCAGATATTTGTCACTTACTTTATGCCATGTCCATGTCTTTGTTTAGTTGTGCTTTTTTTTTTGCTTCCCCCACAAAAAAATATTTGAACTGCCTTTTTCCTCTTGACTTCCTCTGAGCCTGCTAGACCCTCCATAATGCTCTTTGACTATATAGGGGATATTTAAAAGTCAGGCTGGAAAGGCATCTGGGGCTGTGCAATGAAGACCTTCAGTGCTGGACTTACATGGGGGAGGCTAAATGCAGAGAGGAAAAAGCTTTAGAGTCAGATGATTTTGCACTTGAACTCAGCTTTACCACTTACAAACTGTGTGTCTTTGGGTAAGTTACTTATATTCTCTCTTCGGTTTCCTTCTGAAGTGGTAAAGTAGGGCTAAAAATGCCTGCCCTGCAGGAGAATAAAGTAAAACTCTGGGAAAACCCTGCCCAGCCCAATGCCTGATGTACAGTACATGCTCAATAAATGAGAGTGAGCATGGATCATGTCATTCAACAGTAACATGATGAAAGGGACCTTTCAAAAGGAACTGTGTGGGGTAAGTATGCAGCACAGACAGGAAAGAAGAGAATACAGAAGAAATGACGGCCAGGCACGGTGGCTCACGTCTATAATCCCAGTATTTTGGGAGGCTGAGGCAGGTGGATCACCTGAGGTCAGGAGTTCACGACCAGCCTGACTAATATGGTGAAACCCGGTCCCTACTAAAAATACAAAAAATTAGCTGGGCACGGTGGCATGCGCCTGTAGTCCCAGCTACTCGGGACGCCGAGACAGGAGAATTGCTTGAACCCAGGAGGCAGAGGTTGCAGTGAGCTGAGATCATAGCACTGCACTCCAGCCTGGGTAACAGAGTAAGACTCCATCTCAAAAAAGAAGAAATGACAACAGCCAGAGGCTCCTACAACTCCCCAGGCACTTGAGAATTGACTGGACATTCAGTAGTAACAGTAACAACAAGGCAATCCTCTGTGCTGGGTACGGTCCTGACAGCTTTGTGTGGATTTGATTCACTTAATCATCACCCTAGGCCGAGCGTGGTGGCTCACGCCTGTAATCCCAACACCCTCTTTGAGGTGGGTGGATCATCTGAGGTCAGGAGTTTAAGACCAGCCTGGCCAACATGGTGAAACCTCATCTCTACCAAAAATACAAAATTAGTCGGGAGTGGTGGTGCACACCTGTAATCCCAGCTACTTGGCAGGTTGAGGCAGGAGAATCGCTTGAACCCAGGAGGCGGAGGTTGCAGTGAGCTGAAATCGTGCCATTGCACTCCAGCCTAGGCAACAAGAGCCAAACTCTGTCTCAAAAAAAAAAAAAAAAAAAAATTAGCTGGGCATGGTGGTGCACACCTATAATCTCAGCTACTCCAGAGGCTGAGGCAGGAGAATTGCTTGAACGTGGGAGGCGGAGGCTGCAGTGAGCCAAGATTGTGCCACTGTGCTTCAGCCTTAAAGACAGAGCAAGACTCCATCTCAAAAAAAAAAAAAAAAAAAAAATGCCGGGCGCGGTGGCTCATGCCTGTAATCCCAGCACTTTGGGAGGCCGAGGCGGACGGATCACGAGGTCAGGAGATCGAGACCATCCTGGCTAACACAGTGAAACCCCATCTCTACCAAAAATACAAAAAATTAGCTGGGCGTGGTGGTGGGCACCTGCAGTCCTAGCTACTCGGGAGGCTGAGGCAGGAGAATGGCGGGAACCTGGGAGGCGGAGCCTGCAGTGAGCCAAGACAGCGCCACTGCACTCCAGCCTGGGCAAAAGAAAAAGACTCCATCTCAAAAAAAAAAAAAAAAAAAAAAAAATCACCCTAACTGTACAATATAGGTCCTTTTTATTCTTCCCATTTTGTAAGTGGGTTCTCCAGAGAAACAGAACCTGTATGTGTGTATGTATATACACATACACACACACACACACACATATACATATCCATACATACCTATATACATGGAGAGAGATTATAGGAATTGGCTCACATGATTATAGAGATAAGAAGTCCCACACTTTGCCATCAGTAAGCTGCAGAACCAGGTAAACTGGTGGTATAATTCAGTCTGAGTCTGAAGGCCTGAGAACCAGAAGCGCCCATGTACATAAGGGCAGGAGAAGACAGATGTTTCAGCTTGAACAGCAAGACAGCAAATTTGCCCTTTTTCTGCTTTTTTATTCTGTTTAGGTCCCCACTGGATTGGATGATACCTCCCCACATTGAGAAGGGTGTTCACCTGTACTTGGTCTACTAATTGAAATGCTAATCTCTTCTGGAAATGCCCCCAGAGACATACCCAGAAATAGTGTTTTACCAGCTATCTGGGCATCCCTTATCCCAGGCAAGTTGACACATAAAATTAGCCATCAGAGTAAATAACTTGCTCAGGTTCACACACAGTTAAGAAGTGACAGGAGCAGGATTCCAGCCTCAGCTGCCTGGAATCAGAGTTCACACTTTCAACCACAGTGTCTATGGCCTCTGCATGCGTGGTGAGAAAAAGATCTAAAGAGGGCAATCTATATGCTGGAATTTGGGGGATGGTTTTTATTTTAAACAATTTCTAAAACATTCTAATAGAAAAGTGGCTCCTGATCTGGAAGCTCTGGTGTTCTCCTACGGGGCATAAACAACTTCACAGAGCATCAACATCAGACAAGACCGTTGTGACCATGATGGATGAAGACAAAAACAAGACTCCTCCATAACCATGTCTCAACACAGACAAAACATGAACATTGTCCAAGACAGACACAAAAATAACCAAAAACTTCCCTATCCAGCCTAATGGTAACTGCTGCTTCTTTAGCCTTGACTTACTCCTCCTGCCTTATAGATAAGAACTATCAGGCCAGGCATGGTGGCTCACGCCTGTAATCCTAGCACTCTAGAAGGCCAAGGCGGGTGGATCAACTGAGGTCAGAAGTTCGAGACCAGCCTGGCCAACATGGCGAAACCCCATCTCTACTAAAAATACAAAACTTAGCCGGGCGTGGTAGCAGGTGCCTGTAATCCCAGCTATTCGGGAGGCTGAGGCAGGAGAATCGCTTGAACCCCAGGGGCAGAGATTGCAGTGAGCTGAGATTGCACCACTTCACTCCAGCTTGGGCGAAAGAACAAGACTCCATCTCAAAAAAATAAATAAATAAAAAATAAGACCACAGAGTTACATCTGCTTCCAGACAGCATATAATCCAGAGCAAAACCCGACTCTCTTAAACCCTCCCCCAAATCACCTGACACAAGCTCGAATCCTGTAATTTTTTTTTTTTTTTTTGACACAGGGTCTTACTCTGTCACCCAGGCTGAGTGCAGTGGTGCAATCACGGCTCACTACAGCCTCAACCTCCCTGGCTCAGGCAATCCTCCCACCTCAACCTACCAAGTAGCTTGGACCACAGATGTATGCCACCATGCCCAGCTAATTTTTGTATTTTCTATAGGGACACGGATTTCCCATGTTGGCCAGGCTGGTCTCTAACTCCTAGGCTCAAGCAATTCACCAGCCCCAGCTTCCCAAAGTGCTGGGGTTATAGGCATGAGCCACTGTCCCCGGCCAATTATAGATACTTTTTTTTTTTTTTGAGATGGAGTCTTGCTCTGCTGCCCAGGTTATAGTGCAGTGGCGTGATCTCGGCTCACTGCAACCTCTGCCTCCCAGGTTCAAGTGATTCTCCTGCCTCAGCCTCCCGAGCAGCTGGGATTACAGGCGCATGCCACCATACCCAGCTAATTTTTGTATTTTTAGTAGAGATGAGGTTTCACCATGTTGGCCAGGCTGGTCTTGAACTCCTGACCTCATGATCCACCCACCTTGGCCTCCCAAAGTCCTGGGATTACAGGCATGAGCCACCACACCCAGCCCAATTATAGATACTTTCTAACACCCCATTCCAAAAGCTTCCCATTGTATGTGTTTTCCCTATTTGCTACTAGAAATAAACTCAATTTGTTCAATTCCAGTTGGGTCCCTAATGATCTTTGGATGGAAGTCACTGACATCCTATTGAACATCCCAGTGTTTCAGTATCCAATCTGTTTCTCAGACTGCCTCTCCCAGTAAGAAGGAAATGTCATTCAATTCAATTGAAATCCCATAGAAAGAAGCTGATAATTGGCCAGCACGGTGGCTCACGCCTGTAATCCCAGCACTTTGGGAGGCCGAGGCGGGTGGATTGCGAGGTCAGGAGCTCGAGACCATCCTGGTTAACACGGTGAAACCCCATCTCTACTAAAAATACAAAAAATTAGCTGGACATGAGTGGCGGGTGCCTGTAGTCCCAGCTACCGGGAGGCTGAGGCAGGAGAACGGTGTGAATCCAGGAGGCGGAGCTTGCAGTGAGCCGACTTCACGCCATTGCACTCCAGCCTGGGTGACAGAGCGAGACTTTGTCTCAAAATAAAAAAGGAAAAGAAAAGAAAAAAGAAAGAAGCTGATAATCAGGCTGAATTTTTAAAACAGTTTTTGAGTCTTGTGGAAAAAACTGAAGCTTTTCAGAATAAGAAAATAAACTAAGAATTAGTCTGTCTACCAGTCACTGTGCTAGACGTGGCGACTGTTCTACCACTGGATCTTTACGCTTCTTTGATGCTGTTATGATTCTCACCCTCACTTTTAAAGAGAATGCTCTCCCCCTTTCTGCTGAGGAGCTCTAACAAACACACTGCATCGTCAAGGCTATGCTGTGGTTGGGAACTCAAAGTGTCACTGGCATCATCTTTGCCTGCTTCATTTTTGTGTTGTCAGATCTCCTCAACAGAAAGGGGAAAGCATTCTCTTTAAAAGTGAGAGTTAGGCTGGGTACGGTGGCTCACGCTTGTAATCCCAACATTTTGGGAGCCCAAGCCGGGCGGATCACTTGAGGTCAGGAGTTCGTGTCCAGCCTGGCAAACCTGGTGAAACCCCATCACTACTAAAAATACAAAATTAGCCAAGTGTGGTGGTGGGTGCCTGTAGTCCCAGCTACTCAGGAGGCTGAGGCAGGAGAATCACTTAAACTTGGGAGGTGGAGGCTGCAGTAAGCCTAGATTGCACCATTGCACTTCAGCTTGGGCAATAGAGTGAGACTGTCTCAAAAAAAAAAAAAAAAAAAAAAAAAAGGCCGGGCGCGGTGGCTCACGCCTGTAATCCCATCACTTTGGGAGGCCGAGGCAGGCGGATCACCTGAGGTCAAGAGTTCAAGACCAGCCTGGTCAACATGGTGAAACCCCATCTCTACTAAAAATACAAAAAATTAGCTGGGCGTGGTGGTGGGCACCTGTAATCCCAGCTACTCGGGAGGCTGAGGCAGGAGAATAGCTTGAACCTGAGAGGTGGAGGTTGCAGTGAGCTGACATCACACCACTGCACTCTAGCCTGGTGACACAGCAAGACTCCATCTAAAAAAAAAAAAAAAGTGAGGGTGAGAATCATAACAGCACCAAATAATTGTTGAGAAGATCCAATGGTAGAAAAGTCGTCATGTCTAGCATAGTGACTGGCAGAGAGACTGCAATTGTTTATTTTCTTGTTCAGAAAAGCTTCAATTTTTTCCACAAGACTCAAAAACCATTTTAAAACTTCAGTGGCCGGGCACAGTGGCTCACGCCTGTAATCCCAGCACTTTGGGAGGCCAAGGCGGGCGGATCACAAGGTCAGGAGATCGAGACCATCCTGGCTAACACAGTGAAACCCTGTCTCTACTAAAAATACAAAAAAAACTAGCCGGGTGTGGTAGCAGGCGCCTGTAGTCTCAGCTACTCGGGAGGCTGAGGCAGGAGAATGGCATGAACCCGGGAGGCGGAGCTTGCAGTGAGCCGAGATCGCGCCACTCCACTCCAGCCTGGGCAACAGAGCAAGTCTCAAAAAAAAAAAAAAAAAAAAAAACTTCATCCTGATTATCAGCTTCTTTCTATTCTATGACTCTGGGATCAAATGACATGACATAAATGAGACATGTTCAGTACCTTCATATCATACATTTTCCTAATAAACAAAGCTTACTATTTTAAAACTTAAAAATATTTTTTAAATTAACCTCTGTTTAAAGTAATTTTAATATCTTCATAAGTTTAGCAAAGGATTAGGCATTTCACAGAATAAAAATACACAAATGACCCATAAATACATTGTTGTAAATAAAAGGAGTGCCAATGAACATATGATGCGATTTTCCACCTATCGGAGTGCCAAGAGAACGTTTAAAATGTAATTTTCCAGTACTGACATGAGGAAATAGGCACTTGCTCATCACTATCGATATAAGTATAAACCACCATAACTTTTTTGAAGGCAATTGGAGGTACCTGCCAAAAATGTAAATGACTCTACCCTTTGACATAGCAATTACACTTTTAGGTGTTGGTCTTACATCAATGATCACTCACTTGTGCAAAGACAGGCATGACATGGTTTGTCATGGCACTGCTTGAATTAGCAAAAACCTGTGACAACCCAAATCTACACCAGCAGAAACTGATTTTAAAAATATGGGTGCATGCCAGGGAATTTATAGGCAAACAATAGGAAAAAAAGAATACGAGTGCACGCATACTATGAAATGCTAGCATGTCTTGGCCGGGCGCGGTGGCTCACGCCTGTAATCCCAGCACTTTGGGAAGCCGAGGTGGGCGGATCACGGGGTCAGGAGATCAAGACCATCCTGGCTAACACAGTGAAACTCCATCTCTATTAAAAATACAAAAAATTAGCCGGGCGTGGTGGCAGGCACCTGTAGTCCCAGCTACTCGGGAGGCTGAGGCAGGAGAATGGCGTGAACCCAGGAGACGGAGCTTGCAGTGAGCCGAGATAGTGCCACTGCAGTCCAGCCTGGGCGAAAGAGAGAGACTCCGTCTCAAAAAAAAAAAAAAAAAAAAAAAAGAAATGCTAACATGTCTTTAAAGAAAATAGATTTTCAAATGAACAGAAACAGAAGGATGTCCATGTCCATGCGAGAAACCATTTCTGTGAAAATGTCTAAAATAATTTTGGTAGCCTCGGGGATACCTGAATAAAATCCTTTGGCCCAAAGGCCTGGAAATAGAATACAAAATGACAGTCCTAGGCCAGGCACAGGGGCTCAAGCCTATAATCCTAGCACTTTGGGAGGCTGAAATGGGAGGACTGCTTAATGCCAGGAGTTTGAGACCAGCCTGAGCAACAGACATCCTGTCAAGAAAAATAGCCCTCATCCTTTGAGTGCTCCATAACTACTGATTGCTGTTGTTGATGATGACGATGGTAGTTATGATGATAATGTGATCTATGCCCAAAATAACTGGAAGAAGGATACTGTCCCTAAAAGATCTTATTCTAACAGTTTCTGCAAGATATTAACAGCTTATTTTGTCTTCTCGTACTTCTGTCAGCTTTTCTAAATTCTTTCAAATGCTTTTTGGGACATGAGTCCAGGGTCAGTGCTGGGTCGGGCCATTTAGATGTTGAAAGGGCAAGGTAATCAGTAAGTCACACCCCCGTTCTCTCCCTGTCTGACCTGGCGCGGGAGGCGTAATCTATGAGAGAATCTCCCTCATGCCATCGCACTGGAATTGAAGTGCAGAGAGGAACACCTTCCCCAGAAATCGTGTTGACAGATCGGTCAGTCACTTTGAGGTCAGCCCCCACCCTACCTCAATGCAAACCTGGCAGCAAGAGGTTGAGAAAAAGCCTGATGTTTCTGGTCACAAACACTTTCAAGGTAAGTTGATGGATCTTCAAGTGTGGTCCTTGGATTTCCAGTGCTGATTGCTAAGAATACAGAATATCAAGTCCCCACTTCATATCTTCCAAATCAGAATTTGATGAGGGAGGCTGGAGTGAGGCACAGGAATCATCATTTTAAACAAGCTCTCAAGGGAATTATTTTGTGCCCTAAAGTTTGGAAACTGAGGAAGACCTTGAAGATATTTTGCCCATGGCCGAGTCTTTCAGAATCCCATTTTGTCTGATTATATCTTTGGGTGAAGCATTTTTGCAAGCAGTCAAGTGACTATCTATTCCATTACCCTGGTTTCGAAAATAATTAGAAATAAATAAAAGTTTATTTTCACTAGGCTCCTCTGTGTATATTCCAGCAATATTAGACATAAGGCAACCCCAAAAACAATAACATTAAGAAATAAGAAAACTTCAAGACAAATTACATAGATACAAGCCATTTATCAATTCCTTTATTATATATTAAATAGCTCAAATATGTATATATATGTTTATCTTCAGTTCTCAGATATTTCCTATTTGTATTCATTTGTAATATGTAGTATTTAGAGATAAAATTTTGTTTTTCCCTACTCTTCCCAGCAAAATCTTGAGTGTAACTATCATTGGTTAAAACCATTTAACCACCTATGTGTAACAGCTTTTATATCATTTTCTTCCTTTTCTCCCTTCCTTCCTTTTGTTTGTTTTGAGACACAGTCTCACTCTGTTGCTTAGGCTGGAGTGCAATGGCGCGATCTCAGCTCACTGCAACCTCTGCCTCCGGGTTCAAATGATTCTCCCACCTCAGCCTCCCAAGTAGCTGCGATTATAGGCACACACCATCATGTCCAGCTAATTTTTGTATTTTTGTAGATACAAAATTAGCAACAGGGTTTCCCCATGTTGGCCAGGCTGGTCTTGAACTCCTGACCTCAGGTGATCCACCTGCCTCAGCCTCCCAAAGTGCTGGGATTACAGGCGTGAGCCACCGCGCCCAGCCCCTTCCTTCCTTTCTTCCAATATTTATTGAGCACCTGCTACGTACCAATCATTGGGAATTTATTAGTGAACAAAGGACAGGTTTACCTATTCATATGATGTATGTATAATATATACAATTACATAAATATAACTTCATGAAGAATTAGAAATAATGCACAAAAACCTGATCCATAGCCATTCCTAATGATGACTCTATGCAGAAAACACAGGCGTAGATTTAAACTCAGTGTTCTTTTTTTGTGTTTTTGAGATGGAGTCTCACTCTGTCACCTAGGCTGGAGTGCAGTGGCACAATCTTGGCTCACTGCAACCTCCGCCTTCCAGGTGCAAGTGATTCTCCTGCCTCAGCCTCCCGAGTAACTGGGATTACAGGCACGCGCCACCACATCCGGCTAATTTTGTATTTTTAGTAGAGACAGGGTTTCACCACGATGGACAGGCTAGTTTTGAACTCCTGACCTGAAGTGATCCACCTGCCTCAGACTCCCAAAGTGCTGGGATTACAGGTGTGAGCCACTGCGCCCAGCCTAAACTCAGTGTTCTATCGTTTGTTAGTGTGATTCCTGGGCAGGTAATTTAGATCCTCATCCCCTTTCAGAAAATGCAGATAAAAATGCCTACCTTGTAGAGTAGTTGAATGAATTAGAAACAGTACATACAAAGCACCTGGTACAGCTCAATACATTGTAGCCATCCATATCCCCCATTCCTGCCAAAACCCAACTCTATATATATATGTATGTATATGTGTATATGTGTGTGTGTATATATATATCTATATGTATCTCTCTCTCTCTCTCTATATATATATATAGGATTTATATATCCATGCCCAATTTCTCTGCTCTTTGCCCAGGCACCATCATTTCTACTGAGATGGACCCATGCAATGGGTTTCCAAATAGCTTTTCTGCCTCTGCTCAATTTTTCTAAAGGCCAAGTCCAACGTATTCATGCTGGTCAGAACCTCAGATGTGCCCTACTGCCCTAAGGATAAAGTTGAACCTCCTCACTTAGTCCGCATGGCCCTTCTAGTTCTGGTCCCTGCTCACCTCTCAGTCACCCCTCTTTTCTCCCACTCACAGCATCACATTCAAATCACACCCTCAGACATGCTAAGCCGTCTCTTGGCTCTCGGCCTTTAGACACTTCCTCCTCTTCATCTGGCTAGCAAACTCCTCACCATCTGGTCACTTCTTCCAGGAAGCTCTCCTTGATGCCCACTAGAGCATGCTAGGTGCCTTTGTGGTACTCCTGAGGCACCTGGACTTCCTCCGTCAGTCACATGCTTATCACATGTCCTGGTGGCTGGCTGTTTATTTGTACACAGCCTCTGGGGTCAGTTCGCGGGAGTTCAACTTCCAGCCTTGACACTTAGCGACAAAGCCTTAAATAAGTTACTTTACATTGGGCCTCAGTTTTCTCAATTGGTGTAGACAATAATAGTACCTACTTCACAGGTTTGTGGTGAGAATTAAATGAGAACATGCATGTAAATTGATTAGCGCTGTGACCTGGCACCTATTAAGAATTCAATAAAGAATGCAATAAACTATGATATTTGCCTTAATCACTAAGGATAGGGGCTATGATTGCCTCCCCAATATCCATTCCATCCTTCCACCATTGAATTTGGGTAAAATAACCTTCCCCACCAGCTCCACAAATGGGATCTGATTAGTTCAAGAGTAAACTACAGCGTGCATTAGAATCACCTGGAGGGCTTGCTGAGCACAGGTTGCTGAGCCCTCCCCCTCCAGAGTTGCTGATTCCACTTCTGATCCCAAGGATTTGCACTTCTAGCAAATTCCCAGGGGATGCTGATACTGCTGGCCGGGAGGCCACACTTAAGAGTAGCACTGGTCTAAACCAATCAGGATATCTTACTTCCTTTGCCTTATAATTGAGTCAGGGATGAGCTTGGATCTGTGGATTCAATCACGTGGATGTATGATTGCAGGAGAATGCCCCCTCCCACCTCCCCAGTGTAAAGCAAGCAGCTGCAGATACTGCTGGTAACCATCCTGAAACCATGAACAAAAAAGAAGTCAACCCTAGGCTGGAACTGACACACAGAAGAGAGAAGGCCCAAGAGAATCACAAAGAAACCAAGTAGGAGCCTGGCTGAATGGTGCTGGAAGCCCCAAATGCCTTGGGAATTACTGGAAATAATATGTTCCTTTTATTGTTTAAGTCAGTTTGAGTTTTCTGTTACTTGCAACCAAAATATTCCTGATACATTATTACCAGCTCTGTGAGGGTAAGAAATGCATTTGGCCCTCCGATGTTCCATGCTAGATCTGAGTCTGGCACACAAAGTGGATGCTCAACAAACATATTTTGGCCAGACATGGTGGCTCACACCCATAATCTCAGAGCTTTGGGAAGCCAAATTGGGAGAATCATATGAGCCCAAGAGTTCAAGACCAGTCTGGGCAACATAGCAAGAGCCCCATCTCTACAAAAAATACAAAAATTATCCGGGTGTGGTGGCACGTATTTGTAGTCCTAGCTACTCGGGAGGCAGAGGTAGGAGGATCAATTGAGCCCAGGAGTTCAAGGTTGCAGCCAGCTATGATCCCATTACTGCACTCCGGCCTGGGCAACAGAGCGAGACCCTGTCAATCAATCAATCAATTTCAATCCACACAGGGATATCTACTCTCTTACAAAGCACCTGGTAACAGCCTTAGTCAGGGGGTGAGGGAGCAGTCTCAAAGCTGGTCCAATCCTTTCCTGGTCTCTGTCCTGCATCACACTCTACCTCTCCTGTTAGAATGTGTCTGGCCTGTTTCAGGCCCTGAGTTGCCCCATCTTAGGCTACCTTCTTCCAAATACTCCAAGTTTACTTCTAGTATTGAGTCTTGACCATCTGATTTCCCTCACAAGTTTCACTTTCCTTCAATAAGCTTTGCAAAGTGAGTCTGCCTTCTTTAATGTTTAATGGATGAGAGCATGTATTCTGTAATACTCCATCCTTCACCTAGACTGGGCACACTCTGTTGGGGCTATCAAATTTATTTCCCTGCCATCATAATCAGCTGTTTGTGCATGGTAGTGATAGCCTGAGCAGTTAAACCCTCTAGAGGGGGACGTCCCTTGCATTCGTTTCCCCCAGGAGTGGGAAGCCGTTGCTGCCAGAACAAATTACCACTAAGTGACTTAAGGTAACAGAAAATGCATTCACTTACAATTCCGTAGGCTAGAAGACCAACATCTATGTATCAGCAACGGCATGCTCCCTCTGAAGGCTCTTGGGGAGACTCCCTTGTCTCTTCCTCGCCCCTTTCAGCTTCTGGCATCCTCAGATGTTCTTTGGCTTGTGGCAGCATGACTTCAATCTCTACCCACTTCAGTCTTCTCATGGCTGTCTTCTCTGTGAGCCCTTTTCCAACTGTCTCCTACTTTTTCAATACATTTTTTTCCCCCAAGACACGGTCTTGCTTTGTCACCCAGGCTGGAGTACAATAGCACGATCATGGCTCACTTCACCCTTGACCTCTTCGGCTCAAGCAATCCTCCCACCTCTTGAGTAGCTGGGACCGCAGGCATGCACCAACATGCCCAGCTAATTTTTTGTTGTTGTATTTTTTTGTAGAGACGGGGTTTCACCATGTAGCCCAGCTGGTCTCAAACTCCAGGGCTCAAGCAATCCTCCTGCCTTGGCCTCTCCAAGTGTTGGTGGGTCCGGAATCGGTAGCTTCTTGGTCTCACTAACATCAAGAACCAAGCCGCGGACCCTCGCAGCGAGTATTACAGTTCTTAAAGGCAGCGTGTCCGGAGTTTGTTCCTTCTGATGTTCAGACGTGTTGAGAGTTTCTTCCTTCTGGTGGGTTCTTGGTCTCGCTGGCTCAGGAGTTAAGCTGTAGACCTTCGAGGTGAGTGTTACAGCTCCTAAGGCGGGGCGTAAGGAGTTGTTCCTTTCTCCCGGTGGGTTCACGGTCTCGCTGGCTTCAGAAATAAAGCTGCAGACCTTCACAGTGAGTGTTACAACTCATAAAAGCAGTGTGGGTTTAAAGGCCGAGCAGCTGCAACATTTATTGCAAAGAGCAAAAGAACTACCCCTCCACACCGTGGAAAAGAACCCGAGCAGCTTACCGCTGCTAGCTCCGCAGCCTGCTTTTATGCTCTTATCTGGCCCCACCCACATGCTGCTGATTGGTCCACTTTACAGAGAGCCGATTGGTCTGTTTTACAGAGAGCTGATTGGTCCATTTTGACAGGGGGCTGATTGGTGCGTTTAAATCCCTGAGATAGACACAAAAGTTCTCCACCTCCCCACTAGATTAGCTAGATACAGAGTGTCTGTTGGTGTATTTACAATCCCTTAGCTAGACATAAAGGTTCTC
Organism: Homo sapiens; assembly: GCF_000001405.40. NCBI lineage: Eukaryota > Metazoa > Chordata > Mammalia > Primates > Hominidae > Homo > Homo sapiens. The sequence continues at coordinate 88,503,736 of NC_000002.12, read as the reverse complement.
TAAGTCCCCACCAGAGTAACTAGACACAGAGTGCCGATTGGTGTATTCACAAACCCTGAGCTAGACACAGGGTGCTGATTGGTGTGTTTACAAACCTTGAGCTAGATACAGAGTGCTGATTGGTGTATTTACGATCCCTTAGCTAGACATAAATATTCTCCAAGTCCCCACCAGACTCAGGAGCCCAGCTGGCTTCACCCCGCGGATCCCACACCAGGGCCCTAGGTGGAGCTGCCTGCCGGTCCCCGCTGTGCGCCTGCACTCTTCAGCGGTTGGGTGGTCGATGGGACCGGGCGCCCTGGAGCAGGGGGCGGCGCTCGTCGTGGAGGCTCGGGCGGCGCAGGAGCCCACGGCGGAGAGGGGAGGCTCAGGCATGGTGGGCTGCAGTTCCCAAGCCCTGCCCGGCGGGGAGGCAGCTAAGGCTCCGCGAGAAGTTGAGCACAGCAGCTGCTGGCCCAGGTGCTAAGCCCCTCACTTCCCCGGGCCGGAGGGGCCGGCCGGCCGCTCCGAGTGCGGGGCCCGCCGAGCCCACGCCCACCCAGAACTCGCGCTGGCCCGCAAGCGCGGCGCGCAGCCCCGGTTCCGGCCCGCGCCTCTCCCTCCACACCTCCCCGCAAGCTGAGGGAGCCGGCTCCCACAGTGCAGCGGCGGGCTGAAGGGCTCCTCAAGCGCGGCCAGAGTGAGCGCCAAGGCCGAGGAGGCGCCGAGAGCGAGCGAGGGCTGCCAGCATGCTGTCACCTCTCATTGGGATTACAGACGTGAGCCACCACAGCTAACCCTTTTCCATCTCTTATAAGGACACTCACTGGATTTACATCCCACTCTAATCCGGTATGATATCATCTCAATTCTTACCTTAATTACATCTGCAAAGACCATATTTCCGAACAAGCTCACAACCTGAGATTCCAAATGGATATGAATTTGGAGAGGACCCTATTCGACCACATCTCTTTAGGTCAGGGTCCTTACCAAAAACACATTCCCAACCTGCTGTGAGCAACACCATGAAACACTAACCGCCTGGCAGCCGCTGCTGAAGCACCCAGATGACTCTGTTGCAGGTGCTTCCAGAATGCGCTTAGTGACGCCATGACATAAAAGAGTCATCTCCGGCGGGTGCGGTGACTCATGCCTGTAATCCCAGCACTTTGGGAGGCTGAGGCAGGTGGATAGCTTGAGGCCAGGAGTTCGAGATCAGCCTGACCAACATGGTGAAACCCCATCTCTACTAAAAATACAAAAATTAGTTGGGCGTGGTTGTGGGCTCCTGTAATCCCAGCTACTCAGGAGGGTGAGGCAGGAGAATCGCTTGAACCTTGGAAGCGGAGGCTGCAGTGAGCTGAGATCGCGCCATTGCACTCCAGCCTGGGCAACAGAGCCAGACTCAGTCTCAAAAAAAAAAAAAAAGAGTCATCTCCAAGAGGCACTTGCAATGCAGGAGAATGGGGCTGAGCCCAGGGTGCTAGGGGAACCAGAGGAGGGACTCAAAACTCAGATAAGTATGTGGGAGGGTGGTGGGTTCAAGTGGATTCAACTGATAAACAAACGTTGCTGGTCCACAAGGGGCCTATGGTAGTGTCTGTAACAGCCTAGATTCCAACACTTGGTTACCCAGAGGGGTGGATGTTACAGGAAGAAAGTGGATCTACCATCCAGACACTCACTTTCTTGGCCCAGCTTGCTACTAAACTGGTATTACTCTAGGCAGTTCATTTAATCAGAAGACGAGTAAGAGGTGAAAGCAACAGGGCCTACTGATATGAGGAGGAGCAGGGGTAGGGGTGGTGGAGCGATCATCGGTAGCTGAGACCTGTTTTCCCCATAAATTTCCAGAGGGCAGCGTGCCTTGTCATTTTTTTCTTCATGATTTCCTGGAGCTCCAACCATAATAGATCTTCCAAAAAAAATTAACAGAAAAATAAAAATATTAAGACTTGGCCAGGGGGCCGGGCGCGGTGGCTCACGCTTTAATCCCAGCACTTTGGGAGGCCGAGGGGGGTGGATTACGTGAGGTCAGGAGTTCAAAACCAGCCTGGCCAACATGGTGAAACCCCGTCTCTACTGAAAATACAAAAAAAGTAGCCAGGCATGGTGGCGGGCGCCTGTGATCCCAGCTACTCAGGAGGCTGAGGCAGGAGAATCGCTTGAACACAGGAGGCAGAAGTTGCTGAGATTGTGCCACTGCACTCTAGTCTGGGCAACAGAGCGAGACTCCGTCTCAAAAAAAAAAAAAAAAAAAAAAACTTGGCCGGGGCACTGCCTCACACCTGTAATTCCAGCACTTTGGGAGACTGAAGCAGGGGAATCACTTGAGCCCAGGAGTCTGAGGCTGCAGTGAACTAGGATCACACTACCACTCAGGTCATGATGGAAAAAAAAAAAAATTAAGGCTCATGGTAAATCTTTCTCTCAATTCCCAGAATCAGGAATAACTGTTTCTTCAGGGGGAAAAAAAAATATATATATATATACATATATATATATATATATATGTATATATATATATGCTTGCTTTTAATTTCATGGACCATGTTTAAATTTTATTTTCTTCATATCCTTCATCATGACCTGAAGCCACCTTGCTTGTGTCTTCCTTTGCTTGTCCAGCTACAGGCACTAGGTTGCTGGCTGCTGAAGAGCAGGCAACCAGGGGTCCTGCCAGCCCTGCATCCCACCTGCCGGGCGTGGTCCATCTTCATCTTTCCCTACTCTTATTTTCTTCCAGGTGTGGGCTTGCTTCATCTTTTCCCATTCTTATTTTCACTCATTATTTTTTATCTGGTTGCATCATCTGCAGTTTTGCAAGCCACCTTGAATCCCTTTCTGGAAAAAGGCCAGGCATACACAAGTACATTATTAATCCATGCCTGCAATAGCTTAGATTCCAACACTTGATTACCCAGAGGGGTGGATGTTACACAGGTGGATGTTACATCAGCATCCTCTTTCAGAGACAAATCAACTCCTTTATTCAGCTTATTTCTTTCTCAGTGTCTGTTACACACTGGTCACTGTACTAGGGGTCAGAGTATCAGACACTAAACAAGTAGACAAAAAATTAAATTCTGACAAAGTACAAGTAATGCAAGGGAGAAAATAAGCAGAAAAACGGGTAGGTGTCAGCATTTGTACAGGAAAGTGCAGGCAAGGCCTCTCTGAGGAGGTGACATTTCAGCAAGGACTGGAAGACAAGGAGAGGTGGGGGGAGTCATCCTGGTGAGCAGCACAGAGAAACAGCCGGTTGGGTTTTAGGAATGACAGAGGCCTGTGTATATGAGGGGGATGGGACAGGTATCAAGAGAAGACAGGGGTCGGGCATGGCGGCTCACGCCTATAATTCCAGCATTTTGGGAGGCCAAGGCGGGCAGATCACTTGAGGTCAGGAGTTCGAGACCAGTCTGGCCAACATGGTGAAACACCATCTCTGCTAAAAATACAAAATCAGCTGGGCGTGGTGGCACATGACTGTAGTCTCAGCTATATGGGAGGCTGAGGCAGGAGAATCGCTTGAACCCAGGAGGCAGAGGTTGCAATGAGCTGAGATTGTGCCACTGCACTCCACCCTGGGTAACAGAGTGAGACTCCATCTCAAAAAAAGAGAGAGAGAGAAGATAGGGAGGCAGCTGCCAGCCAGGCAGGGAGGCCCACTAGGTGAGGAGCATATGTTTTGTTCTTAGTGCCATAGGAAAGGTCCATTTGAACATGGAAGTGACAGGTTCCAATCTGCTGTTGTCTGCGTTTTGGTTTTTTTTTTAGACAGAGTCTTACTCTGTCACCCAGGCTGGAGTGCAGTAGCACCATCTCAGCTCAATGCAACATCCACCTCCTGGGTTCAAGCAATTCTCCTCCCTCAGCCTCCCAAGTAGCTGGGACCAATCTGCTTTAAAAAGATTATTCTACATTCATACTATAGAATATTACACAGCAATAAAAAGAAACACTGATATACACGACCACTTGGATGGATCTCTAGGGCATTATGCTGAGAAAAAAAAGCCAACTTCAAAAGGTCACATATGCATGATTCCATTTATATGACACTCTCAAAATGACAAAATTATTGAGATTAGTGGTTGCCTGGGGTTAGGGACAAGGGAGGAGAAGTAGACTGGGTATGACTATAAAGGGTAGCACAAGGGAAATATCTGGTGATAGAACAATTCTGTATCTTGATTGTGGTGGTAGCTACATGAATCCACACTTAGGATAAAATTACACAGACTGATACACACACACAGCACACAAAAATGAGTGCAGGTACAACTGAAATCTGAATAAGCTCCATGGATTGTACCCATGTCCATTTCCTGGTACTGACAGTATAATATACTTATGTAAAACAGTGACATTGGGGGAAGCTGGATGAAGGATCTGTGAGACCTCTCTCTTCTGTTCTTGCAGCTTCCTGTAAATCTATAATCATTTTCAAAATAAAACGTTTTTATAAAAGTTTACCATCTCTGTGGGGAGGAAGGGTGCATGTAGGGAGTTTAGAGGATGACAGAGTGGCATCAGTGGAGACAGTGAGACCCAGAGGGAGGGGAGAGCTTTGGGAACAAGGGATGAATGGAGGAATCCATTTCATCAGAGGCAGGGTTAGGGAAAGGAAGGAGAAGGGAGTCCCAGGTTTTAGACCTTAGTCACTTGGGGGAATGGTGGTGCCAATCACTGAAATGGTGAAGAATGGCAAAAGACCAGGCTTATGTGGACGAACAGACCTTTTTATTGTTGCTTACTGTGACAAAGTTCACAGAAAGAAGCAAGTATTAAAATATGCAAATATAGAAGCCAACAGAGCAATGGAAATAATGTATATACAAATACAACATATTTATTTTTTGTACAGATGGGGTCTCCCTATTTTGCCCAGGCTGGTCTCGAACTCCTAGGCTCAAGTGGTCCTCCCACCTTGGCCTCCCAAAGTGCTGGGATTACAGCCGTGAGCCACCACACATGCCAGGCCAAGTTTAATGAATTACTCTAATGCATTGCATGCATCTAACCACTACCCAGGTCAAGAAATAAAACCCTGGAAATCACTCACCCTCATTGTTCCTCCTGATCACAGGTATCCCATAGAGGTAACCACTGCCCTGATTTTTAGAGTAATTGCATCCTTGATTTTCTTCCTAGTTTATGCATGGGCCATGTTCAGTTTGAGATGCCATAAGACATCCAAATGAATGTTTGAATTCAAAGAGCTCTAAACTTCCATCCAATACCAGTGTCAGCCTTTCAAATACTGCCAATTCTTCATGTCCTGTAGGCCATTCCCTTCTTGAGGCTGGAAGAAGTGACACCCATGGCAACATCACGTACACTTCAATGTTGTAAACATTTGAAGAAGATGGTCAGTGTTTTAGGGCTTGCTGCGAGATGTCCTTGTGCCTTGTTATTTCCTTTCCCCCACTGTTACTTGTGAAGTCTTGAATGTTGAATTTATTTCTACACGTTTCCAGAACAATACCTTTCGAGCATAATTCAATAGATTAGTGAGTGCACAGGGGGCTGCAAGAAGGGTGGGGAATCACGAGGTCAGGAGATCAAGACCATCCTGGCTAACACGGTGAAACCCCCTCTCTACTAAAAACACAAAAAATTACCCAGACGTGGTGGCACGCACTTGTAGTCCCAGCTACTCAGGAGGCTGAGGCAGGAGAACTGCTTGAACCTGGGAGGCGGAGCTTGCAGTGAGCCAAGATCACGCCACTGCACTCCAGCCTGACAGAGGGAGACTGTGTCTCAAAAAAAAAAAAAAAAAAAAAAAAGGGTGGGGAGTTCTTCAATTCCCAGGCTAGTCCTTTGAAACTTCCTCTGAACAGTGCCTTAGGCAAACCATACCACCTCATCGGAATGCTGCGGTGGATGTTTTCCTGAGGGAGTGCTCTGGCCTTCTCCCTAGCACAGTGTTGAAAGCATCATTCCTCTGCATGCTCCTCCAACATGCTTGCCTCCAGGATGCACTTCTGTGTTTATAATCCTTCACCAGGGTTACACTGCAGCACGCAGGGTCCCCTGCATTGATGCCTCTTGGTGCACAGGCTTGAATCTGCATAATACAAGGGCCCCCAATAACTAGATGCCAAAACACTGAATCGTCTGTTATTGCACCCATTAATTATCACATATGTGCACAAATATCTTATGCACATATTTCTAGGTGCTTACACACAGAAAGTGCTAGAAAAACCTAAGATATCGCTTTTGTGTCCATTTTGTACATATGAGATCTGAGTGATCCAGGGACAGTTTCTGGGGCCAAGGGATTTACTCCCTCTTCTTCCCTCCAACTTGAATATAGAGAGACTTGGGACCCCCAAGTCCAGTGGTGGGCACATAGGACTCTTCTGATCTAACAGGGACCTGCCCCTGGATGCAGTGGGTACAATGGGGCCCCCTAGAGATGAATCTGACCCTCTCTAGCTGCCTGATCTTGGGTAACTTTCTCAAAGTCTTTGTGCCCCAGATTCCTCTTTGGTAAAAGACAGATGTACCAGCACCTACCTCAGAACTACTTTACAAGAGCTATTCATATACAAAACTCAGCACAGGGCAGTTAGAGCTTATTAACTCATGCTGCTTAGCATCTATCATTTAACACTAGGTGCCAGACGCTACAAAACGTGGTGCACGAATTAACTCCTTTCATCCTCATGAGAGGGCAAAGAGGGGGTTCCTGTTATCAACCCCATCCTGCAGATGCTCAGAGAGTTAAGTAACTTGCCCTAAGTTACACAGCTAGTGAACTGCTGTGCCGAGCGTCTAACCCCGCTGACTTAGCCACTCTGCTTTGTGACCTCCAACATCTTCAGTGAATTCAATTCAGTTACTGGGTTCTGACAGCTGGTGTCAGAAGCCACTTTTGTGCTGGTCCAGGGTAATGCTCTGCCCTAATTGGTCAGAATCCGTGAGAGGTACTGCAAGAAAACCAGCTGGGAGGCACATTTCCAAGCCTATTGATGGTGGTGACCACACTCAATGAGTTTTATTTGTTCTACCTAAAACAACTGATAATGTCCAGCTCAACAGGCCCCGAAGCTCACAGGAGATACTAAAAGGATAATGCCCTGCTGTTTCTTTTGGAGACTTCCTGTGGCAGATTCTTCCCTTCTCCTGGCTTACAGGGACCACAGCAGACATCTGTGAACATTTCCTCTGAGCTAGAAGCTGTTCTAAGAATCCACATGCACTGTCCCATTCCATTCTCACAGTATTCTCACATGAGAACCAGCTCTTATCATCCTAACAAGGGTGAGTCCGTGTCAAAAACCACACAGCAGTAACAGAGACAGGACTTCAACTCGGGCCCTCTAGGCTCAATGCCATGCATTTGACCTAAAGAGTGTTATGCATATATCACCTTTCTATTCTTTTATTTTTTTGCATATATCATCTTATTCATCATCAGCAACAATGTAAACTGCAACTATCTTATTTCTCTCTTCACTTACAGCATTATATCCAAATGGTGGGTTGAAATTTGACCAGAAGGCGCAACTCTTATGATTCCCAAATTCACTGGACTTGCATTTAAAATCACAGTGCTCAGCCAGGCACGGTGGCTCACACCTGTAATCCCTGCACTTTGGGAGGCCAAGGCGGGTGAATCACCTGAGGTCAGGAGTTCAAGTCCAGCCTGGCCAACATGATGAAACTGTGTCTCTACTAAAAATACAAAAAATTAGCTGGGCATGGTGGCACACCCCTGTAATTCCAGCTACTTAGGAGGCTGAGGCAGGAGAATCGCTTGAACCCAGGAGGCGGAGGTTGCAGTGAGCTGAGATCGCATCACTGCACTTCAGCCTGGGCAACAAGAGCGAAACTCTGTCTCTAAATAAATAAATCAATCAAATCACAGTGCTCATTGACGAACTATATATAATACAAGGGCTACTAATAGTCAATTTTTAACAATTTTCATTAATAGATATCACAAACCCATTTGAAATGTTTTAAAAAGGTGAATATTTAAAGCAAAAGCTGCTGCCTACCCCCATACTTAAAAAAACAATCTGATGAAAGTCATGGACTTTCTCCAGAAATGTGGATATTTCCATTAAAAGAAAAAAAGCATACCTGCATCCTCAAGGAGTTCCCAGAACCCCTGAGGCCCATCCATTGACCCCAGTAATAAGAAGTTCTATGGATTTACAATTGGTGAGACTCTCTGTGAAGCAAATGTTTTTCCTTCAATTTGCATTTTATAACTCCTTGTGCAAGAGTTTTCTCCTTCTCTCTTTCTACTTCTATAGGCACAAATATGGTATATTCTCTCATGTGCTGTCATCATCACCTATATTTATCATAAGAATAGATTTTCCTTTTTTATATTCTGTGTTTCAAACTAAAGTCACCACAACAAACCCTTCAGTTTTATAAAACACAAACAAAATTTTAGCTTCATCATTTCACTAAACTGATGCCTCAGCTAATGTGCAGACCTTTAATTTTCAAGCCTAAACTTGTCCTTGAACTGATTTGTAGATTTCCTACAGAATATGCTCAGCATCCATATAGTATTAGAGGCATAAAACAGGTCCATTTAAAGGAGTAGTTGGGATAGGTTACACCCTTTCTACAAAAGCAGTCTACTTGTTCACCTAAGAAAAACACAAATTGTTGACAATATGGTTATCTCTTCTTGTTACTCTTTGCAGGAGACTTTGGATTTAAAAATGCTTCACACACACTTTACTTACATCATAATATCTAATTGGTGGGTCAAAATTTGACCAGAAGTCACAATTCTTATGATCCCAAAATTTGCTGGACTTGCATTTCAAATTAGGGTACTCACTGATGAACTACGGTAGAGTATAGTCCCGAGAATTTGCCATTGTTGCAAGTTCCCTTAAAAAGTGATCATGTGCTTCCCGCTCCATGTATATTACCAATAATCCTCATGACAATCCTGCAATGTATCAGAACACAATTTTACAGATGAGGAAACTGAGGATCAAAGAATTTAACTACCTTACCCAAGGTCACACAGCTGGGAAGTGGCCCATGACTTGTCTGGCTTAAGAACCCACACTTTTTCAGCTACCATGTTGCCTTCCTGGCTTTGGCCTGAATTTGGCTTCAGACCAGTATTTGTAGAGTGTCCCCACTGCAAATGGAAATGTTTACTTCACCCCGGAACAGGGCTGAACTTGCCACATCTCTTCATGTCCTTAAAACTTAAATCTGGCCAGGTGCAGTGGCTCATGCCCGTAATCCCAGCACTTTGGGAAGCTAAGGCAGGAGGATTGCTTGAGGCCAGGAGTTTGAGACCAGCCTGGGCAACATAACGAGACCGCCATCTCTGAATCGTTTTTTAAAAACTAAAAAGGTAAAAATAAAAATGTAAACCTGATAAAGAGGATGATCAAGCAGAACTAGCGAAGAATTTTTTTTTTTAATACAGAGTCTCGCTCTGTCGCCCAGGCTGGAATGCAGTGGCGCAACCTCGGCTCACTGCAACCTCCGCCTCCCGGGTTCACGCCATTCTCCTGCCTCAGCCTCCCGAGTAGCTGGGACTACAGGCGCCCGCCACCACGCCCGGCTAATTTTTTTTGTATTTTCAGTAGAGACGGGGTTTCACCGTGTTAGCCAGGATGGTCTCCATCTCCTGACCTCGTGATCCACCCGCCTCGACCTCCCAAAGTGCTGGGATTACAGGCGTGAGCTACCGCGCCCAGCCCTAGCAGAGAATTTTTAAGATTAATGTCTGCAACACAGCCACATAATCTTTTAGAGTAAGTAAGGTATTTATCAATTTAATTGTAGAACTTTATTTTAAAACCTAAGCATGCATTTAGCATCAGATGCTAAATTGAAAGTGCTGCGCCTACATTCCATATGCCTAAGAAAAATTTTTGTTCATAAAAATTATTCCCAAATGGGCAATTAATTTCAAGATGTCCTGCTATTGGCTCACTTTTGCTCTGTTAGGTAACATAAACCTGTCCCGGAAAATAACCACCTGCCTATACTGACAGACAGGCAAAGTAAAACCTGGCCTTTCACATAAAGAGATAATTAAACAACTGGACGGTTTCAGTTTGTGTCAAAAGTCACCCTCTCCTTTGATCTGTACTTCAGCTAAGGTGCATCACGAACCTCAGGGGTCATGGGAGAAGAGGAGCAGGGCAAGAGAGAAATTTCAGTCCACCTTGAAGTGTGAAGTGTTTGCTTTTCCCCAGACAGCTCGTCTCACTTCCTCTCTAGTGAAAATCTACCCTCTATATTCCTTAATGAAACTATCATGGCATTCTTCGGCTGCCCTTCCCAAAACTTTAAGAAGCTCAGAACGAACTCATTGCTTTCTGAAAGGCTTCTGGTAATAAACACCATGAAATGTGGGGGTTCTGAGATACACTGTGGGCTTTTTGGAGTCCCCTGTGATTTTTTTTCTTAATGGAGTAAAGTTTTAATCTTTCGGTAATAGCATTTAAACGCAACACCTCTACACTACTGAAAATAAGAATAATAATAATATTAACTAAAAGTCACAGCATTTTGTTTAACCCTTCACAATTTTCCCCTTGTTCTCTACTCAAATGTCATCACAAATTAAAGATCCTGCAGATTACATGTATGTAAAAAGAGGGCTTTTATCGGACTTGGGAGGCTGAGAGGAAAGGCTGACGGAGATAATTTCTACTACTTTTTCTAGTCTTAAATCTTCCTACTTTTCTTTTCTCTTCCATGACTTTATATCATTGGCAATGCACTAAAATGTGAAATTCTCTCTTTGTACATTTTTGTGTCACCCCTAACTGCAAGGCCCTGAGGCCCCATTAATTTCAAAGTGGAGATAAGCCACTGGGAGCAGGAGTCACTATTCAAGGAATCCTTACCCCACCCTTGTTGGCTTGGTTAAGTCAAAAGTACTCTTATCCTAAATCAGAAATCCTAGAAATGAACGGAGATGTCTCTAGTATCCCTCTTAAAGCAGCAGCCCATAGCAGCATGGGTTCTCAAAGACTCAAGCCTTTTATTTCTCACCTTGCACAACCATAAAATAAATCAAATACTTGTCATTACGATTTGAAGGTGACACTGGTTCCAGTGATTAGCTACTCATTGTAGATCTATCTGGCTGACTACGACATGGAAACATATCTTTGATATGACATATCTTTGATACGACATATCTTTGATTTGCAGATATGGTTTTTAAGGAATCTGATAATGTGATTGATATTTTCTCACACCCTCCCAGTAGTGCAGTGGTTTACTGAGAGTTGAGGCATTTCTCTTTTCAAGAGCAGAGAGGACATGTTTGAATCCTGGCTTCAACACTTACTGAGCTGCAGGGACTTTCGGAGGTTCGTGGACCTCTCTGGACCACAGCTGCCCTAAATAAATGAGGATATTATTCATGTCCAGGGTAGTTGTGGCAAGAGTAGACAATGGACACTGTTCCCTATTCAGGAGAAGCAGGGCTCCCGGGAAGGAAATTGGCTCCCCGTTAGGCCTGCCTCTTCTGTCCAACCCCCATGGGCCAGAAGCTGGAGGGAGTCAGCCTGAAGGGGCTGTGTTTGGTCATGCCCAAAGCTCTTACAACATGTAATCCAGTTATGTCTTTGAGCATTAGCCATACATTTTTTCCCCCGGAAACTGAAAAGAATATTTATTTTCTCTCCATGGTTTCCATTTATCCTCCAGACTTGGTCATTGTCCCTGTCCTTACTCAAATTCTCTGCTAACTGGTGGCTTTGCCTAATGAACGCCCTGAATTCCAGCTCTTACAAGCTCGACTCCATGTATTTTCTCATTTTCACATTCAGTGACCTAGAGCACATGATGACTGCTAAGTTACCTTGGGCTTAGTTAGCACTTGTAAGTCTCAGAAGAGGACTCAGTAAATGCTGGCTGAGGAAATAAAAGCTGAAATCCATTTAATTCTAAGGATTCCAGGTATCAAAGAATTTCTGTGGGTGTATACATCAGGCCAAGAGGATTTTCACTCATTTTAAGAGTCATTCTCGAGATTCCAACTGCTCCTTGACACTTTTTTTTATTATTAAAAAAAAATATATATATATATATAGAGAGAGAGAGAGGGTCTCACTGTGTTGGCCACGCTGGTCTCAAACTATTGGCCTCAAGTGATCTGCCCCCTCGGCCTTCCAAAGTGCTGAGATTACAGGTGTGAGCCACCATGCACAGCCTCCTTCATACTTTTAACAGGAATTTGTTTTCTTCTTATTTAAGAAAGATCTCAAAACAATGTGCAAAAAAAAAAAAAAAAAAAAGCCTGAAAGGGAATCACCGAAATGCTAACAGTTGTATTAGATTGGTGGAACTATATAGGTTATTTCTATAATATACACATATTCATTTATAATAGTTTACTGTATAAACTTTATTTTAAAAGAAACACTTCACTGATGATCTGTATCAATGTTAATTAAGTATATAAAATATTCAAGCCTAGGCCAGATGCTGTGGCTCACGTCTGTAATCCTAGCAGTTTGGGAGGCTAAGGCGGTTGGATCACCTGAGGTCAGGGGTTTGAGACCAGCCTAACCAAGGTGGTGAAACCCTGTTTCTACTAAAAATAGAAAAATTAGCTCGGCGTGGTGGCACGTGCCTATAATCCCAGCTACTCGGGAGGCTGAGGCAGGAGAATCGCTTGAACCTGGGAGGCAGAGGTGGTAGTGAGCCAAGATTGTGCCACTGCACTCCAGCCTGGGCAAAAGAGTGAGATGCTGTCAAAAAAAAAAAAAAAAAAAAGCCAGGCCCAGTGGCTCACACCTGTAATCCCAGCACTTTGGGAGACCGAGGCAGACGGATCAACTGAGGTCGGGAGTTCAAAACCAGCCTGACCAACATGAAGAAAACCCGCATCTACTAAAAATGCAAAATTAGCTGGGCGTGGTGGCACATGACTGTAGTCCCAGCTACTTGGGAGGCTAAGGCAGGAGAATCGCTTGAACCCCGGAGGCGGAGGTTGTGCTGAGCCGAGATCGCGGCATTGCACTCCAGCCTAGGCAACAAGAGCGAAACTCCGTCTCAAAAAAAAAAAAAAAATTCAAGCCTCTGTTCTGTCCAGTTCTTTCTTCCATAGTCTTTCTCATTTTATATTTCCGTGAGGAGTATCCTAATATCAGCTATAGATTTAAATAACCACCATGAGAAGCCGATTTTATTGAATATTGAGTGTCTACTCTATTTGTGAGATATACTGAGTTATAAGAGGACAAAATAAGGACTTGGGCATAGTTCTGAACAGCAGAACAGATACTACATAGAGGCACACACCAGAAACTCTGATATCCCTATTTCTCTTGGGTTTGTTCCTGGATTTTAAATGGCCTGGGTTATATTTGGTAGCACCCAAACATCTGCCCAAAGTGATACCTTGAAATGATCTCTGCATCTGTGTCATTCACACAGAAAACTCAGCAGTTCCAGAGCTGCAGAAACACAAGGAAAAGAACAGACAAAGTTGAGAGAGTTAAGAGAAGCATTGTGATGTGACTGTTGCCTGTTCCACCTGACAGTTTACCTGTGTCTCCTTTTCCATCACTGCAAGTTGTCAAGGTGTTTGTGGATAAACAGAGCTCCTTCTCTTAATGATCCGACTTCTCACACTGCTTGATTTATGCACGGATCACTGCCTACCCTTGGAGAGATGGCCAAGAAACCTCAACAGGCTTTAAAAAAATGAATCAGATGCTGATTTAACTGCTGTACAATGCAAGATATTGTCTCTGTGTCTCTGTATGCCCCCCATAGACCCTGAATGAGTTGACGGAGTCCCACTGCCAACCAGAAAGACCCTGGCTTCTTACAACTTTTAGGCCTTCCTAAACTCCTAACCCAACCTCCCACTTTTACAGCCTCAGCTACCACTCCTGTCCCTACAAAAATGTCTTTTTTCTCACCGGCTGTTATCTCTTTTTACCTCCACGCTGTTCATTCTGTTGGAAACTTCCATTCTTCCTTCTTTAGAGGCCACACAGCTCAAATGCTATCTTCCCCAGAAACCTTCTCCAATTGCCCCAGATTTTCAATGCATAGTCTTCATTCAGGACTGACTAGTGTCCCAAATAGGCTGAAACTATATTAGCGACCTGCTGGCATGGGAGATGTTAAATGATTCCCTGCTGCTATGATGTTTAATAAAAGCTTATTGAAATTACTTACATATATGTTTAATAGCACAAAGAAATTAAAAAGAAAATTTTTACTACTTCTGCATCGGCAGTACTCTTTCCTCACACCTGCTTCTCTTTCTCAGTACCTGCTTTGGTAGGTGAGATTTCTCACCCATCCCAGCAGCCAGGGAACCAACACTTGAGAACTGTTTTCCCCTTTATGGCCACAGGATGTCATTTCTTCTCCTCATTTGAATGACATCTGGCTTCCAAGATTGATTTGTTGTAATATCACGCACCCAGCTGGCCAGTGGGCTGAAAATCAATTCACCAAATGACCAATTTGCTGGATCAACTCTAACTCCATAGTAAGTCTGAAAAGGTAGGCTGTGGAAAGGGGGATATTGAGGCTAAGTCTCAAAGAATGGGCAGGATTTGGGTGAGCTATTACAAGAGAGAGGCAGGAAGGGGCATTCCAGGAGAGACAACCAGCAATGGCAAAAAACAAACAAACAAAAAAGAATTCCTTTTGGTTGGGATTTCTAACACCTCCCCCTCCAAAGAAAGAGAAGTAGTTTCAAAATAAGTGATTTGCAAATACAGGATAATTTTCTGGAGTTACATGTGCTCTTACTGCTGCAATTGCATAAATCTTGAGAAGATTTTGTCTTCATTTGATTCAGACTTCGGTTGAGTAGCTGCCTTCTTTTCTCCCACTTCTTGGTAATATAGGTTCTGCTAAAGAATGGAGATCTAGGCCAGGTGCTGTGCCTCACGCCTGTAATCCCAGCACTTTGGGAGGCTGAGGCAGGCGGATCACCTAAGGTCAGGAGTTCAAGACCAGCCTGGCCAACATGGTGAAACCCCGTCTCTACTAAAACTAAAAAATTAGCCAGATGTGGTGGCACGTGCTTGTAGTCCCAGCTACTCGGGAGGCTGAGGCAGGAACCCAGGAGGTGGAGGCTGCAGTGAGCCAAGACTATGCCACTGCACTCCAGCATGGGTGACAGAGTGAGATTCCATCCCCCCTCCACCGAAAAAAAAAAAAAAGAATGGAGATCTAGCCGTAGAGAATATATTTACCTCCCTAAAGTACCCAATTTATGTCAATGGCAATTGGCTTGAGTTTAATGGAAATTGACTTGAGTTTAATGGAAATTGACTCAAGTTTAATGGAAATTGACTCATGCTGTCAAGCATGTCAAATGGAAGGTAAACTCCAGTATATTTGTTCAGTAATTCTGGTAACCTAAATTTTTTTTTTTTTTGAGACAGAGTTTTGATGTTGTTGCCCAGGCTGGAGTGCAATGGTGCGATCTCAGCTCACCGCAACCTCTGCCTCCCAGGTTCAAGCGATTCTCCTGCCTCAGCCTCCTGAGTAGCTAGGATTACAGGCATGCACCACCATGCCCCACTAATTTTTTACTTTTAGTAGAGACAGGGTTTCTCCATGTTGGTCAGGCTGGTCTCGAACTCCTGACCTCAGGTGATCCGCCCGCCTCGGCCTCCCAAAGTGCTGGGATTACAGGCGTAAGCTACCGTGCCCGGCTGAAAAATTTTTTTTAAAAAAAGAAAAGATGACAGTACATCCAGTGGGTCTGCTGCTTTCCACTAGTTAGGAAACACCCCGTGTTCCTGCTGCTATGATCTTAGAACTTTCTATAGGTGGTATGACCATGGTGATGATGGAGGGAAGAGTAGCATGTGTCACAAAACACAGGTTCCAAAACCAGATCCATGCGCACACCTGGAGTTCCAGCTACTTGGGAGGCTGAGGCGGGGGGATCACTTGAGCCCAGGAGTTCAAGGCTGCAGTGAGCCATGATCATGCCACTGCACTCCAGCCTGGGCAACAGAGTGAGATCATGTCTCTAAAAACAGAAAAAAGTATTAAATTAGAATTGTCAGATTTCACATAAAAATACAAGACACCAGCTGGGCACGGTGACTCACGCCTGTAATCCCAGCACTTAGGGAGGCTGAGGCAGGTGGATCACGAGGTCAGGAGTTCGAGACCAGCTTGGCCAACATGGTAAAACCCCATCTCTACTAAAAATAAAAACTGGGCATGGTGGCACGTGCCTGTAATCCCAGCTACTCGGGAGGCTGAGGCAGGAGAATCGTTTGAACCCAGGAGGCGGAGGTTGCAGTGAGCCGAGATCGTGCCATTGCATTCCAGCCTGGGCAACACGGTGAGACTCCATCTCAAAAAAAAAAAAAAAAAAAAAATACAGGATACCCAGCTGGATTTGAATTTCAGGTAAAATATGATTTTTTAAAGTATGTCTCATGAAATATTTGGGATATACTTATACTAAAAATCATTCATTATTTATCTGAAATTAAAATGTAACTAAGCATCCTGTATTCTGTCAATCAATTTATCTACATTAATGATCTCATCTTCTAACTAAAGAAACTTAAGGCTGGGCACAGTGGCTCACACCTGTAATCTCAGCACTTTGGGAGGCCGAGGCGGGTGGATCACCTGAGGTCAGGAGTTCAAGACCAGCCTGGCCAACATGGTGAAACCCCATCTCTACTAAAAAAATACAAAAATTAGCCAGCCATGGTGGCATGCACCTGTAATCCCAGCCACTCAGGAGGCTGAGGCAGGAGAATCACTTGAACCTGGGAGTCAGAGGTTGTAGTGAGCCGAGATCATGCCACTGCATTCCAGCCTGGGCAGTAGAACAAGACTCTGTCTCAAAAAACAAAACAAAACAAAACAAAAAAACAAAAAAAACCAAAATAGCTTCAAAAAACATCAAATACTTGGGAGGCCAAGGCAGGCGGATCACCTGGGGTCAGGAGTTCGAGATCAGCCTGGCCAAACATGGCAAAACCCCATCTCTACTAAAAATACAAAAATTAGCCAGGCATGGTGGCATGAGCCTATAATCCCAGCCACTAGGGAGGCTGAGGCAGGAGAATCGCTTGAACCCAGAAGGCAGGGTTGCAGTGAGCCAGGGTCGTGCCACTGCACTCCAGCCTGGGCAACAAAGCAAGAGTCCGTCTTAAAAATAAACAAATAAATAAAATAAACAAAACAAATACTTAGAAAAAAATTTTAAGAAAATACATTCAATGTCTGCATGCTGAAAACCACAAAACACTGATGAAAGAAATCCAGAAAGACCTAAATAAATGGAGATAAACACTGTGTTCATGCATTGGAAGACTCAATATTGTTTGTTTTTGAGACAGGGGCTCACTCCGTCACCCAGGCTGGAGTACAGTGGCACACTCTTGGCTTACTGCAACCTCTGCCTCCCAGGCTCAAGCCATCCTCCCACCTCAGCCTCCCAAGTAGCTGGGACTACAGGCATGTGCTCCTCCCCTCCAACACATCAGGCTAATTTTTGTATTTTTTTGTAGAGATGGGGTTTCGCCACATTATCCACAGTGGTCTTAAACTCCTGAGCTCAAGCAATCTACCTGCCTCGGCCTCCCAAAGTGCTGGGATTACAGGTGTGAGCCCCTATGCGTGGCTGACTCAATATTGTTCAGATGCCAATTATCTCTAAATTGACTAATAGCTTTATTACCATGTCAATCAAAATTCCAGCAAGAGTTTTTGTAAAACTTAATACGCTGATTCTAAAATTTATATGGAAAGGCAAAGAAACTAAAATAACCAAAACAATTTTTTAAAATAACAAAGTTGAAAGACACTACTTGAGTTGAGTCTCATTATAAAGCTACAGTAATCAAGACAAATCAATGGAACAAAATAGCAAATAGAGAATTAGAGATACATGTATACAACTCATTGATTTTCTACAAAGTTGCAAAAGCAATTTAATGAAGAAAGAAAAGACATTCCAACAAATGATGCTGAAAGAATTGTACATCCTAATGCAAAAAAAAGACAGAGAGAGAAATGAATCTCAATTTATACCTCACATCCTACACAAAAATTAACTAAGCATGGATCATAAAATCTAACACTATAAAAGTTGTAGGAAAAATATTTGTGACTTTGGAATAGAAAATGATTTCCTAGATATGACACAAAAGCATGTTCCTTGAAAGAATTTTTTTTTTTTGAGACGGAGTCTAACTCTGTCACCCAGGCTGGAGTGCAATGGCGTAATCTCAGCTCACTGCAACCTCCACCTCCCGGGTTCAAGCGATTCTCATGCCTCTTGAGTAGGTGGGATTATAGGCACCTGCCACCACACCCAGCTAATTTTTTTAGTAGAGATGGTATTTCACCGTGTTGGCCAAGCTGGTCTCAAACTCCTGACCTCAAGTGATCCAACCACCTCAGCCTCCCAAAGTGTTGGGATTACAGGCATGAGCCACCACGCTGGGCTTTTTTTTTTTGAAACAGGGTCTCACTCTGTCACCAGGGCTGGAGTGCAGTGACGTGATCACAGCTCATTGCCGCTTCAACTTCCCAGGCTCAAGTGATCCTCCCACCTCAGCCTCCCAAGTAGCTGGGACTGCAGGCATATGCCATCACGCCTGGCTAATTTTTGTAGTTTTTGTAGAGATGAAGTCTCGCATGTTGTCCAGGCTGGTCTTGAACTTCTGGGCTCAGGCAATCCTCCTGCCTGGGCCTCCCAAAGTGCTGGGATTATAGGTGTGAGCCACTGCGCCCAGCCTATTTTGTATCTTAACTATAACAGTGGTTATACATCTGTATGCGTTTGTGAAAACTCACAGAAGTGAACATTAAAATGGTGAATTTAATGTATGTAACTTAATATAATTTAATTTTTTTTTGGTGGGGGATAGAGCTTCGCTCTTGTTGCCCAGGCTGGAGTGCAATGGCGTGATGTGGGCTTACTGCAACCTGTGCCTCCCACGCTCAAGTGATTCTCCTGCTTCAGCCTCCTGAGTAGCTGGGATTACACGTGCCCACCACCACATCTGGCTAATTTTTTGTATTTTTAGTAGAGAAAGGGTTTCACCATGTTGACCATGGCTGATCTTGAACTCCTGACCTCAGGTGATACACCCGCCTCGGCCTCCCAAAGTGTGATTACAGGTGTGAGCCACCACGCCCAGCCAGTTTATTAAAATTTTTAAAAAGAAGTGAGACATGTAAATACCAGAGCTGTGTAAATGCAAAGTTTATTAGGTACTGATCATTCCATAGGTGACAAATGGAGTGACGGTGGCTGGGTTTGGAAGCAGAGACAACTAGGGGACTGCTGAGAAAAGGTGAAAACAAGGAATCGGCAAGAGACTGTTTGGACGAACATCTGGGCTTACTGCAAAACAGGAAAGAATCACAGACTTGAGGTGAGAAACTGTGGGGCTGCCACACCTGGGCCTGAATTGCTCATTGATCAGCATTACAGAAGGAGTGCTCCTGTTGGTGATGGTGGAGGACCTGGGGCAGACCTCAGGAGAGAAGCCCAGTGAATGGCTCATTGTGTGCCAAGTCTAATGCGTTATCCTTATGTAGGGTTGCAGTGGAAAGAATGCAGAACCAGGAATCAGGATATCTGAGTTCCAGGCACAGCCCAGCCAGTGATGAACTGTGTGACCTGTGAAATCAGATGAGCCTCAGAGTTCACATCTGACCAGAGAGTTTAGAAAGGTGGAATCTCGGCCAGGTGTGGTGGCTCATGCCTGTAATCCCAGCACTTTGGGAGGCCAGGGCGGGTGGATCACTTGAGGCCAGGAGTTCAAGACCAGCCTGGCCAACATTGTGAAACCCCATCTCTACTAAAAATAAAAAAATTAGCCAGGCGTGGTGGCACACACCTGTAATCCCGACTACTTGGGAGGCTGAGGCAGGAGAATCGCTTGAACCTGGGAGGTGGAGGTTGCAGTCAGCCAAGATTGCACCACTGCACTCCAGCTGGGGTGACAGAGTGAGACTCTGTCTCAAAAAAATAAAAAAGAAAGAAAGAAAGATGGGGCCTCAAGACCCTTCTACTGTGAACCATCTCTTGGTTACATAATTTATACCCTAAAATGAGTTCACTAGAATATACATTTGCACAGTCCTTTACAGTTTATAAAGCACTCTTAGCACCAACCTTATTCACCCCCGGCGGCAGTGAGGAGTGTGCTATTCCTCTTTTCCATGTGAGGAAGCTGGTCCTCGGAGAGGTTAATTAGTCTTGTGTAAAGTCACTCCAAGTCCAGTGCTCTTTCAGTCATCCCACACCAAGGAGCAGGGCAGTGCCTGCATTTTCTAAGACCAGGCTGAGGGATGGCCCACTAGGGAGAAGGCTTTGGGCCCAGAGCCAGACAGGAGAACTCATTCCTGGAAAGAGCTACAGTGAGAATGCTCCAGGTGTGTAAACACTTCTTCCTCTGCATCTCAGCCATTGCCTGGTGGCGCCCCACTTCCAGTTCACAGGTTTTAAATACTTGTGGTAGTAGGTGTGGTAGTTTGAACCCTGACCCCTCAAAGATGCCTTCCTCCTAATTCCAGAAGCTACGAATATGCTACCTCTCCATGGTAAAGGGGATTTTGCAGATGGGATAAAGTTAAGGATCTTGCAATGGGAGATTATCCTGGATTATCCGGGTGGGTCCAGTGTAATCACAAGGGTCATTCTAAGAGTGAAGGAGGAGGGTCAGTCAGGAAAAGCTGAAGACAGAAGAGGTTGGTGTGGTACACTTTGAAGATGGAGGGAGGGGCCACAAACCTAGAAATGGAGGCAAGGAAATTGATTCTCCCCTGAAACTTCTGGAAGGAATGTGGCACTACTGACACCCTGATTTTAGACTGTTGGCCTCCAGCACTGTAAAGAGTAAATTTGTGTTGCTTAAGCTACCAAATTTGTGGTAACTTATTACAACAGAAATAGGAAACCAACACAGTAGGGAAGAAGAAACATTGACCCTATGGAATTAGGTACATCAGAAAAGTTAAAGCCAAAGATTCTTTAATTATTTTCCCACATTTAAAACAAAGCAAAATGAACATACACACACACGCATCTATCCTATGACAAAATGGTCATAATTTTGCAGTGTTTAGGAGATACTGTTTAACACTTCAGAACCCCAAGTAAATTGGGAACAAAGACACTTAGAATTCTTTTTTACCCAGAACTGTGCTGAAACTAATGAACTGCAGGGTGGGAGAGTAACTTTTATTAACGCAAATGCATTTCAGGGGAGAAGGCACTGAATTGAGAAAAATACATGATTTAAAATTCAATTGGAAATTTGGATGATTATATCCACGATTTCTGACCCACTTTCAAATTTGCCACCCTTATCTCTATAAATATACTTAGACTTTTCATGTGCAGATTTTCATTCAGAAAATCCACTCTTGGTTCTCTGAAAACAAGTACTGAAGTATCTTAGAGATTTACCAAAAAAAAAAGTGTATGGGAATCAAGCTTCCTTTTCCTTTTGAAAACGCATATGATATTTGTTTTAACCCAGCTCTGGCTTTGAGAGTGATCTACTGTTCTGTCGCCCTAAGCGTGAGTTTAGTGGTCATTCCAGTATGTGTTAACAGACAGTGACATCATCTGGAAGCAGGAAATGGCTCTCAGGTTACCATATAAATTGACTTAAGCTTCAGAGAGGATTACAGGGCAGACCTCTGCTAAGTGTGGAGATGCCATTACAGCTAAATCAAAGGTAACTGCGAGGTCTGGCAGGCACCTGTCAACAGGTAAGGGAAGGAGAAGCCCAGAAGGAGCCTTGAGTCAGGATTACATTCTCCAAGCTTTATTTTTATTTCAGGTTAAAGGGTCAGACAGAGAAGCCATTCGCAGTGGTCTTTATTTATGGTTCTCAGAGGCCGGGCTGGTGAAGCGTCATGAGGAAGAGGGATGGTCCAGGTGGGATCCCCATCTCCTGGCCCAGCTGATGACAGATGGAGGGCCTTGAGCTTTGTGAAAGCCTAGCTTTTTATCCATGTGCATTAATGTTTGCAGGCAAACATGAGAGCTCATCCTTTGTTACCTCTCTTATGGGGAGAGGTATGTGTTTTCCGAGCCTCCTTACTCCTTGGCCACCTGAAAAGAATTGTTTCCACTACCTATTGTTGGCCTTTGAAGGACAGGTGAGGAGGAAGCTGCATCATTGACTGGCAAGCTTGGCTGGAGAGAGTCTCACAGACTGTCAGCCAGCTGATCCCTAGCAAGGGATTCTCTGATAACTGATGTGTTAACAATAAAGTATACCCATTCCAAAAGACATTTCCATTGAGTCAGATGACTCCTGAAAACGAGATTTTAGCATCCAAAACAACAAAGCTATAATGGCTAAATGATTAGAAGTAATACTTTGGAACAGTAAATGGACGCTAGAAGGCAGTTGAAAATATTGTCATCATGCCAAAAAGAAATTCCATGCCCACTGGCAGTCACTACCCATTTCTTCTACCGCCCACTGATCACTAATTCCTTTCAGCAACCACTAATCCATTTTCTGTCTCTATGCATTTGCCTATCCTGAATGTTATGTAGAAGTTGAATCCTACAATATGTGGTCTTTAGCATCATGTTTTCTTTCTTTTTGAGACGGAGTCTCGCTCTGTCGCCCAGGCTATAGTGCAGTGGCGTGATCTTGGCTCACTGCAACATCCGCCTCCCAGGTTCACGCCGTTCTCCTGCCTCAGCCTCCCGAGTAGCTGGGACTACAGGCACCCGCCACCATGCCCGGCTAATTTTTTTTTATTTTTACTAGAGACGGGGTTTCACTGTGTTAGCCAGGATGGTCTTGATCTCCTGACCTCGTGATCTGCCCGCCTCAGCCTCCCAAAGTGCCAGGATTACAGGCGTGAGCCACCGCCTCCAGCCAGCATCATGTTTTCAAGGTTCATTCATGCTGTAGCATGTATCAGCACTTCATTCCCATTTATTGCCAAATAATATTCCTTTGTATGGCTACACCACTTTTATTTATCCAGTCATCAATTAGTGAACACTTGGGTTATTTTCCTTGGCCAGACGTGGTGGCTAACGTCTGTAATCCCAGCACTTTGGGAGGCTGAGGCAGGTAAACTGCTTGAGCCTAGCAGTTTGAGACCAGCCTGGCCAACATACTGAGACCCTGTCTCTACAACAATACAAAAATCAGCCTGGCACGGCGGAGCACACCTATAGTCCCAGCTACTCAGGAGCCTAAGGTGGGAGGATTGCTTGAGCCCAGGAGGTCGAGGCTGCAGTGAGCCAAGATTGCCCCACTGAACTCCAGCCTGGGCATTGGAGTAAGGCCTGTCTCAAAAAATAAATAAAGAAATAAAATTTAAAAACAAAAAAAAAAATGAACGCTTGAGTTATTTTTCCTTTTGGGCCATCCCTCTGCACTTTAAAGATGCTTCTGTGTTTCTCTCCTACTATCCATGGTTATTATTTTAGTCTTATGTCGTCTT
This sequence comes from Homo sapiens, assembly GCF_000001405.40. NCBI lineage: Eukaryota > Metazoa > Chordata > Mammalia > Primates > Hominidae > Homo > Homo sapiens. The sequence continues at coordinate 88,480,333 of NC_000002.12, read as the reverse complement.
TGATGTGTGACTTTGTTTTTTTTGGTGTTCTTTTTTGAGATAAGGTCTCGCTGTGTCACGCAGGCTTGAGTGTAGTGGCGCGATCTCAGCTCACTGCAGTCTTGACCCCCCAGGCTGAAGCCATCTCCCACCTCAGCCTCCTGAGTGGCTGGAACCACAGGTATAGTCCATGATCCTGGCTAATTTTTGTATTTTTGTAGAATGGAATCTCACTATGTTGGCCAGGCTGGTCTCAAACTCCTAGGCTCAAGTGATATGCCCACCTCAGCCTCCCAAAGTGCTGGGATTACAGGCATGTGCCACCACACCCGACCATAATTATATTAAACTTTTTAATCTGTAAGTTTGCATGTGCACAGAAAAAAAAGTGATCAACAAAACAAGAGGAGTCAGCATTATTAGTCATCAGAGAAATGCAAATTAAAACCACAATGAGATATCCTTACATACGTATTTACAATGGTTAAAATTAACAAGACTGTCCACATCAAATACTGGTGAAGATATGGAAGAACCAGAACTCATAAATACCCCTGCTGGGAATGTAGATGGCACAATCACTCTGGAAAAAAGTCTGGTAGTGTCTCAAATTTAAGCACATGCCTGCCATTCCATTCCTAGGCATTTATCCAAGAGGAAGGAAAGCATATGTCCATACAAAGACCTGTACACAAATGCTCATGGCAGCTTTGTATGCACAGGTTGAATATCGCTTATCCAAAATCCTTGGGACAAAAAGTGTTTCAGATTTTGACTGTTTCTAATTTTGGAATATTTGCATATACACAATGAGATATCTTGAGGATGAGACCCAAGTCTAGAACATTCATTTCCGTTTCATGTACACCTTATACGCATAGCCCGAAGGTAATTTTATAAAATATTTTTTAGCAATTTTGTGCATGAGGCCGCGCATGGTGGCTCACGCCTGTAATCCCAGCACTTTGGGAGGCTGAGGTGGGTGGATCACTTGAGATCAGGAGTTCAAGACCAGCCTAGCCAATGTGGTGAAACCCCATCTCTACTAGAAATACAAAAATTAGCCAGGCATGGTGGCGCACGCCTGTAATTGCAGCTTCTCGGGAGGCCAAGGCACGAGAATTGCTTGAACATGGGAGGCAAAGGTTGCAGTGAGCCGAGATTGCACCACTGCACTCCAGCCTGGGTGATTGAGCAAGACTCTGTCTCAAAAAAAAAAAAAAAAAATGTGCATGAAACAAAGTTTGTATACATTGAACCATCAGAAAGCAAAGATGTCAGGTGCAAAATTTTCTGTTTCTGGCATCATCTCAGTGCTCAAAAAGTTTCGAATTTTAGAGCATTTTGCATTCCAGATTTTTGAATTAAGGATGTTCAACCTGTAATAGCCCCAAACTGGAAACTGTGTAAATGTCCATCAACAGGTGAATGGATAAACAAACTGTAGTATATCCATACAGTGGGGGATACTCCACAATAAAATAATAAAGAGGAATGGACTATGAAGTTATTGACTCACATAACAGCAAGGATGAATCTAAATAATTGTGCTGAACGAAAGGAGTCAGACTTTTAAATTATATGATTCAATTTATATAAAGTTTTAGAAAATGCACACTAATCTAAAAGCAGATCAGTAGGAGCCTCTAAGGTGTTTGCATTAGGGATGGGAGGGGTTATAGAGGGACATGACGACATTTTGGGGGCTGATGGAAATGTTTGCTATCTTGATTGCGGCAATAGTTCCACATGTACATATATATATATCTATTTATTTATCAAATTGTGCACTTTTAAATATGTGCAGTTGATTTTATGTCAATTATACCTGAATGAAAGAATAAAAGATGCCGGGTGCAGTGGCTCCCACTTTGGGAGGCTAAGGCAGGTGGATCACCTGAGGTCAGGAGTTTGAGACCAGCCTGGCCAACATGGTGAAATCCCATCTCTACTAAAAATACAAAAATTAGTTGGGTATGTTGGTTCATGCTTGTAATCCCAGCTACTCGGGAGGCTGAGGCAGGAGAATCGCTTGAACCCGGGACGCGGAGGTTGCAGTGAGCTGAGATCGTGCCACTGTACTCCAGCCTGGGCGACAGAGCGAGACTCCTCAAAAAAGGAAAGAAAGAAAACAGGAAGGAAGGAAGGAAAAGAAAGAAAGGAATGAAAGAAGAAAGAAAGAGAGAGAGATGGAAAGAGAGTCAAAGGATAGGGAGGAACAACAGGAGGCAATGCACCAGAAGCAAGAAGAAAAAGCAGATGCAGCATAAACCTCGAAACATCCAAAATCTAGAGTCTAGCCATAAAAAAAGAATAAAAATCACGTCCTTTCCAGAAACATGGTTGCAGCTGGAAGCCATTATCCTAAGAGAATTAATACAGGAACTGAAAACCAAATACTGCATGTTATCTCTTATAAATGGTAGCTAAACATGAGTACACATGGGAACAACAGACTCTGGGGACTACTAGAGGAGGAAGGGAGGGAGAGAGGCAACGGTTTAACAACTAACTGTTGGGTACTATACTCAGTACCTGGGTGAGGGGATCATTTGTACCCCAAACCTCAGCATCACACAATATACCCAGGTAACAAACCTGCACGTTTTCCCTGAATCTAAAATAAAAGTAGAAAAAAAAAATTTTTTTTTTGAGACAGGGTCTCACTGTCTCCCAGGCTAGAGTGCAGTGGCATGATCAGGGCTCACTGTAGCCTCGACTTCCTGGGCTGAGGCGATCGTCCTGCCTCAGCCCCCTGAGTAGCTAGGACTACAGGCATGCGCCACCACACCCGGCTAATTTATTGTATTTTTAGTAGAGATGGGGTTTCACCATGTTGCCCAGGCTGGTCTCCAACTCCTGGACTTAAGTAATCTGCACACCTCAGCCTCCCAAAGTGCTGGGACTACAGGCATGAGCCACTGCATCCAGCCAGAAAAAAGTATCTTTTAAGAACTAAATAAAAATAAATGCAATACATTTTTTTTCTTTGAAATAAATAAATAAATAAAATCTAGAGTCTCCTCCAGGCACAATCCCACTGGTCCTGGCATTGGGAGACGTCATTGTAAGGCTCAGCTCTGCCAGTCACTGGCTCTGACTTCTGAGGCAAATCTCTTTGGAGGTTCAAATGGGATAAATTTTCCTCTTCCGTGAAGCCCCATACAAATGTTTGCAGCAGCAATAAGAACAACAGTGGATACTGTTGACATTTTACTGTTGTTGATATTATAATTATGCTCATCAGTGGATTCAAGCTTTCCCCACAGAGCTTTGTGATGACTGAGGATGGGTGTCACCTAGAGTCCTGTCACCATCTCCATGGAGATCCTGCATGGGCACTTTGCAGAAAACAAAAGATTTCCACTTTCTCAGGGCTGCACCGCTGCAATAAGAATCAAGCCATGTTTGGCCAGGTGCAGTGGCTCATGCCTGTAATCCCAGCACTTTGGGAGTCTGAGGCAGGCAGATCACCTGAGGTCAGGAGTTGGAGACCAGCCTGGCCAACATGGTGAAACCGCGGCTCTACTAAAAATACAAAAATTAGCTGGGTGTAGTGGCGCACACCTGTAATCCCAGCTACTCAGGAGGCTGAGGCAGGTGAATTGCTTGAACCCAGGAGGTGAAGGTTGCGGTGAGCTGAGATCGGGCCACTGCACTCCAGCCTGGGTGACAGAGCAAGACTCTATCTCAAAATAAATAAATAAATAAATAAACAAATAAATAAGAATCAAGCCATGTTTTAGCTTGCACCACATGGAAGTGGGTCTACTATCATTTCAGGAGACTTCGTGGTACCCTTTTGCCACAAGTCTCATGGGTGGAAAAAAAAGAAGTAAGTAAAATATGTTTTAGTATTTGACATCCCCCACTCCTGAGATGAGATCAGCACAAAAGTACCAGTTATATTTTTTCATGTTCTGAATTTTGCCTGTAACCCTGCTAGTTTGGTTTACTTTTTGTCATTATTATCTGTAACCTTGTAATAAAAGACAAGCCTTTCATCAAGTTTGAGTCTCCTCCCTGTCTACTAACACAACCCATGAAAACACCATACTCAAATATTGGCTGCATAATTCCTAGAGCCTACTGCAGAAAATATTCCTGTGACCCTTATAAGAGACTTCTCATCAGCATATGTAAGAGATGAATATTTCTACCTAAGGATGATGGCACCTACAACTCTTTCTGCATTATTTTGAATTTTCTTTAGCATTTTCCTGCTGAGGCAGCCTCTTGGATATCATCACATCTTAGCTAGTCAAATGCCATTAATCTCTTTTTGGGATATAGAGATGGTGCTTCATAAAGTCAATTGTTTTTTAAGATGCCTCTAAAGAAATGCTCTTCTCCTATATTAGTCTGTTCTCACATTGCTAATAAAGGCATACCTGAGACTGGGTAATTTACAAAGGAAAGAGGTTTAATGGACTCACAGTTCCACGTGGCTGGGGAGGCCTCACAATCATGGTGGAAGGCAAAGCAGATGCAAAGCACGTCTTACATAGCAGCAGGCAAGAGAGCTTGTGCAGGAGAACTCCAGTTTACAAAACCATCAGATATCGTGAGACTTATTCATTAGCAGGAGAATGGCGTAGGGGAAACTGTCCCCATGATTCAATTATCTCCATCTGGCCCCACCCTTGACACATGGGGATTATTACAATTCAAGGTGAGATTTGGGTGGGGACACAGCCAAATCATGTCATCTTTTTACAGAGAAAGCCAGCTCACTTTCCCCACTACTTCTTCCTTGGGTGCTGCAGAGTTAGAAATGCCCAGTGCTCAGCAGCAGGGCCAAGCTAGAGCTATTGCTTGGGCTTGGCATAAATAGTGAATTGGTTATTATCTGTGATAACTCCTCCCTGAATTTCTCTGCAGTCTGGAGACCCTGGATCAGTTGAGATATGCTCTCAATTGATCTTCTTGGTAAGAGGGATTCATTGGATTGCATGTTCCTAGTTTCTAGATGCTATTCTTTCTAGCAATGGTATTTTCCCTTTTCCACAGAGGGGATTCAAGTAGTGGTTTCTCCAATTCAATTCATAAGTAGACTTCATTCTTCAATCCAACTGCATCCAGCTCATAGGATTCTAGGAACTCCAAACCTAAACTAGGGCAAAGCCCTGCAGTACTTAGACTTATACAGTTTCTTCCTATGCATTTTAAAATTATTATCTGGGATTTATCTTTTTTTTTTTTTTCCCAGATGGAGTCTCACTCTGTAGCCCAGGCTAGAGTGTGCAATGGCATGATCTCCACTCACTGCAACCTCTGACTCCTGGGTTCAAGTGATTCTCCTGCCTCAGCCTCCTGAGTAGCTGGGATTACAGGCACATGCCACCATAGTCGGCTAATTTTTGTGTTTTTAGTAGAGACATGGTTTCACCATGTTGGCCAGGCTGTTCTCGAACTCCTGACCTCAGGTGATCTGCCCACTTTGGCCTCCCAAAATGCTAGGATTACAGGTGTAAGCCATCGCACCTGGCCTATCTGGGATTAATCTTATTTATGCACCGGAATGTTACAAAGTACTGAGTTAACAGAATACTGCTTATTCATTTTGTTGAAAGTGCTTATTTAGGAAATTATCTTAAATTTAGGGCCAGGCATGGTAGCTCACACCTGTAATCTCGGCACTCTGGGAAGCCAAGGAAGGAGGATCGCTTGAGGCCAGGATTTTGAGACCAACCTTGGCAACAAAGTGAGACTCCATCTCTACAAAAAAATTAAAAATTAGCTGGGTGTGGTGATACTCATTTGTAGCCTTAGCTACTTGGGAGGATGAGGAGGGATGATTACTTGAGCCTAGACATTCGAGGCTACAGTGAGCTATGATCGTGCCATGGCTCTCCAGCCTAGGCAACACAGTGAGACCCTGTATCTGAAAAAGAAAAGAAAGGAAATTATTTTAAATTTAAACCTGGAATGACTTCAGCAGGAAAACAGCTTCAATATTCCCCCTTTTATATAAAATCTTTTTTCTTTTTTTTTTTTTGAGACAGAGTCTCGCTCTGTTGCCCAGGATGGAGTGCAGTGGCGTGATCTCAGCTCACCACAACCTCCGCCTCCCAGGTTCAAGAGATTTCTCCTGCCTCAGCCTCCTGAGTAGCTGGGACTACAGGCGTGCACCACAATGCCTGGCTAATTTTTGTATTTTTAGTACAGACGGGGTTTCACTACGTTGGCCAGTCTGGTCTCGACTTGGTGATCTGCCCACCTTGGCCTCCCAAAGTGCTGGGATTACAGGTGTGAGCCACTGCGCACATACTTAAAATCTTCACAGTAATCTTTACAGTAAGATTACATATTTTACATACTTAAAATATTTTCAGTAATCTTTACTTAAAATCTTTAGAGTAAAGTGATGTAGGATTCACACGGGAGGATCAAGAGTGGAGAACAGGTCAAGAATATGCAGTTTTCTCACATCTGAACTTGTCTATTTCCCGCAGAAAGCCCACAGTCTGCCAAAGAAGGGTGCATCATCAAATAAGCCATAATGTATATTTTGTAGGTGAAAACAGTTGAATAAAAGCAAACTTCAACCTTCAGTGCCATCATCAATTATAGGCTCCTTCAAGGATAAGCTTGAGATTAAAAACAAATACTCCTTACCTTTTACAGAAACAGATTTTTAGGAAGCTAAAGGAACATCTGAAGAGGTACACCATCATCAGACCCTCTGATTGATTAACAATAGGATACAGCAGCAAGCATTTCACAGCAAGCAATCCCCACTGGCCAATTATGTGTTAGGTGCAGTGTTAGACCAGGAAACATGGCAGTAGCCAACCGTGTCATAGCCCTAGAGCTGCAAGACTTTACCCCGGTGTGGCAGTTAGCATGACAATCATGGAAAAAAGGCTCCCTATGGGCAAACAGGTCATCACCCAGGATTTGTCTGTGCACCGGACATCTCTTGGGACACAGTTTTCCAACGCCTCTAAAATGAGGCCCTAAGCACCAATGTCTCTGCACATCGTAGACAGAGCACAGATGACCATCCAATGTCATCTTGGTTCCTTTTCTTCCTCTGTGAGGCATGACTGATTCTAAGCCTTTACATACTACTTACAGAAAAGTTTTGTTTTTGAGATGTTCAAAAACCCCTTTATTCAGCCTTAAATCTCTGGGCATTCAATGCTATATGTGGAGATTTTAAAAAGTTTTAATCTCTGAGCAGCCTATTGGCAGCTACCATTTCTTAGGGTTAACAGAGAAGCCAGATGCACAAGGAATTTGAGTGCCTCCCCCAACAACCCCAAATTGAGGAAAAATTTCCCAAGATCCTACTCACTTTTATGTATTAATTTTTTATTTTTATTTATTTATTTATTATTTATTTATTTATTTATTTATTATTTATTTATTTATTTTAGACAGAATCTCACTCTGTCGCCCAGGCTGGAGTGCAATGTCACAATCTCGGTTCACTGCAACCTCCACCCCCCGGGTTTAAATGATTCTTCTACCTCAGCCTCCTAAATAGCTGGGATTACAGGCGCCCGCCACCGTGCCCGGCTAATTTTTGTATTTTTAGTAGAGATGGGGTTTCACCATCTTGGCTAGGCTGGTCTTGAACTCCTGACCTCGTGATCCACCCGCTTCGGCCTCCCAAAGTGCTGGGATTACAGGCATGAGCCACTGCGCCCGGCCCCTACTCACTTTTAAAATGTAAAATTATGCATTGTGTTGTGTAATACAGTCACCTCTGTAGCTTGCAGGACTTCTGAGAGACTAAATTGATCAATAAATGGCGGCCAGGTACAACTGGAGAAGCAAGCTTCAATTCCTTGTATTTCTACAGAACCTTTCCCAAAGGTGCTGAAGAATAACTGTGCCAAAGAGACCATAGGCAATGAACTCCCCAGAAGCCTGAGGCCCATATTCACATAAACTGTCTCTATCTCAGGCCAGGCGCGGTGGCTCATGCCTGTAATCCCAGCACTTTGGGAGGTCAAGGCAGGCGGATCACGAGGTCAAGAGATGGAGACCATCCTGGCCAACATGGTGAAACCCTGTCTCTACTAAAAATACAAGAATTAGCCGGGCATGGGGGCATGCACCTGTAGTCACAGCTACTTGGGAGGCCGAGGCAGGGGAATCGCTTGAACCCGGGAGGCAGAGGTTGCAGTGAGCCGAGATTGCGCCACTGCACTCCAGCCTGGCGACAGAGCAAGATTCTGTCTCAAAAAAAAAAAAAAAAAGAAAGAAAGAAAAGAAAAAAAACTGTCTCTATTGCAGAACTTGTCAGTTTGACAGGCTAGGCATTTCCAAAATCTAACTCCCCCGCTTGATGGGCACCTCAGTGGTGGGGGTAGGAAGTGACAGAGCTCTCTCATTCATGTAAATAAAGGTGACTGCATCCCCCTCATAGCTGTGGGTGGTGGAACTCCTTTTATTTCTAAGATTAAAAGAGCAAGGCTGTAGGGGGCAGAGGAATAACCTTGTGGAAGAGAAGGGGCTGAGGTGGACAGGGGAGTTGGCTTTCAGGAAGCAGAAGTCAGCTGTTTTACAGTATGGATTAGACACACACACTCCAGGTGTTTTGAAACAAGTTTCCCAAAGCACTCAGCAGTCTGCATTCCTTTCCACGACTCTCTAAGAAAAGTGTCTCTTCTGGCTTAGGAAGAATCATAAAAAAATTGCCACCCTGACCCCCTCATCTTAATCCCTCGCCATTTGGCGAACAATAGAGAAAACGCACCTGACAAAGGTGTTGGGCTAATGCCACAGCTCCTTGTCTCTTTCTGAAGAGCTGAGCGGGAGGCAGAAGATCAAGCTGAGCCCCTGATTTGAGTGTCTTTTGGAAATGCATAAAGCTGCAGACGGAAAGGCGGCTTTCATGTGCAAATCATCTGAGGCTGGCACTACTAGCCTTGGTCCTCCTAGTCTTTGCCCAATGCTTTCTTTAATCTTGAAATTACTCCTCTTTTCAGATCTAATGTTTTTGCCAGACAAGATTTGAAAATACAGAGATACTGAATGCATTTTCACATGCTCAGTAGGGGGAACAATTTGCCTATTTTGAAGTGGCTGCCATTCAAATACTCTGCCAGAGACTTACTACTGAACAAATAGTACAAAAGCGTCATCAGGTATAACAAATATTACAAGTCTTCTTTTCAAAAGACTTTCCTCCAAGTACTCTTCGTAAAGAGTGTCAACAATAAAAGTGAACTAATTTCAAGCAATAAAATTTAGCAGGTAGGCTAGGCACGGTGGCTCACACCTGTAATCTCAGCACTTTGGGAGGCCGAGACAGGTGGATCACTTGAGGCCAGGAGTTCGAGACCAGACTGGCCAACATGATGAAACACTGTCTTTACTAAAATACAAAAATTATCCAGGTGTGGTGGCACATGCCTGTAATCGCAGCTACTTGGGAGTCTGAAGCAGGAGAATCACTTGAACCTGGGAGGTGGAGGTTTCAGTGAGCCAAGATTGTGCCACTGTACTCCAGCCTGGGCGACAGAGTGAGACCCTGTCTCAAAAATTAAAAAAAAATCTAATAGGTGCATTAATATGGGAAAGTTAGAACCAAACCTTGCTCTCCTATTAATTTTTGCAAAAGTCAACAGTGCATTGGTTATGCAAAGGAATAGACTGAGGATTGGAAGGAAGAACTGCTAGCTCATCCATTCTGTTTTGTTTCATTTTTTTTTTTTCACCTTCTCGAAATTATTTAACAGGAGAAAATCTAAACAGCAAACAGGAAGATGGTCTATTATAAAGTGCTTGAATGTCTGGAGTTGATTAAATGCAAAAACTCTTCATTGGTCAGCAATAGATATAAATGGACACATTAGAAATAATATAGCTCGTATCTGTCCAAAATGAAACAGTGCCTCAGCAGTTTAATTTTGATAGTCAATATGCTATATTTTATTGACTAGGACACCTGACAACACTCAATAATAATGTCAAAGTGTAATGACAATAGGGAAATCATGGCATCTTAATTACTTTTGTTTTACCACCACTTCTAATTTATATTTTCGTTAAACGTTAGTGTCACTTTCAGATTAAGTAAGAGTAAATTCTCGAAATAAATATCTGACAGAAGATTTAGCTTTGTTCCAGAAAAATGAATGAAGTCATGGAACCGTAATTTTATTTCATAGAAAGGCTAGGAAAAGTCCAACATGTAACATTTCATTAATTCAACAATTATTTATTAAGCATCCATGCATCTTCTAAAGGGACAGAGGCCTCTACCCACACAGAGTAGAGTGGCATACAGTAAAGTATAGTACAATAGATCACAGTAGAGTAGACTACAGTCGAGTACAATAGAGTAGGGTAGAGTAGGATACAGTACAGTACAGTATAGAGTGAAGTACAGTAGAGTAGAGTGAAGTATAGTAGAGTAGAGCACACTAGAGTAGGGTAGAGTACAGTAGAGTTGAGTAGACTAGAGTACAGTACAGTAGAGTAGGGCACACTAGAGTAGGGTAGAGTACAGTAGAGTTAAGTAGACTAGAGTACAGTACAGTAGAGTAGGGTTGAGTGGAGTACAGTAGAGTACGGTGGAGTACAGTAGAGTAGAAAACAGTAGAAGGTGGTAGGGTACAGTAGATTAGAGTAGAATACAGTAGAGTATAGTACAGTAGAGTGGAGTGGAGTACAGCAGAGTAGAGTAGAGTAGAGTAGGGTAGAGTGGAGTAGAGGACAGTAAAGTACAGTACAGTAGAACAGAGTGGAGTAAAGTATAGCAGAGTGGAGTATTGTACAGTACAGTAGAATATAATATAATACAGTAGAGTCGAGTAGAGTACAGTACAGTATAGTAGAGGGGGGGTGCAGTAGAGTAGAAGACAGTAGATTACAGTAGAGTAAAGTACAATAGAATGCAGTAGAGCAGAGTAGAGGAGAGGAGAGGACAGGATAGTAGAGTGGGGGACAGTAGAGTAGGGTAGAGTGGAGTAGAGTACAGCAGAGTGGAACAGAGTAGAGTGGAGTACAGTAGAGTAAAGTAGGGTGGAGTTGGGTAGAATGGAATAGACTACAGTAGAGTGGAACAGAGTAGAGTGGAATATAGTAGAGTGGGCATTTCTTACCAACACCCCTCTGCCCTGAAGAGGTTTTGCCCTGTCTATGGATGGCTGCAGACTGTAGTATTCAGTACATCGGTTTCCACCAGATCTGCCCAGGCTATATCCACCCCATCCCCAATTCTCAGCCCCCCGCTCTCAGCCCTGACAGGGTACCCATGGCATCCTAAGACATCAACTAATTTTGTGTTAGCCTCTTTCATTCTCTCAGGGCTCTCTGCCTTCCTCTCTCACAATTCATTCATTTGTGGAGGAAATATTTATTGAGTACCTACTCTGTACCCAGGACTGGGTTCTATCCCTAGAAGTGAGCAAAAGAGACACAGCCTCTGCCCTGGAAGTCCACAGTCCACAACCCTCTCAGGCAAGCCTCAACCAAATAGTCACAGAAACACATCCTAGTTACCAACTGTGAATGAGCTATGAATAAAGATTAACATGAGACTATTATCAAGGATCCCTCAGCTACTTTGGGGAGGTGAGGAAGAGCCAGGGCTGCCTGAGGATGAGGCTGTGAGCCTCGGAGGAGCAGCAGCAACTAACTGGCTGAAAGGCTGGAAAGGTGGTCAGACCAAAGAAGGGGAATTTCCCAAGACCCTCAGGAGGAAAAGAGTATTCTTTCTCTCTCTTTTCTTTCTTTTTTTATTGAGACGGAGTCTTGCTCTGTCTTGCCCAGGCTGGAGTGCAGTGGTGCGATCTCGGTTCACTTCAGCAGCCTCGGCCTCCTAGGTTCAAGCGATTCCCCTGGCTCAGCCTCCCGAGTAGCTGGGACTACAGGCATGCATCACCACACGCGGCTAATTTTGTATTTTTAGTTGAGACAGGGGTTTCACCATGTTGGCCAGGCTGGTCTCAAACTCCTGACCTCAGGTGATCCACCTGCCTGGGCCTCCCAAAGTGCTGGGATTACAGGTGTGAGCCACCACGCCTGGCCTCTCTTTTCTAACTCTGAATTGTCTCTTATTATTATCCCCAACAAAAAAGCTTGGGGCAAAAAACAACAAAAAGCAGAATCTGCATCTACAAAAACTGTAATTCTTGTAGCTAAGGAAAAGATCCAGAAGGACGTTCAGGGAGGGAGTAATTTCACATACGCAGGGTTTGGAGAGGTGTGGTACTGACGGTCAATTGTGCCCTAGTATTCTCTGCTTCCCTGGCATGGCTGCCGCAGTACGCCTTTCAGCAGGGCACAGCAGGCCCAGTTTAAGACTGCACTTCCCAGGGTCCTTTGCAACCAGGTGGGGCCATGTGACTAAGTTCCGATGAATTTAAGGAGAAATCCATGTCACTTTCTTTGAGGGAAATTATTAATGCTTATTTTCCACTTCCTATCCTTTCACTTTTTTCTTTTCTTTTTTTTTTTTTTGAGACGGAGTCTTGCTCTGTTGCCCAGGATAGAGTGCAGTCGCACGATCTCCATTCACTGCAACCTCTGCCTCCCAGGTTCAAGCACTTCTCCTGCCTCAGCCTCCCGAGTAGCTGGGATTACGCGCCCACGACCACATCCAGCTAATTTTTTTTTTTTTTTTTTTTGAGAGAGTCTCGCTCTGTCGCCCAGGCTGAAGTGCAATGGCGCGATCTCGGCTCACTGCAAGCTCCACCTCCCGGGTTCATGCCATTCTCCTGCCTCAGCCTCCCGAGTAGCTGGGACTACAGGCGCCCACCACCACGCCTGGCTAATTTTTTTTTTTTTTTTTTGTATTTTTAGTAGGGACAGGGTTTCACCGTGGTATCGATCTCCGGACCTTGTGATCCGCCGCCTTGGCCTCCCAAAGTGCTGGGATTACAGGCGTGAGCCACCGCGCCCGGCCTAGTTTTTGTATTTTTAATAGAGATGGGTTTCACCATGTTGGCCGGGCTAGTCTCAAACTCCTGACCCCAGGTGGCCCACCTGCCTCGGCCTCCCACAATGCTGGGATTACAGGCGTGAGCCACTGCGCCCGGCCCCTATCCCTCTGCTTTCCCAGGGGTAGGAGCATACATTTGGTACTAGGAAGCCAGCTGCTGTGGTGGGGTTGAGGACAAGAGGTGAGAGAATCTTAACAGAGAAGGTGCCTGGGTTCCTAGGAGCCCGGAGGAGCAGAACCACCTCCCTAGTCTAGACTGTTCCATGAGAGAAGCCCACTGTCATCTTGTATTTTGGGGTCTTTCTAAGTTTGCCTGTTCCTTAATTAACACAAGAGAGGTTATCTTATTCAATGATTTTGTCTTTACAATGCCAACCAAAACAAAAGTCATAACAAAAGTCATAACGGAAAAGATAAAGAAATTTGATTATATAAAAATTGTGTAGGGCTGGGCGCTGTGGTTCACGCCTGTAATCCCAGCACTTTGGGAGGCCGAGGCGGGCAGATCACGAGGTCAGGAGTTCGAGACCAGCCTGGTGAAACCTCATCTGTAATAAAAATACAAAAAATTAGCCAGGCATGGTGGCACACGCCTGTAATCCCAGCTACTTGGGAGGCTGAGGCAGGAGAATCGCTTGAACCCAGGAGGTGGAGGTTGCAGTGAGCCAAGATTGTGCCACTTCACTCCAGCCTGGGCGACAGAGCGAGACTCCGTCTAGAAGAAAAAAAAAATTGTGTGGGTTAGCAAACACCACAAGCAAAATCAAATGCCAAATGATGAAACTAGAAAACAATATTTGCAACGCATGACAGACTAAAGGCTAATATCCCATACATTTTATTAAGCGTTTACTACCCATCAGGCACTGTGCTGAGTGCTTCATGAGGACTGTCCTGATTGATACTGACTTCAAATTTCAACCCTTTGTGTAGGTGCCATACAGCACAACAATTAATCATAGGCTCTGAATTTGCCACAAATTTACTGTGTGGTACTGGAGAAGTGAACTAAAATGAGGATAATAGTCCCTTCTTTATAGGATTGTTTATAAAAATTAAATGAGACAGGGCTGCTGTGAATGATTGGGCAGGTTGCGCCTGAAGGAAGGCAAACTACTAAGGGAATAAGTAAGGCCGAAATCCAGTGCCTGCTCTCCAGCCCTGTGCCCCACCACATGGTGGTACCAGCCCAAGGAAAAGGTGCCTTTTTCTTATTTGTGCCAAGGCACTATATGAACTAGCAGCCCTGACATGAGAGAATTGCTTAGAAAAGTACCTGCAGTAAGTGGCCAATATAAGTTACAATTACTATTAGCATTAGCATTATTGTTCTTATTCTCCAGATGAGAAAAGGAAAGCTTACAGAAGCCATGTAGTTTGCCCATCACAGGGCTAATGCAAAGATTCTTGTCAATGCGTAACAAAAATTCAAACAACGCTAGCTGGGTGCGGTGGCTCACGCCTGTAATCCCAGCACTTTGGGAGGCCGAGGTGGGTGGATCACAAGGTCAGGAGGTCGAGACCAGCCTGGCCAACATGGTGAAACCCCACTTCTACTAAAAAAATACAAAAATTAGCTGGGCATGATGGCTACTTGGGAGCCTGAGGCAGGAGAATTGCTTGAACCTGGGAGGTGGAGGTTGCAGTGAGCTGAGATCGTGCCACTGCACTCCAGCCTAGGTGACAGAGTGAGACTCCGTCCCCCAAAAAAATAAAAACAAAAACTTCAAACAACCCAATAAAAACATGCAAAGGACATTGATCACAGAAAAAGAATAAATTATGAGAAGATACAGAAACTTACTCATAATTAAACAAGAGGAAGTTAAAACAATAAAATACCTTTTTCACCTATAAGTTTAGTAAACTTTGATTATACTCAACATTGAAAAAGTGTATGCTGCGCATGGTGGCTCATGCCTGTAATCCCAACACTTTGGGAGGCTGAGACAAGAGGATCGCTTGAGTCCAGAAGTTTGAGGCCAGCCTGGGCAACACAGGGAGTCCTTGTCACTACAGAAAAATTTTTAAATTAGCCCGGTGTGGTAGCTCACACCTGTGGTCCCAGCTACTTGGGAGAATGAGGTGGGAGGATCGCTTGAGCCGCGGAGGTCAAGGCTGCAGTGAGCGGTGTATGTGCCACTGCACTCCATCCTGGGCAACACAGAAAGAACCTGTCTCAGACCAAAAAAAAAAAAAACAAAACAAAAAAAAAAAACAACTTTGATTCTGATGAGCCTCTCAGATCTCCCCAACTTGGGAATTACTAGTTTATCATTTATGTCAATAAAGCAACATTTCTTTTCATTTTAAAGGTTCTAAATAGTTAATTAAGCTCCCAAACTCGACAGCGTCAGAATCACTCAGGGGGAGGAAGGAGGAGGTAAAAAGTACATAGCCTGCAGGCATCCCACCCTAGAGATACAGACTCTCTTGGAGACTTGGCTCTTGGGCGGTGCCAAGGAATCTGCATTTTAACAAACCCCCTGAAGGACTCCACACTAGGACTGGGAAGCACTGGCTGGAAAATTAGGTCAGTTCAGCTGCAATCTCAACCCTGGCTAGTGGGGTTGATCCACGTAGATCTAGAATCAGGAAGCAGCCATACAATCAAGGCTGTCACCAATATTATCGCGGTCGACAACAGCAGCAGCAGCAGTGGTATCTTAGCTGTTGTCATAGTCATCATCATCGTCATCAAAAACATCTATGGGTCCCTATTATATGAAAGGCAATCACCAATTTTTAAAAGTAGAAACAAAGCAGAAGGCTGTAGGATACAAAGGCTGTGAGAGCTGGGACTAGAAGAATGAGTCTGGATTCAATTGGAAGCTGGTTAAGAAGAGGTATGGGAAGTCAATAAAATATATCTGTTGCTTATACAAAGATATTTTATATATAACGTAGGCCAGCAAACTAATGAAGCCACTGATTTGATTTGATTTGATTTGATTTTTTTGAGACAGGGTCTTGCTCTATCACCTACGCTGGAGTGTGCAATGGTATAATCATGGCTCACTGTAGCCTCCACCTCCAAGGCTCAAGTGATCCTCCCACCTCCGCATCCCAAAGTGCTGAGATTACAGACATGAGCCACCGCACCCGGCCCATGCCTTTCTGTAAGAGAGGGGAAGAATTCAGTCTTTCCAGAAGAAATTCTATCTTCATAAAGATCATGTGCATGACTGGGTGAGGATTTGCAAATTAGCATATCTTGTAGATAAGTTCTGCTCATTTGAAAGCCTAATTTAGCCTTAAAAGACAAGCTTATTTCAGTTTTCCCAGGCATGATAAAGTGACCTTCGAAATTGTTAAGCCTGGGCAGGGGGTGGCCGGGGCCACTGAGTCCCTTGGTCCCCTGGGTCATGCAGACTGGGAATCTTCTTGTCTGAAGCTCTGTGGGAGCAGGGATTCATTGTTTATCTTCTTTTTTTTTTTTTTTTTTTTTTGAGATGGAGTCTCGTTCTGTCTCCCAGGCTGGAGTGCAGTGGTGCGATCAAGGCTCATTGCAACCTCCGCCTCCCTGGTTCAAGCAACTCTGTGCCTCAGCCTCCCGAGTAGCTGGGATTACAGTCACCCACCACCACGCCCAGCTAATTTTTGTATTTTTAATAGAGACCATCTTGGCCAGGCTGGTCTTGAACTCCTGACCTCATGATCCACCCGCCTTGGCCTCCCAAAGTGCTAGGATTATAGGTGTGAGCTACCGCACCCAGCCTGGATTCATTGTTTATCACCTATACCTACAGCTAGAGCCAGGGTCTGGCATGCTCAATAGATATTTCTTGTATTCATAAATGAACCTGGTCATAAACTCACCTGAAATGCTTACTGAAAACATTTTGCAGGGCATGAAAACCATTTGACACAGCTGACAAAAGGTTTCCTTCCTTTCCTTCTTTCCCTTTTATTTCTTTCTTTTCTTTCTCTTTATTTCGTGAGACAGTCTCTTTCCTTTTCTTTCTTTCTTTTTTTCTTTCTATAATCCATTCCTTTCTTTCCTTCCTTCCTTGTTTCTTTCATGAGACAGTCTCTCCCTCCCTCCTTTCTTTCTCTTTCCTTCCTTCCTTCCTCCCTCCCTCCCTCCCTCCCTCCCTCCCTCCCTCCTTTCTTTCTTTCTTTCTTTCTTTCTTTCTTTCTTTCTTTCTTTCTTTCTTTCTCTTTCTTTCTTTCTTTCTTTCTTTCTTTCTTTCTTTCTTTCTTTCTTTCCTTTCTCTTTCTATGAAAGAAAGAAAGAAAGAAAGAGTGAGGCAGTCTCACTCTGTCATTGAGGCTGGAGTGCAGTAGCATGATCTCAGCTTACTGCAACCTCCATCTCCCAGTTTCAGCTTGTGCCTCAGTTTCTTGAGTAGCTGGGATTACAGCCACGCGCCACCACGCCAGGCTAATTTTTGTATTTTTAGTAGAGACAGGGTTTCACTATATTGGCCAGGCTGGTCTCAAGTAATCCGCCCACCTCGGCCTCCCAAAGTGCTAGGATTATAGGTGTGGGCCACTGCGCCCGGCCAAGACAAAAGATTGTCATAATCATTGTCCAGTAACAGTAGTCAGGGACAAGAAATCGTTTCTCTATTCCTTTTTGGATATTATCTGGGATTATACTTAGGTTGGTGCAAAAGTAATTGCGGTTTTTGCCATTAACAGTAATGGCAAAAACTTCAGTTACTTTTACGCCAACCTAATATCTACATAAATTCACAACAGATCCTAGGATTACTTAAGATGGCTTTTGGAAGCAAATATTTATTGAATAAAAGGTAGCAAGGCCAGGCACAGTGGCTCATGCCTATACTCCCAGCACTTTGGGAGGCCTAAGTGGGAGTATCGCTTGAGCCCAGGAGTTCAAGATTAGCCTGGGCAACATAGTGAGACCCTGCCTCTATTTAAATACAAAAAAATAAAAAGATTAGTCGGGAGTGGTGGCATGTGCCTGTGGTCCCAGCTACTTGGGAGGCTGAGGTGGGAGGATCACTTGAGCCAGGGAGTTCGAGGCTGCAGTGAGCTGAGATGGCGCCACTACACTCCAGCCTGGGTGACAGAGGGAGACTCTGTCTCAAAATAAAAAATAAAAATAAAATAAAAAGTTAGCCAAACCTATCAAATGGGGCAATTAAATACCTTTTTCCATTCCCATATAGACACATGAGAGCTGCAATTCTTCATGCTGGTTTTTTTGTTTTTTTGCTTTTTGAGACAAAGTCTTGCTCTGTCCCCCAGGCTAGAGGGCAGAGGCACGATCTCAGCTCACTGCAACCTCTGCCTCCCAGGTTCAAGCAATTCTTGTGCCTCAGCCTCTCGAGTAGCTGGGACTACAGGCGTGTGCCACCACACCTGGCTAATTTTTTTTGTATTTTAGTAGAGATGAGGTTTCAACGTGTTGCCCAGGCTGGTCTCAAACTCCCAAGCTCAGGCAATCTGCCCACCTCGGCCTCCCAAAGTGTTAGGATCACAGGTGTGAGCCATGGTGCTTGGCATGCTGGTTTTAAAAAGTTCATAAAATGGAATTTGTTTTACTAATTTATAACATAATTTGAAAATAATCCTCATTAAATTTAATATCACTTTGTTTCTATACTGATCATAATAGTTCTATTCTTATTGAAGATCTATTTTTTAGGTTGGATTTTTAGTAATCAATGAAATTAACTTGTATTACAGTATTTATGCTTACATTTTAAAACATTTGAAACATTACATAAGGAAACAATTTTTTTTTTTTTTTGAGACAGAGTTTTGCTCTTATCGCCCAGGCTGGAGTGTAATGGAGCGATCTCAGCTCACTGCAACCTCCGCCTCCCAGGTTCAAGTGATTCTCATGACTCGGCCTCCCAAGTAGCTGGGATTACAGGCGTGCGCCACTACACCCAGCTAATTTTTGTATTTTTAGTGGAGCTGAAGTTTCACCATGTTGGCCAGGCTGGTCTCGAACTCCTTACCTCAAGTGATCTGCCCGCCTCCACCTCCCAAAGTGCTGGGATTACAGGCGATGAGCCACAGTGCCCAGCCAGGAAACAATTTTATCAGTACAATTAATGATCTATGTATATTGTTTACCTTCTGTTTATGGCAAATGATCTTTTCAAATTTTTAACTTACAGTAATGCTGTATGGTTTCTTTTTCAAAAAATGGGGTCAGGTGTGGTGGCTCACGCCTCTAATCCCAGCACTTTGGGAGGCTGTTGCAGGCAGATCGCTTGTGTTCAGGAGTTCAAGACTGTCCTGGGTAACATAGCAAAACTCTGTCTCTACCAAAAATACCAAAACTTAGCCAGGTATAGTGGCGCACACCTGTGGTCCCAGCTACTCTGGAAGCTGAGGTGGGAGGCTCGCTCAAACTCAGGAGGTAGAGGTTCCAGTGAGCCAAGATCGTGCCACTGCACTCCAGCCTGGGTGACAGAGACCTCATCTGCAAAAAAAAAAAAAAAAAAAAGAGGGGGGAGGAAATGGAATTTAAGTTTAAAAATTGAATCTATTAAAAGAAAAACATTAAGTAATTAATAGCATAAGTGGCTTAGAGAATCAGCAAAACTCATGAAGAGGATATCAGAATGAATGATACGATGCCTGATTTGGCAAAACAGTGAGCTTTAGAAGAGTATGAGGCCAGCACAGAGTGTGGACAAGGCTGGCTAAATGAGCTGCCTCTGCTAGGATCACATGTGTCATGCAGTGGGAGCCGCTGAGAGTTGGAAGCACGGGAGGCTCATGACTGGATCTGCCCTCTTAGCGGATCATTATGAGGGTGGTGTAGAGAGAGGATTGGAAGGCACAAGAGGAGGCAGGGAGGCCAACAAGGGACTGATAGCAGTAATCCAGAAGGGAATGAAGGTGGATGAACCTCAATGCTGCCAGTGGGACAGAGAGTAAAGTGCTATCATGGCACAACTTGGTCACTGAGGTAGAAGACCCTAAATTCTCTGGCTTAGATAACTAGATCAACAAGAGACCCTCCATAGAGATCAGGAACAAAGGAGGAAAGCAGGTTTACAGGGAATTCTGCCGACGGCCCAGGCATGGTGGCTCACACCTATAATCCCAGCACTTTGGGAGCCCAAGGAAGGAGGATGGCTTGAGGCCAGGAGTTTCAGATCAGCCTGGGCAACATAGTGAGACTCCAGTTCTACAAAAATAAAAATAAAAAATTAGCCAGGCATGGTGGCATGTGCCTGTAGTCCTAGCTACTTGGGAGGCTTAGGTGGCAGGATGGCTTGAGCCCAGGAGTCTGAGGCTACATTGAGCTATATCTCACCACTGTACTCAAGCCTGGGCAACAGAGCAAGACTCCGTCTCTAAAGAAAAAAAAAACAGTAATTAAAATTTTTAAAAGAGAGGAAGGAATGGAAACCCACCTATATAATAGTTTGCTAGGGCTGCCACAACAAAGTATCACATAGACTGGATGGCTTAAAGAACAGAAATGTGGCCAGGCACGGTGGCTTACGCCTGTAATACCAGCACTTTGGGAGGCCGAGGTGGACAGATCACCAGAGGTCAGGAGTTCAGGACCAGCCTGGCCAACATGGTAAAACCCCATCTCTATTAAAAATACAAAAATTAGCTGGGTGTTGTGGCAGATGCCTGTAATCCCAGCTACCTGGGAGGCTGAGGCAGGAGAATTGCTTGAACCCAGGAGGCAGAGGTTGCAATAAGCCAAGATCGTGCCATTGCACCCCAGCCTGGGCAACAGAGCCAGACTCTATCTCACAAAAAAAAAAAAAAAAAAAAAGAACAGAAATGCATTTCCTCATAGTTCTTGGGGCTAGAAGTCCAAGATCAAGGTGTTGGCAGATTGGTTTTCCCTGAGGGCCTCTCTCGGCTTGCAGAGGGTTGTCTTCCTGTATCTCCACATGTTCTTCGCCCTGCACACGTCTGTGTGCAAAAATTTTTTATATCGTTTTAAAAAATACCATTTAATGCTTTTTAATTTATTCAAGCAACAAACAACAGTTGAAGATGCATTAAAGTCAGGCAGTGGACTGAGCCTGGGGAAATCATGGGTGAGACAGTTCAAGCTGCGTTCTAATAGCATGTACTCTCCAGACAGACTGCCTAGGTTTGAACCCCAGCTGCATACTTATAAGTTGGGGGACCCTAGTGAAGTTACTTAATCTCTTTATGTCTGTTGCTTTTTCTGTAAAATGTGGAATAACAGTTCTTATCCCATAGGATCACTGTGAGAATTAAATGGGACAATGCATGTAGGGTGCCCAGCACAGTGCCAGGTTTTTAGTACATGTGTCATAACTGTTAGCTCTAAAAATATATGAGCAAAAAGAAACAATCCCCATTCTCGGAGAACATCTGGGATAGTGGGTGGCTAAACTGCAGAAGTGTTGATTATTGAAAATGGGGGGCTGGGTCAATTGATGAGTCATCGGAGGATGCTGGGTCACCCCATCATGATGGAGGGCTTGGGGGAGACTGGAAGAGTGTGGACCAGAGAGTGAAGTCTAATGAAGAAGGAGGAGGGAGAGAAGGCAGAACAGCTAAAAGACTTGAAGGAGTTTTTGGTAAGAGAGAGGAGAAAGAATGTTCAGGCAGGGGCATTAGTGAGCACAGATGATACCAATCTGCCTTCTGGCCCTGAGGTGGGAGGAGTGGAGGGAAATGCAGCCTTCAGTGGAGATCCCTGCAGGGGAGGACACCATGGGAGGATCCTGGGGGAGCCATTTTTCAGTCTGGGCAGAGCTTTCAGAAAAGATCTTGGATCTCGGATCTTGGAGGAAAGCTGAAGACTCACTGGGAGGCTGGGGCAAAAGCAGAAGGAGGAGTGTGAGAAGTTAGCTGAGGAAGCTCAAGAATGAGGTTAATCAGCTGGAGCCAAGGGGCCAGGAAGCATTCCAGAGATATGAGAGGAGGGAGACTCACAAGGGGAAGGGGCTTCAGGTTCAAGCAGAGGAACCGCAGATTAACAACCTTTGCTCAGGCACAGGAATTGCTGGAGCATCAATATTTTGGCTGATCATTTTTTTCTCTTATTTTCCTGGATTAAGTGTATGGAACTTCCATGGGATCCTCAGACGCTTAGGCTTCTAGAATGCTCAGGATTCATCCTTTTTGCTAGACTTCATATGGCTAATGTTTGCAGTGGAAAAAGGGCCATAGGTCTCCGGTGTCGGCTGGTATATGGCTGGGTGGTTCCTGGGCCATACCCCTGCTTCTGCACGCCCTGGGTTTCATTTTTGTCCACTCTGTATTTGTAGCTCACTCCAGTCTTTCCAACTCCCAGGTGGCTGAGTGGGGTAACTGGCAGGGGTAGTTTGGTTAATGTCAACATAAAGAGCTTGGAAGGGAAAGGGACTCGTGGAACAGAAAACAAATGCCACATTAGTGGAAAGCTTGCCTTCATGGGGGGAAAGGGCTGCCTCAGTTTCCCACGAACACTAGACTCGGTAAGTAAAGTGTAAATATTTGTTAAAGGAGCAAATAAATAGTCCTTCTGAGTTCTGTTTCAGTCTGCAAGTCACAGCCTTTGAGGTATCAAAGGAACGGGAGAGAGGCTGTTCAGTTTGCCCCTCTCTAATGACACTACCAACTTTAAAATGAGAACCGAGTGGTCAGAAGTTGGAAAAAAATAGGCTGGGTGTGGTGGCTCACGTCTGTAGTACCAGCACTTTGGGAGGCCAAGGCAGGCAGATCATGAGGTCAGGAGTTCAAAACGAGCCTGACCAACATAGTGACACCCAGTCGCTACTAAAAATACAAAAAATTAGCCGGGCGTGGTGGCAGGCACCTGTAATCCTAGTTACTCAAGAGGCTGAGGCAGGAGAACGGCTTGAGCCCGGGAGGCGGAGGTTGTGGTGAGCCGAGATCACGCCATTGCACTCCAGCCTGGGCAACCAGAGCAAAACTTAGTTTCAAAAGAAAAAAAAGAAGTTGGAAAAAAATGACACCAGGCCAGGTGCAGAGGCTTACTTCTATCTATAATCCCAGCACTTTGGGAGGTTGAGGCAAGCAGATCACTTGAGGTCAGGCGTTAGAGACCAGCCTGGCCAACATGGTATAACCTTATCTCTACTAAAAATACAAAAATTAGCTGGGCATGGTGGTGGGCGCCTGTAATTCCAGCTACTTGGGAGGCTGAGGCAGGAGAATCGCTTGAACCTGGGAGGCGGAGGTTGCAGTGAGTCAAGATCGTGCCACTGCACTCCAGCTTAAGTGATGGGATGACACTCTGTCTCAAAAAAAAAAAAAAAAAAAGACACCAAATAAGGCATCAGGTAGTGGATCCAGCTTCAGTTATCGCAACATCTTTCCTTAAATAAAGCATCCTTTCCTCAAAACAATAAATGCACTAATTAACTTTACATATTTTGGTCTCTTACTCTGAAAGCTGTATTCTATCACAATTCAAGTTTTCTTGCATTCTTTTCTCACCTCCTTTTTCATCTCTACTTGTACCAAAGTTTGCTTGTTTTTCATCTTATCTTAACGTCTTGTTTCATAAAGGCCAAACTTTCTTACGCTGTACTGAAAACAAAAAGCAGACATTTTCTAAAATCTTCCCACCACTCTAGTAAATTATTTTCAGAGTGGGGCATTTTCTCCAAAATTGGATAATGCTTCTACTCTTTTTTGCTATAGAAATTTTTCCCAGGTCCCATTTTGGGATTTGTTTGTTTTGTGGGTGTGTACTTTTACACTTCCTTGAATAGGCTCATTTTTGTTCCAATGAGGCATTTGTAAGTAGCCACTTATTAATTCAACAGATATTGATATTTCAAAAATTGATATTTGCTTATTCTATAGTGTGCAAGGTGTTTTTAAAAAGTAAATTATAAGGCCGGGTGCAGCGGCTCACGCCTGTAATCCCAGCACTTTGGGAGGCCCGGGCAGGCGGATCACTTGAGGTCCAGAGTTTGAGACCTGCCCGGGCAATGTGGTAACACCCCGTCTCTACTAAAAACAATATAAAAAATTAGCCGGGTGTGGTGGCGGGCGCCTGTAATCCCAGCTACTCTCGAGGCTGAAGCAAGAGAATCACTTGAACCTGAGAGGTGGAGCTTGCAGTGAGCCGAGCTGCACTCCGCGCCTGGGTGAGAGAGTGAGACTCCGTCTCAAAAAATATATAATAATAATAATAATTACACACAAAGATTCATCTTCAAAGAGCTTCTGATTTACATATTTGATGATGTCAGAGAGGTATACTAACTAGTGCAAGGTAGAAAGCTAGACAGAAGACACGGGTAGATTGCTATTTGTGGGGTTTTTTTTCACAGATATGAGTAAATCACGGTGCTGAGACAGGAAGGACTGACTCTGCGCCCAGCATGATGTTGGTCCAAGTTGGCAGCCATTCAAAGTTAAGAGCACTGAGGCTATTCTCAATTTGTATTACTGTTTTCTTCCTTTGGAAATATGTAAAAATATTAACAAACACTAATGTGCCAATATTTCTAGGATGCTGGAAATTAATGATTGTAATACATTTTACATTCCATTACAGTATTTATTAAAAATGACTACATTCCATTATAATTCACTATTGCTGCTCTGCCATTTCAAAGAAGCAACAAGAATGTTGCCAATCAGCAGTGGAAAATAAATATTTTCTTTGGGTTGAATAATTTCCCAAAATGTTTTATTTTCCAGTGAAGAAAACATGCAACTGTCTACTATTCTTTTTTTTTTTTTTTTTTTTTTGCGACGGAGTCTCGCTCCATCGCCCAGGGTGGAGTGCAATGGCGCTACCTCGGCTCACCGCAACCTCCACCTTCCAGGTTCAAGCGATTCTCCTGCCTCAGCCTCCCCAGTAGCTAGAATTACAGACGCCCACCACCACACCTGGCTAATTTTTGTATTTTAGTAGAGATGGGTTTCAACATGTTGGTCAGGCTGGTCTCTAACTCTAACTCCTGACCTCAAGTGATCCGCCCACCCTGGCCTCGCAAAGTACTGGGATTACAGCCGTGAGCCCCCTGCCCGATCTGCAACTGTCTATTTTTTGAGACGGAGTCCCGCTGGGTCGCCCAGGCTGGAGTGCAATGGCGCGATCTCGGCTCACTGCAACCTCTGCCTCCCGGGTTCAAGCAATTCTCCTGTCTCAGCCTCCCGAGTAGCTGGGACTACAGGTGCCTGCCACCACGCCTGGCTAATTTTTGTATTTTTAGTAGAGACAGGGTTGCACCTTGTTGGTGAGGTTATTCTTATTTTACACTGGCATAGGTGTCTTAATCAATTGCCTTGATTATATTGTAAAAGGCAATTTAACAAAACATTATTACAGAGAACTTGCATTTTAAACACAGTTTTTATCTGTTTATTTAAGCTCATCAAATGCTTTTTTTGTTTAATTAAAAAAACAGAGATGAAAAACATTATTTTGATTTTGATATTCAATAATTTAGGCTATGACCAATAAAAATATATCTAATTAATACGTGACTGAAAATAGATATGAAAATGTAACTTCCAAACCCCTAGAGGGGGCGTCCACCCCACAGATCACTACAGAGATGTATGCTGTAACACAGGTGAAGAGTCGCTAGGTGGCTCTGCCATTTTTAAATAAAACTAAGGTATACACACACACACACACACACACACACACACACACACACACACACACACACACTAACATACAGTTAAGAAACAAAATACCCCACGCAGGGAGAAACTTTAATCAAAACAAGAAAGAATAATCTGACATCATGGTCTCTCACTCAGAATAATTTGGAGCTATTGAGCTAAGAATTTGACTCTAAAGAAAAACTACAAAGTATGTATGGGCAAGCAATCTGCTAAAAGATAAGATAAATTATTATATTTTTAAGGACATAAATTACTAAAGGGAGACGGTTTCAAATTTTTCATAATTTATTGCCATCTAGGTTCCCAGCTTTTCTTTTGGAATTTCTTTTTAGTTTAGACCTTTACATTTAAGAACAAATATTAAATTTTTGTATTATAACTTATTTTAAAATGTTTTCCAAGCTGGGTGCCGTGGCTCACGCCTGTAATCCCAGCACTTTGAGAAACCGAGGCGGGTGGATCATCGGAGGTCAGGAGTTCCAGATCAGCCTGGCCAACATGGTGAAACCCCATCTCTACTAAAAATACAAAAATTAGCTGGGTGTGGTGGCGGGCGCCTGTAATCCCAGCTACTCAGGAGGCTGAGGCAGGAGAATCGCTTGAACTCCGTAGGTGGAAGTTGCGGTGAGCCCGAGATCGCGCCATTGCACCCTGGACAACAGAGCAAGACTTCGTCTCAAAAAAAAAAAAAAGTTTTCCAATTTCCAATTTCCTTTCATAGTTGTCATCCTTATTTAAAAAAAAATTCATTTCATTTTAGGCCATTTAGGAAGAAAAAAACAAACAACACTGGGCTTATCTAAATTATGAAAACATTTTAGATCCTTGAACCAAAATAAGACAATTAAGACAAACACTATTCTTTTCTACAGCATTTGCCAGGAGACTGAATAGAAACAGTGCTTTAAAGTGTTGACAATAATTTATTTCTGGTCCCAGAAAAGACGACTAAATAGTGACATGTGAAGTGTAATTTGCATTTTAGGTATCCAAATTTGCTGATTAAATATTTTTGGATTTCATTTTCAAGAGGTGACACACCAGAAGAAAAAAAAATCCTCCAAAATACATAACTAATTTCATCATGAAAATAAATGCCTTGGAGGAGAAGGGAAGTTTCCGAATGATTAAATATTCTGAACTGCCAGTCGGCAATTGGCAAATAGAAAAAAACGTTTGCCCTCTCCCTCTCGGTTAAATGAAAACCTCAGACCTGTCACGTATTAAGAACACATTTAGGAATACTTTTAATAGTAAAATAAACAATTTTCATATTGTTGTTTCCAGCCAATCGAGGATGATTACGTGGAACGTGAGGTCGCCACAGTATTTTACAGGTTTTATTTGTTTCCCAGGCAGGGAGACGCATTAAAAAACTTAGCAAAAGTAGAGGGCAAGTCATAGACCTGCCCGTTAGATGAGGCTGTTTTTGTAAATGAGCGCTTCTTGCACAGTTTAAATTACTTAAAACTTTGAAACTTTCGGGTTTAAAATGCTAATTCCGAAGGTACTTATTTAAATGTCTTTGAAAACATTCACCTTTATGTTTTTGAAGATAACAAATCACAACGAAAGCCCGTACAAACCGCACAGAAAACGAATAAATGCTTCCCGAATGTGAGCGAACCTACAGTTTGGTTAGAAAAACTCAACACTGATTTCCGTTCCTCCAATCACAGAATCCCCGAGGAGAAGGGGACACGCCAAGCGGGCCTGTTAATAACCTCTACCGTATACCCCAAAGCGTTGTAAATCACATCGATTATTTTCGACTGGAAGCCGATCGGTTGAGACTGGACGTGAATTCCGCGACTCGATCACAAAAGGTTAGGAGGAAAGAGGTAGAAAAGCCAAAAGGATGACTAGGCAGGTGGCCCGAGCGGCCACCCCAAGTTAACTTTTTAGAAATCATTCGTACTGTTCGGGTTATCTTCTCTTTAATATTCGTGGCTTTACTTATTATGATGTTAAGAAACGTGGGCTAGGAATGGGGTGCTGCTTTTTGCCCGAAACCTGGAGGCGCCGGCCTCCCAGACGCTCCCGGGCCCGGGCAGAGGGGCGGTAGGGGCGGGGCGGGCGGGCTCCGGGTTTGGGCGCGCGGGCAGGTGGGGCGTGGCGGGGGCGTGGAGAGCCCAGGCCCGCGGCCACCGCCCCGCTCCGGGCCGGCCCAGGAGGAGCCGCGCCGGGCTCGGTTATAAGAGGCCGGCTAGCAGGCGCTCCGCTAGCACCCGCCCGACCCCGGCCCGGAGCACCGGGCGCCCAGCGCGGGTGAAGGCGGAGCCGCAGGGTTGGCCCCCAAAGGGATGCTCTCGCCCGAGCGGCGAGACCAGCCCCGCTCGCCCCTCGCCGCGGCCGCGCCGCAGCCGCCCACGGCCGCCGACATGGCCCTCTACTGCGGCGACAACTTCGGAGTGTATTCGCAGCCCGGCCTGCCCCCGCCCGCCGCCACCGCCGCCGCCCCGGGCGCCCCCCCGGCAGCCAGGGCGCCTTACGGGCTGGCCGACTACGCCGCGCCGCCGGCCGCCGCCGCCAACCCCTACCTGTGGCTCAACGGGCCCGGCGTGGGAGGCCCGCCCTCCGCCGCCGCCGCAGCCGCCGCCGCGTACCTGGGCGCTCCGCCGCCGCCGCCGCCCCCCGGGGCCGCGGCCGGGCCCTTTCTGCAGCCACCGCCTGCCGCCGGCACCTTCGGCTGCTCTCAGCGGCCCTTCGCGCAGCCCGCG
This sequence comes from Homo sapiens, assembly GCF_000001405.40. NCBI lineage: Eukaryota > Metazoa > Chordata > Mammalia > Primates > Hominidae > Homo > Homo sapiens. The sequence continues at coordinate 88,452,196 of NC_000002.12, read as the reverse complement.
CCCGCCGCGCCCGCCTCGCCCGCCGCGCCCGCGGGGCCCGGGGAGCTGGGCTGGCTGTCCATGGCCAGCCGCGAGGACCTGATGAAGATGGTGCGGCCGCCCTACTCGTATTCGGCGCTCATCGCCATGGCCATTCAGAGCGCGCCCGAGCGCAAACTCACTCTCAGCCACATCTACCAGTTCGTCGCCGATAGCTTCCCCTTCTACCAGCGCAGCAAGGCCGGCTGGCAGAACTCCATCCGCCACAACCTGTCGCTCAACGACTGCTTCAAGAAGGTGCCCCGCGACGAGGACGACCCAGGTGAGGGCCGCTGGCAGGTGCTTCCCAGCCGGGGAGGGCGGACGCGGGTCGCAAGGGCCGGCGCAGGGGTCGGTGTGCGGCTGGAAGATCTGCCAGGAGTCTTCTTGTCCAGGCTGCGGGTGGGAGCGGATGGAGGAATAACCACCCAACCCAGAGGACAAAGGGAAGGAGCAGGAGATCTTCGGAAGGAAGACTCAGTGAGAAAGGAGCTTGACCTTTACATCCACATTCGCAGAGGCGGGCCAATTAGAGAAACGAAAAAAATCTGTATCCCAGAACAGAAGGCTACCCCTGGGTGGTGTTCCTTAGGCCTTTTGAAGGGAGGGTCTACTTACAAGGGAGCTCTCAGATAAGGGATGGTTATAAAGGGATCCGTGTGAGCTGGGATTTCCATCACGTTTCGCAGAAGACGCGGTGGGAGAACTGGGGTCCAGCCCGGCTGTCCCTAGGTGCACTTCCTCCTCATCGGGTTCCAGAGAGGTTCGCTGTGTCCTGAATAGAGCAAGTACGATGCCTACCTCTAGAGATAGTGGCACGGGCATCATGAGACGGGGGTCTGGGATGGGAGAACTTTAAGCAGAGAGGTTCTGCAAATTGCAGTTTGGGTACCTTAACTAGTTAGAAATTTAGAAATGAATATCCCATATTTGCTGCGTTCTGGTCTAAGCCCAATTGCTCCTGGAGTGAGGAGGTCTGTGTTACAGTGGAGTGAGTGTTAACCTTCTCTGAGAGGTAGAGGTGGAGAAATGATTAACAAGAAGAGAGAAACAGAGAATCCTACTTGAGGTTTTCAGAAGGAACCCAGAACAAGGAAAGGAAAGGGGATTGTGATAGGAAAAAGAGAAAAGAGATGAAACCATTTTAGTTGCACATTACAGAGATCCAGGATTTTGTGTAAATTATGTGACTATTCTGGAGCTCAGAATGAGCTCATCCCTGAAGTCACTGTAGACCAGCACTCTCCAATGGAAATACGATACAAACTAAATAATCCAAAATATTGTTTCAACATATAACAAATATTAAAATTACTAATGAGATTCTTTGTTATTTTCTCGGTACTAAGTCTTCAAAATCCCTTGTGTATTTTACACTACATCTCAATTTGACTAGCCATATTTCAAGTGCCCAATAATAATGCGTGGCTAGTGGCTACTGTATTGGGCAGGGTATGCAGTTCTAGAAGATGCATCCTCTGGATTTGGCTTCTGTACCACCCAAGATTATCATGTAAATTGTCGTGTAAACTGCTCTAGACTTCACTCTAAAAGGTCAGGGGTCTATGGCTAGTTTTTTATCAAAAAAGTTGGTACCAACGTGGCACAATATACATATCCAGATAGGTGGAGATATTATTGAAATTCTAGTTATGTAATTTTTTTCCCTATAACTATTTGCAGAACGTGGTTCAAGTGGAGGCGGCTTAGCCCAGTGGTTAGTTAAGAATGCTGAGGTTTTTTTTTTTTTTTTTTGAGACAATTTCACTCCTGTCGCCCAGGCTAGAGTGCAGTGGCGCAATCTCACTGCAACCTCTGCCTCACCAGCTCAAACAATTTTGCTGCCTTAGCCTCCCAAGTAGCTGGGACTACGGGAGCATGCCACAGTGCCCGGCTAATTTGTATTTTATGTAGAGATGGGCTTTTCCCATGTTATCCAGGCTGGTCTCGAACTGCTAAGCTTCAAGTGACCCACCCGTTTCGGCCTCCCAAAGTGCTAGGATTATAGGCGTGAGCCAGCGCCCAGCAAGAATGCTGAGTCTTTTAGCCATTCATAGTGGTATACTCCTGTCATACCAGCTACTCTGGGAGGCTGAGGTGGGAGGATCGCTTGAGGCCAGGAGGTCAAGGCTGCAGTGAACCAAGGTTACGCCACTGTACTCCAGCCTGGGTGACAGAGGGAGACCCAGTCTCAGAGAATATAAATAAATAAATAATTTTTTTTTTAAATGCTGAGTCTGGAGCCAGCCTGTTTACATCCTGACTATCATGGCTAACTTAGGAATATGACAAGTTACTAACCAGTCTGCACCCCAGTTCTCCTATCTGAAAAGTGGAAGGAGTTATATTGCCTATCGCCATAAAGCTGTGAGGAGTAGCTGAGGTTATCCGTGTAAAGCACTTACCACAAGATAAGCATTCTACAGTACTTTAAAACATCGGATTCTTTTGCCAGAAGTGAAAAAAGCTTTTGGGAGATAAAATCCTCCAAGATGATAGATCTTTTCTACCTCACTTGTGGCAAATAGAACAAAACTAGCATTACATGCAGAAAAATGAGGCCCTGGTGTCTGAAATTTATTTACCCAATGGGTGAAACATTTGCAGGATTTGTAGGGGCAGGTCCTGCCCAAAATGAGGAGGGGATGTAGATTCCAGGAGCTTCCTCATACTCAAAATTTATGCCATCCAATGCATGGTTAAAACAGTTGCTCAGTAATAATTTTTTTTGTCATTTTGAAATTGCCTTTGTCTGGTGGGGCATTTTTCTCAGAGGTGGGGAATTATGCACTTTCAACGAATAATAATTGTTAAGTGCTGTTTTTGCACTGCTTACTCTGTGCCAGCTACTATGCTGAAATAGTTAATCCTCACAGTCAATCCACTAAATTAGTACTATCCTTATCTCTATTTTATAAATAAAGAAACGGAGGCTCAATTTTTTTTTTTTTTTGTAGACACGAGATCTCACTATGTTGGCCCAGTCTAACGCTCAACTTTAAGTAGCATCAGAATTCCATGACTTTGCAAGGTCATACAATTTGGATCTAGAATTAGTGAAGGTGTTACATGATTTAATTATAAGTGTCTCAGAAATGGAATTAGGTCTTCAGATTTAAGTAGTAGACACCACCAGGAGGAGGTAAAGGTGGCCAGAACATCTTTGTTCTGGATTTTTCTCTGAAGCAAAGAGTAACATTTTCCCCGAAAGAGGATTGGTTTGAATATTAGAGTGAATTGAGCATCTTTGTCAGCATCTAATGAGAGTCTGCTCTCCTCCCAGAAATGAAGCTGAGTACACAGGCATTGAATAGGTCCTTCTCTAACTTGGTCTTTCTCATCTTCTCAGGAAAGGGTAATTATTGGACTCTTGATCCGAACTGCGAGAAAATGTTTGACAATGGGAACTTCCGTCGGAAGCGAAAGCGCCGCTCTGAGGCCAGCAATGGCTCCACAGTGGCTGCTGGGACATCAAAGTCCGAAGAAGGGCTCTCCTCAGGATTGGGGTCTGGAGTGGGTGGGAAGCCAGAAGAAGAGAGCCCCTCCACTCTGCTGAGGCCTTCCCACTCCCCAGAGCCTCCGGAGGGCACCAAGAGTACTGCCTCATCTCCTGGAGGACCCATGCTCACCTCCACCCCTTGTCTCAACACTTTCTTCAGCAGCCTCAGCTCCTTGAGTGTCAGCAGCAGTGTGAGTACCCAGCGGGCTCTCCCTGGCAGCCGCCACCTAGGGATCCAGGGGGCCCAGCTGCCCTCCAGCGGCGTGTTCTCCCCGACCTCCATCTCAGAGGCCTCAGCAGACACCTTGCAACTGAGCAATAGCACCAGCAATAGCACCGGCCAGAGATCTTCCTATTACAGCCCTTTCCCTGCCAGCACCAGCGGGGGGCAAAGCAGCCCCTTCAGCAGCCCTTTCCACAACTTTAGCATGGTGAACAGCCTCATCTACCCCCGAGAGGGCTCCGAGGTGTAGAGCAGACTCTCAGACTTGAGTATGCACACCTGAGGCGTGCACACATGCTGATTAGAATGCAGATTCCAAGTCAGTAGGTCTGGGGTAGGACCTGAGTTCTGCGTTTCTGTCGAGTTCCTGGGTGATCTCGTGGTCCTTTGACCACACTTGGAGTAATGAGGGTGTAGTAGATAACTCTTGCTACAACCCAGCGAGCTTTTACAGGTTTCTCTGCATGTGGGCCTCTCCAGAGAGAAATCCGTTTCACTGTCTTCTGTGATAGGTAGCCTGTGAGCCCCGTGAGGGCGGGGACCATGTCTATTTTGTTTATCACTGTATGCCAGGATTGCAAGCTCAAGTGTGTACAGATGGCTAAAAAAACACAAGCCAACGAAGTTACTGGGTGAGAAAACTAACATCAGTTGGCAACTGAAGCAGTAGAGGGTAGTTGGGACTGACTAGTAGAAGGCTGCTGGGAACAGCTGGTTCTTTCTCTCCTCTGGCAGCATTCTGATTTTGTTTTTTTGGTTTTTTTTGACACAGTCTGGCTCTGTCGCCCAGGCTGGAGTGCAGTGGTGCTGCAACCTCCGCCTCCTGGGTTCAAGCAATTCTCCTGCCTTAGTCTTCCGGGTAGCTGGGATTACAGGTGCCTGCCACCACATCCAGCTAATGTTTTGTATTTTTAGTAGAGATAGGGTTTCGCCTTGTTGGCCAGGCTGGTCTCAAACTCCTGACCTCAGGTGATCCACCCGCCTCGGCCTCCCAAAGTGCTGGGATTACAGGTGTGAGCCACTGCGCCCAGCCAGCATTCTGATTTTTATAGAAGAGCCAGATATCTGAATTTTTATAGGAAACCTCCAACTTTGTGTCATTTGCCTCTGAAGATTTTTTTTTGGTTGTTTATCATACTGTCCTAGGCAACACCACAAATCCTTGAGCTATGCATAGGCAGCTCACAAATCACCTCTGTCTGGTACATGGTATATTCTAATGGCAATAAAATGGCACAAGCAGCCTTGTGTGCCAGGCACTGTTCTCGGCACTTGTCATGTATTCATTTAATCCTCTCAGAAACCTTGGGTGGTGGGTATTGTTACTACCCCCCATTTTCCATGTAAGGGAAGTGAAACTTCAGGATGTTAGGTCACTTTGTCTATTTTAGTCATCACTGTATACCAGGATTGCAAGCTCAAATGTGCACAGGTGGCTAAAAAAAAGTTGTGACCACTTTCCAAGGTGAGACTGATAGTAAACTGGAGCCAGGATCAGACCCAGACAATCTGGTTCCAGAGCTGGTGCTTGTAACTTCTGTATTCTACTTCCTGCAAAACCAAGAAACCAGCCTCCATAGCCAGTTATAAGTATATAGAGGGAAGGAATGGAGCTAGATCTCATTTGACCAAAGATTCTAGTTGAAAATAAAAGTCATCTGGTGTGTTCCCCTGGGTGGCACCTCTGTCTGAATCCTGCTGCCATAGTCCAAAATCTGGGGTGACAATTGTCCTAGTTTGTAATGGTTAGCCTGGCATCCTCTCCCTTTTAGCTTATATCCTGGATGTTTCCTTTTCTAACAAAGTATTATTAGAATTTTATTAAAAATAGCTTTTGTGTGTGTGTGTGGGTTTTTTGTTGTTGTTGTTTTGTTTTGTTTGTTTTGTTTTTTGAGACGGTCTGCCTCTCTTAACCAGGCTGAAGTGCAGTAGTGAGATTTTGGCTCATTGCAGACTCAACCTTCCCAGGTTCAAACAGTGGCCCCTTCTCAGCTCCCCCAACCCACCCCAGTAGCTGGGCTCACAGGTGTGCACTATGCCCAGCTAATTTTTTAAATTTTTGAATTAATATTTTAACTTTTTAATTTGTAAATTTTTAAATTTAAATTTTTTTATTTTAAAATAATTTTTTAAATTTTTTTTAAATTTTTTTTATGGGGGTTTCAAAAAAAAACACAAAGCTCACTGCAGCCTCAATCTCCTGGGTTCAAGCCATCCTCCTATCTCAGCCTCCCGAGTAGCTCGGACTACAGGTGCACACCACCACACCTAGCTAGTTTTTTTGTATTTTGTGTAGAGATGGGGTTTCGCTATGTTGCCCAGGCTGGTCTTGAACTCCTGGGCTCAAGCGATCTGCCCACTTCTGCCTCCCAAAGCACTGGGATTAAAGGCATGAGCCATCACACCTAGCCAAAAAAAAACTCTTAAATGGAATTTTAGACCAGGTGCAATGGTTCACACCTGTAATCCCAACACTTAGGAGACTGAGGTGGGAGGATCGCTTGAGTCCAGGAGTTTGAGACCAGCCTGAGCAGCACAGCAACACTCTGTGTCTACAAAATATTTTTAAAACAATGAAGAAATGGGATTTTATAGTTTTTAATACAATAAACCGTTTGTGGTCAGTTTTTAAAAAGATATATTTAATCTTATTTATTTTAGCACTCTCTTCTCAGAGGTATCATTTGAATAATTTTTATGGGCAACCTTCTAGTGCCCAGTAGAGTGCCCAGTACACTCATCCACTAGTTGCCGAATGACAGAATTTATTCAGGGCCGGCGCAGTGGCTCAAACCTGTAATCCCAACCCTTTGGGAAGCCTAAGCGGGCAGAGCACTTGAGCCCAGGAGTTTGAGACCAGCCTGGGCAACATGGTGAAACCCCATCTCTACAAAAAATAACAAAAATTAGCTAGGTGTGGTGGTGTGCACCTGTAGTGCCAGCTACTTGGGGGGCTGAGGTGGGAGGATCACTTGAACCTGGGGAGTTGAGGCTGCAGTGAGCTGAGATCATGCTACTGTATGACAGCCTGGGTGACAAAGTGAGACCCTGTCTCAAAAAACAAATTTTTTATTCAAAAAGTGTTCATTAAAATGCAGGTAGTTGTCAAATTTATGGGAACGGTGTTCCACAAAAATGAATTCATCGTCCTATGAGTTGCCTTTGTACCACGTTTTTGGATGTGAGCATGGCTAGTTTGGGGTTTTAACTTTTTTAGAAACAGGAACAGAAGCACATTGTAAAAAAATTTAAAATTCCCTGGGTATTTTTTCACCCCGAGACTCTCACAGCATTACTTTAAAAATTTTTTATTTTGAAATATACATACAGAAAATTATTTTTCTAAACAGCTTATTGAGGTACAAATGACATCACCATTACTTTTTTAACATTATGCAGAAAGACAACCAAAGACTACCTACTCCCACAGTATGTGTACAAAAAAACGGTTTCTATGGATATTTTTGTATATGAAAATATCATGGACTTATATAAATATTGTTTCTAGCACAACTCTATATTTGTAAATTAATTTATAATGTAAACTGGGGCAGCAAAGAAAAGTTTTTCCCAAGAAAGTTCACTGCATGCTGAGAAGAAGAATCACATGAAATAAACTTAAAGTGGGATCACTTCTGGCTTCCTGGGTATTACTGCTTTCCTGTCTTCAGCTTCTTTGTCCTAAAGAACTAGAGATGTGAGCAGCGTGGCAACAAACCACTGTGGGGAGAGTGAACGACTGGTTTTCTCATTCCACCTACCCACATCTGAAAGGGCTGGAATAAAACAATTACTCTTCAGAGGATCTTTAGGCATATGAGCATTTTGGCTTTTTGTTTTTTTTTTTTTTGAGTCTCACTCTGTTGCCCAGGCTGGAGTGCAGTGTTGCAGTCTTGGCTAACTGCATCACTGCAACCTCCGCCTCGTGGGTTCGAGCAATTCTCCCTTGGCATCCTAAGTATCTGGGACTAGGGCGCATGCCACCACGCCCGGCTAATTTTTGTATTTTTAGTAGAGATAGGGTTTTGCCATGTTGGTCAGGCTGGTCTCGAACTCCTGACTGCCAGTGATTCACACGCCTCGGCCTCCCAAAGTGCTGAGATTACAGGGGTGAGCCACCGCGCCCGGCCCGTTTATTTCTAATAGATGAACAGTTCTGTTACTTAGATTAAATTGAATTTCAGTGCAGCAAAAAACCTACTACAGAAAGAAATGTGCTTTGAGGCCTCATGCCTCAAGGAGAGCTCTGCATCCTGGGGTGTGGTCCTCAGGGGGACTGCATGCAGCCCATCATTTCCAAGGAAATAGCTGGAAACCTGCCTCTAACTAGACCAGGGTTTCTCAATCATCAGCAGTACTGATATTTGGGGCTGGATAATTCTCTGTTGTAGAGGTTCTGTGTATAATAGGACATTTAGCAGCGCATTTATAACTTTAAGTAGCTGCCTTCCAGCCTTTAGGACCTAGTGAACCATTCAGAGTAAGACGGCAAAGGAGGTGAGGAATTAATAAGCAGGTTTCAGATTTCTTTCTTGACACTTTTAGATTCTTCATCCCATTCTTGAACTTACTGGAAAAACAGCAGTCTGGGAGGCCAGAGGCTTCAGAACTGTGTGCCTTTGTACCCCTCCCCCCCACCACCCTCTCCATCCCCCGAGGGCGCTCACAAGTCCCCAAGTCCCTCCCAGGACAAAATGGGGCAAGCTTTGCTCTGAACCTCAGAGCGAAGGCCCAAACTGCTTCTCTTCCCTCCAGAGACTTTCCAGACTTGGAAAGATCCTAAATCCTCAGGGTCTAATGGGTTTTTATTTTCTTTGGCTGCTCTAGTAGTGAAACCTTGAGGTTGTTAATGAACCCTCCCCTCCTTCCCATGTTTTCCTGAGACTGGAGACTTGCTGGCTTCAGGGCTAGAGACCTGGTGGTCTTGCCTTTGTCATGGAAAGCTGTCAGCTGGGGTGTGTGCTGGGTGCTGGCTCCGCTGAAAAAAGAAGGAATTTCTTGTGAGATTTTAAAACAAAAAAAGGCCACAGAAGACCAGATACCTACTGAATTCCTCCCTACTTTTTTATTCATGATGTCAGGAGATCATCACCAAAACCCTGGGAGGCATGAATAGCAGTCATCATTTTTAAAAAGACAACATTACAATAATAACATTACAATAATGACAACTCACTTATCAGGTGCCAGGCACTACCCTACAGCACATATTAAATATAAACTATCTGTACTAACATCCCAACAACTCTATGAAATAGATACTGTTATTATCCATCTCATCAATAGAATACTAAGGTCTGGGGAGTTTGTATAACCGGGCCATGGTCACAGATCTAAGTGGTTGCTGCAGGTAAGTGGTGTAACAGGGATTCAAAATTAGGCCGTGTGATGTCAGAGTCCTCCTGACCTTAACCTACAATAGTGCCTCTCTGTTTCAAAGTGGAGAAGGGAGAGGCACAGAGAGGTTAAGTGACTTGCCAAAAGCCATACAGTTTGTTGGTTCCAGACTTGGGCCTGGAACCCAGGCTCCTGCCGCCCCAATTCAGTAATGTTTCCTTCCAGGCATTTTTTTCTGTATGCTTCCTGAGGTTGGATTTTGGATCTGGGGCTCCTTTTTGTGAAGACGGGAAGGGAAGTCGCTGTTTCTTGGCATGTCCTCCTCCTCAGGATCAGCTAGCAGCCAGGTCAGTGGCTCAGGTCTCATGCTCTGAAGCTGCCCAGGAAAGCCAGATGATGGGGATGCTGGTTGGGAGCCTGAGCCTCACAAGAAGTGTATCCACTGACTCAGCAAATCTCCTGTGGGCACCATGCATCGGGCTGGGCTTTGAGGATACTAAGATGACTAAGACCCATTCTCTGACTTAAGTTGCTCACTACCCAGAAAAAGAGACAGACCCTTAGCAAGCATGACGCAGGGCAGTAACAGATGTACCCAGGACAGAGAGGATCCCTGGGGCTGCTCTGAGCTTCCCCACCTAGCTATGAGGCTCTGATGGGAGACAAAATGGTTTAACCTCCTGGAAGAGTAGAGGACAGCTCCCCAGGTCTGGCCGAGAGGCTGCAGCTTCTGCTGGGAGAAGACAGACCAGGATGGTTTCGGGTGTACAAAGCCACAGTGCTTCTGTAGAAGCGACTGGGTCAAGTCATGCGGAACTTGCTTCACGGCCTCAGGCCTTTGCACATGCTTAGAGTCAGTTCCCTCAGCCCTTCCAGCCTCCAGGCACATTCTATTCAAGCTAACCAGTCAGCATCAGCATCAGTATCAGTGTCTACACTCCTGGCTCTCAGCTTTCAACCCCAGTCCTGTGTGGAGAGACTGACTTCTTTGCATTGCACTTCAAAGGAGGTTCAAGGCTACCTCCTTTGTTGGAGTGTGTTGGAGTCTCCCCACTCCCCCCACCCCCCTTTACTTCCTTGAAACTCATTCAGTAAACCACAGTGCAGGGGTCCCTCTGTTCTGTACTGGAATTAGAAAGCAGGGCATTAACAAGCCTTGTGTCCTCTTTTCCCTCCCATCTCTAAGGATTATGTCAACTGACCCTACTCTACCACCACTCACCTTCAACTCTGCACACCTGAGCCCACTCACAAGCACTGTGGCCATACCCCAGTTATACAAACTCAGTCCTGGGCCTCAGTCTTCCCCTCAGTGAAATGATGATAGCACTATCTACTCCACAGGCTTGATGGGAGGGGTAACATTCATCTGTGTGTTGGCCTAACCGAAACAACAAGAAGGGCCTCTGTGTCTACTCCACTTGTCTCTTCTCAGAAAGATTGACATCAGTATTATCCATTTTCCATTTTGTTTGTCCAACAACGCTGGGCAGTGAGTGTGTTAGCCTTGTATTACGGAAAGGTAAGAACAGAGTAGCAGTCTTGGCAAATAGCCGCCAGGATGGAAATCTCACGGGAAAGAGAAGTCCACTCATTCATCAACAACTGCAGTTACCAGGTAAGTCAGTTAATCAACATCCCAAACACCTACTAACTCTTATTTTGCTTCCTCTATTTCTGTCTCACACCCCACATTCAAGCCTGAAACAAGAACTGCTCCATGACATCTCAGGGATTCAGCCGCCATCACCGCCTCTGTTGGCTGGAGGACCATGGCAGCCTCCTCCCTGGGCTCCCAGCCGCAACTCTTGGCTCCTTCCTGTTCACATTTCGTTCCTTTCTACTATTCCAAGGTCAGTCGCCACTCGGAAGCCAGTGTGATATTTATACATATAGAGACGATTATATTGTTTTCCTGCTTAAAACCTTTTGGAATGGTCTACTGGTGAGCAAACTCCCAGGTTCTTCTGTGGCCCTGCATGAACCATAGCTCCTGCCCCTCCTGCCTCTGCCTTACACGCTCCCAACCACTCACCATCTGTAGCCCCTCAAACATCCCAAACTTGTCTTTTTAAGGGTCTTTGCCATTCTTCCTTCTGCCACAAGAGCTCAATGCCACATGTCTTCTCTGGCTTCAACTCTTTTCTTTTTTTTAAAATAGAGATAGGGTCTCACTATGTTGCCCAGGCTGGTCTTGAACTCCTTGGCTCAAGCAATTCACCCACCTCAGCCTCCCAAAGTGTCGGGATTATAGGCATGAGTGCCGTGCCTGGCCTGGCTTCAACTGTAAGGCCTGTTTTCCAGAACAGCTGTCCCTGAACATCCTAGCCCCTCCCCACCCCCACCAACTCACTTCAGGCTGCATTTTATAGATTTTTTTTTTTCTGCCTTAACTAAGCCTTTGATTCAAAACAAAATACAAATATTATAAATAGGATGATTTCTGGAGGTGAGAAGCCAGCAGGGCATGAGGGACCTGTGAGGGCCATGATGTGATTCACCCAGCCACACTCAAGGGCAATCCCATCCATGTGTGTTTTTTGAGACAGGGTCTGGCTCTGTCACCCAGGCTGGAGTGCAGTGGCATGATCTTGGCTCACTGCAACCTCTGCCTCCTGGGTTCAAGTGATTCTCTTGCCTCAGCCTCCCAAGTAGCTGGGATTACAGGCACCTGCCACCAGGCCCGGCTAATTTTTGTATTTTTAGTAGAGACAGGGTTTCCCCATGTTGGCCAGTCTGGTCTCAAACTCCCAGCTTCAAATGGTCCACCTGCCTCGGCTTCCAAAAATACTGGGATTACATGCATGAGCCACTGTGCCTGGCCATCATCCTAGTTTGTGAAAAAGCCTCTGTCTAAGTGAGATCACTGTGGTATTGATCCTGAGAGAAAGGTACTTAGTTCCTCCTCCTCTTTTGGAGAAACTGATGCTCAGGGCATCCATGTTCCCATGACTTTTGTTTATGATACACCCCACTTGCCAGACTGGCATTCTTGGGTAGAGGAAACAGACAAAGTTATCTTTCTCCTTTAGTTTTATAAGATGGGTAAAATCTCAAGAATTTTGGCTGTGTTTAGCCTGGATTTAGAACTCAGCCATCTCCATTTCCTGACACACTACTTCCCCCTTCCCATTTTCATACCTACCCTGTGTCCTCCTATACTTGAGAGCCTCCGCCAAACACCTGGAGTCTTTGATCATCAACCCTTCAGTTGCCCCCCAGCATTCGCTTAGGTAGAAGACTTTCAAGTTCTCCTCTCCCCCTTTGCTAGGTTTTGGGAAAGTAAGAAAACATTCACAGCAGCTGTTACAGTGCACCTTTTCCCACAGACTGGTGGTAAGAGCCAGAAGATTGCCACTGAAGTAAAGCTTTTAAAAACCTTTCCTACAATGGGATTAACTGCCATGCAGCCAACGATGCCAGCCACACATCATAGTAAAGTCAGCCATGGGCCCCAGCCTCTTCCATAGCCTGCTCAGATTATGCGCTGATGTTCCGCTAGATGAACCTTTCTTGATTCAGGAACTAGTGAGAACACATGTGTCCTACCATGATAGGGTTTTGCCATTACTGAAGCAGTTGTGGGGATAGCACTTGTGTGGCAGTAATCCTCCTTTTTAACAGCTTACATGCCAGGATTTCCCTAGAGAGGCAGCATCACGATTCATTCTGATGTTTCTGAATTTAGTGTTCCTTCATTAGCTCAGTGATTTTTACTAAATGCTTACTATACCTACTGGGAGACACAGCCAAAAGCAATGCCCCAGTAAGGATGGCACTTATATTCCAGTGGGAGCAAAGAGGGGCTGGCAGCAGGGTGACAAGTGCCTTGATCAGGGAAGTGTGGGGGGCAGTGGGACTCTCTGGGAGAGTCCCCACACCCTGACCTGAGTAGGGGTTAGCCAGACAAAGGGTGCTAAGGGGAAGGACTAAGTGTGGGTAGAAGAAGCCATGCAGAGGCCGGGACATGAAAGAACACAGCTCCTGTGGAGAATTGGAAGAAGCTGCCCAGGGAGGCAGGCCAGCCCACAGCAGAGTCTCAGACAGGGAACGGAAGTGGAGGCTGGGAGGTGGCTCTATGGTCTGCAAAGCCCATTAAGTAAATAGAATGGGATAGAACAGAATAGAATGGGAGTGAGAATCTAATTTTTTTTCTTTAAAATTTTTTTTTTTTTTTTTCCTGGCTGGGTATAGTGGCTCACGCCTGTAATCCCAGCACTCTGGGAGATCAAGGTGGGCAGATCATGAGGTCAGGAGATCAAGACCATCCTGGACAACATGGTGAAACCCCATCTCTACTAAAAATACAAAAATTACCTGGGTGTGGTGGCATTCGCCTATAATCCCAGCTACTCGGGAGGCTGAGGCAGGAGAATTGCTTGAACTAGGGAGTCAGAGGTTGCAGTGAGCCGAGATTGCACCACTGCATTCCAGCCTGGCGACAGAGCAAGACTCTGTCTCAAAAAAAAAAATTTGTTTTTAAAGGAGAGGTAGGGCTGGTACGTGGTGGCTCACACCTGTAATCCTAGAACTTTGGGAGGCCAAGGTGGGCAGATTACCTGAGGTCAGGAGTTCGAGACCAGCCTGGCCAATATGGTGAAACCCCAATCTCTACTAAAAATACAAAAATTAGCAGTGCATGGTGGCACATGCCTGTAGTCCCAGCTACTCGGGAGGTTGAGGCAGGAGAATCGCTTGAACCCAGGAGGCGGAGGTTGCAGTGAGCCGAGATCATGCCACTGCACTCCAGCCTGGGCGACAGAGGAAGGCTCTATCTCAAAAAAACAAAAACAAAAACAAACAAACAAAAAACGGGGGGAGAGGTGGTCTCACTATGTTGCTCAGGCTGGTCTTGAACTGAAACAACCCATCAGCCTTGGTCTCCCAAAGTGCTGGGATTACAGACCACCACACCAAGCCACCACACCCAGTCATCTAATTTTAAGAATGAAATTCATTTTAGGCTGGGCACGGTGGCTCATGCCTGTAATCCCAGCATTTTGGGAAGCCAAGGCGGGTGGATCACTTGAGGTCAGGAGTTCGAGACCAGCCTAGCCAACATGGTGAAACCCTGTCTCTACCAAAAATACAAAAAAATTAGCCAGGTGTGTTGGCGTGTGCCTATAGTCTCAGCTACTCAGGAGGCTGAGGCAAGAGAATCAGTTGAACCCAGGAGGTGGAGTTTGCAGTGAGCTGAGATCGTGCCACTGCACTCCAGCCTCGGCAGCGAAACAAGACTCTGTCTCAGAAAAAAAAAAAAAGAAAAGAAAAAAAATAAATTCATTTTAAGAATGAAATTTGGGTTGTGTGTGGTGGCTCAAGCCTGTAATCCTAGCACTTTGGGAGGCGGAGACAGGCAGATTGCTTGAGCCCAGGACTTTGAGACCTGTCTGGGCAACATGGCGAAATACCGCCTATACAAAAAAAAAAAAAATACAAAAAATTAGCCAAGCCTGGTGGCACAGACCTGTAGTCCCAGCTACCGAGGAGGCTGAGGTGGGAGGATCGCTTTAGCCAGGGAGATCAAGGCTGCAGTGAGCCATGATCGCACCACAGCAGTCCAACCTGAGTGACAGAGTGAGACCCTGTCTCAAAAAATAAAATAAATAAACAATAAAATAAGAATGAAATTTGTGTTTCAAATAGAGTTCTTTGTCAATAATCCTTTGAAGGGACAAGATTTCCTAAGGAGACCATTCTGGAAGCTACTGTAGAAATATAAGCAAGAGGTGACAGTGGTCTAAAGTAGGGTAGGGATGCTGTGGAAGAAAACAATGGGCAGGTTTGGGAGATACTGAGGAGATAGGAGGGAACAGACTTTGTGGTTTCCGAACGTGGTAGTTGAGGGAGAAGGAAGGGTTTGAGATGACCATCAGGTTCTGCCTGAAGCAACAGGTAAAAGGTGGTGGTGTTCACCAGGTCCGGGCCCTGCAGAGGAGGTAGGATTCTTTGTGGATCACCAGGAGGAACTTTGTACCAGGAGCTGCAACCTATAGATCGAGATTAGGAGAGGGGACCAGGCTGGCTATGTACATCTGGGTGGTATCAGGATATGGAAGACAGGTTTAATTTAGTCATTTAATAAAACTTTCATAGCAGCTACTTTGTACGAGCCCTTATGTTAGGGGCTGGAGATAAATGGTGAGTAAGATAGACTTGTTTCCTTCTCTCTTGGAGTTTACACTCTAACTGGGGAGACAGACTTCCACTAAATAAATTCACAAATGAATATGTCATTACAGAGCAGCATAAGTGCCATGAAGGGGCCAGGCAGGCTTCTGTGAGTGTATAAAAGGAGGGACAGGAATCTAGCCTGGGGAGTCAGAAAAGGTTTCCCTGAGGGCAGGCAGCTTGAATTGAGATCTGAAGAAGTGGTCATGGGTGAACCAGGAGACAGGAAGGGAAAGGGCGTTTCCAAACAGAGGGAGCAGCACTTATACAAAGTCTCTGTCACAGAGGGCTGGGGGACACAGGAACAACATGGTGGCACATCATCAGACTTGCATTTTGAATGGGTGGGTGAGGTAGGGGAGTCTTCAGGGATGGGGTGGACAAGTGTAGGAAGTTATTACAGTTGTTGGTAAGTGACTTGAACCAGGATAGTGACAACAGAAAGAGGCATGGATTCTTTTGAAAGATATCAAGGAATTAAAATCAATAAGACTTGGTAAGGCATTGGATATGGTGAGGAAGCCATCAGAGATGTATTCTGTGGCCTGGGAATTAAGCTGGGAGGAGGGCCATTTCTGAGGAGGGGAAATTGAAAAATTAGTTGTTTTGGGGAGGAGAAGATCATAAATTTGGTCTTGACACATTGCACTGAGTTACCTCTGAGATATTTGAGTGGAAGTGTAGATAGATCAGAAGCTCAGAGGAAAAACCTAGACTAGAAATTTAAGTTATGAATCACTGAGGTAGAAATATTAATTAAGGGGCTTCTAGTTTCTGGTCTGACATGTGAAAAAGCTTGGAAGTTATCACTTTTGTGCTTACGACAAGAAAAAAACTGAACAAACTAACAACTTTTCTTAGATTCATCAGAGAATTGAGGTCACAGGGCAAACTGCCATCCCAAATACCAGAGAAAGAGGTGGTTACCGAGAAGCACAGAGAACATCTTACCAGTAGCTGAAGCCTGTACTGATAGAAAAACTTAAACTGTAATTGACAGATTGCAGGAGGCTCAGCCTGTGGACAAACTTAAAGAGTTAAAAACTCACGCCTGTAATCCCAGCACTTTGGGAGGCTGAGGCAGGTGGATCACCTGAGGTCGGGAGTTTGAGACCAGCCTGACCAACATGGAGAAACCCCGTCTCCACTAAAAGTACAAAATTAGCTGGGCGTGGTGCCGCATGCCTGTAATCCCAGCTACTGGGGAAGCTGAGGCAGGAGAATCGCTTGAACCCGGGAGGCGGAGGTTGTGGTGAGCTGAGATCATGCCATTGCACTCCAGCCTGGGAAACAAGAGTCAAACTCCATCTAAAAAAAAAAAAAAAAAAAGAAAAAGAAAAAAATGCTGAGAAGCACTTATGAAGGTCACAGCCCAGAGGCACAGGCTTGCCAAAAGACCTACTCATAGGATTATAGAATACTTCCTCCTCCCCAACACCTTACCACTATGTTAATCGGCCTCCTGTATAACAGTGGATTACATTTAAAAGAACGGCAAGGCTCAGACTCTATTTTCAGAAGTTGTCACTAGAGAAACCCAAAGAAAACAGGGGATACATGGCCAGGCACTGTGGCTCACATCTGTAACCCCAGCACTTTGGAAGACCGAGGTGGGTGGATCACTTGAGGCCAGGAGTTTGAGACCAGCCTGGCCAACATGGCGAAACCCCATCTCTATTAAAAATACAAAAATTAGCCGGGTGTGGTGGTGCACACCTGTAATCCCAGCTACTCAGGAGGCTGAGGCAGAAGAATTGCTTAGACCCGGGAGGTGGAGGTGGAGGTTTCAGTGAGCCAAGATCATGCCACTGCACTCCAGCCTGGGTGACAGAGTGAGACTGAAAAAAGAAAAAAAAGAAAGGAAGAAAGGAAGAAAGGAAGAAAGGAAGAAAGAAAGAAAGAAAGAAAGAGAGAGAGAGAGGGAGGGAGGGAGGGAGGGAGGAAGGAAAGAAGGAAGGAAGGAAGGAAAAGAAAAGAAAGAGAGAGAAAGAAAAGAAAGAAAAGCAAACAGGGGATACAAAAACAAGGACATTGGAAAATAATTTTAACCCATAACACATACAGCTACAACAACAGCAAACACAGCCTAACTCCTAGCTCAACAAGGACATCGGAAAATAATTTTAACCTCTAACACATACAGCTACAATAAAAAGTAAACACAGCCTAACTCCTAGCCAAATAATCATAAAGCATTACCCTAAAGGCCTGTCTACCTCAGTTTCTTTAATGTGAAGCATCACGTCTAGGTTTCAACAAAAAATTGTATAAGGCATGCTAAATGGCAAAAAATGAAATTTGGAGACATAAAGCAAGCATCAGAACCAGACTCAGATATGACAGAGATTTTGGAATGATCAGACCTGCAATTTAAAATAACTATGATTAACATGCTAAGGCCTCTAATGGAAAAAGTGAACACCATGCAAGAACAGATAAGTAATGCAAGCAGAAAGATGGAAACTCTAAGAAAGAATCAGAAGGAAATGCTGGAAATTAAAAACACTGCAAGAGAAAGGTAGGGGGATGGGGGAGGGATAGTAAGAAAAAAAATAAAAAAATAAAAAAAGAGAAAGGTAGAGGCCGGGCGTAGTGGCTCACAGCTGTAATCCCAGCACTTTGGGAGGCCGAGGTGGGCAGATCACGAGGTCAGGAGATCAAGACCATCTTGGCTAAGAAGGTGAAACCCCATCTCTACTAAAAATAAAAAAAATAAAAAAAATTAGCCGGGTGTGGTGGAATGTGCCTGCCTGTAGTCCCAGTGACTCGGGAGGCTGAGGCAGGAGAATCGCTTGAACCCAGGAGGCACAGGTTTCAGTGAGCAGAGATCATGCCACTGCACTCCAGCCTGGGTGACAGAGTGAGAGTCCTTCTCAAAAAAAAAAAAAAAAAAAGAGAGAGAGAGACAGAGAAAGGTAGAATGCATTTGATGGGCTCATCTACTCATCTGTAGACTGGACATGACCAAGGGAAGAATCCGTGAGCTTAAAGATATGTCGGCTGGGTGCAGTGGCTCACGCCTGTAATCCCAGCACTTTGGGAGGCCGAGGCAGTGGATCACAAGGTCAGGAGTTAGAGACCAGCCTGGCCAATATGGTGAAACCCTGTCTCTACTAAAAGCACAAAAATTAGCTGGGCGTGGTGGGGTGCACCTGTACTCCCACCTACTCGGGAGGCTGAGGCAGAAGAATTGCTTGAACCCAGGAGGTGGGGTTGCAGTGAGCCGAGATCATGCCACTGCACTCCAGCCTGGGCGACAGAGTGAGACTCTGTGTCAAAAAAAAAAAAAAGATATGTCAATAGAACTTCTAAAACTGAAATGAAAAGGGAAGATATGATGAAAAAGATAGAACAGACTATGCAAGATCCAAGAACTGTGGAACAATTACGAAAGGTATAACTTACATGTAGTAGGAATACCAAAAAGAGAAGAAAGTGAGAAAGGAACAGAAGAAATATTTGACATAATAATGGCTGAGAATTTTTCAAAAATTAATGACTTTTTAACTCAAAATTTCTAGATCACTGCAATATTAACAAAATCTTTTTTTTTGGTTGTTTTTGTTTTTATTTATTTATTTATTTATTTTTGAGATGGAGCCTCACTCTGTCACCCAGGCTGGAATACAGTGACATGGTCTTGGCTCACTGCAACGTCCACCTTCCAGGTTCAGGCGATTCTCCTGCCTCAGCCTCCCAAGTAGCTGGAATTACAGGGACTCACCACCACGCCCAGCTAATTTTTGTATTTTTAGTAGAGACGGGGTGTCATCATGTTAAACAGGCTGGTTTTGAACTCCTGACCTCAGGCGATCCGCCCGACTGGGCTTCCCAAAGTGCTGGGATTATAGGCGTGAGCCACTGTGCCTGGCCCAAAATTAACAATTTTTTTTTTTTGACATGGTGTTTTGCTCTTGTCGCCCAGGCTGGAGTGCAATGGCGAGCTCTCAGCTCACCGCCTCCTGGGTTCAGGTGATTCTCCTGCCTCAGACTCTCAAGTTGCTGGGATTACAAGCACCCGCCATCATGCCCAGCTAATTTTTGTAGAGAGGGGGTTTCACTATGTTGGCCAGGCTGGTTTTGAGCTCCTGATCTCAGGTGATCTGCCCGCCTCAGCCTCCGAAAGTGCTGAGATTACGGGCGTGAGCCACTGTGTCTGGCCCCAAAAAAAATTTTTTTGAGACAAGGTCTTGCTCTGTTGCCCAGGCTGGAGTGCACTGGCATGATCACTGCTTACTGTAGTCTTGACCTCCTGAGCTCAAGCAATCCTCCCACCTTAGCCTCCCGATTAGCTAGGACTACAGGTGTGTACCACCATGCCTGGCTAATTTTTTTCATTTTAAAATTATTATTATTTTTGAAACAAGGTCTTCCTTTTATTTTATTTTATTTTATTTTTTTGAGATAGAGTCTCACTCTGTCGCCTCACCCAGGCTGAAGTGCAGTGGCGCAATCTCAGCTCACTGCAATCTCTGCCTCCTGGGTTCAAGCGATTCTCTTGCCTCGGCCTCCCAAGTAGCTGGGATTACAGGTGTGCATGACCAAGTCCAACTAATGTTTTTGTATATTTAGGAGAGACGGGATTTCACCAAGTTTGCCAGGGTGGCCTCAAACTCCTGACCTCAAGTGATCCCCGGCCTCAGCCTCCCAAAGTGCTGGGATTACAGGCGTGAGCCACCACGCCCGGCTGAGACAGGGCCTTTCTCTGTCACCCAGGCTGGAGTGCGGTGACGCAACCATGGCTCAATCACTGCAGCCTTAACCTCCCGGGCTCAGGTGATCCCATCTCAGCCTCCCGGGTAGCTAGGACTACAGGCGTGTACCACCACGCCTGGAATTTTTTTCTATTTTTAGTAGAGATGAGGTTTCACCATGTTGGCCAAGCTGGTCCTGAACTCCTGGGCTTAAGGGATCCGCCCACCTCGGCCTCCCAAAGTGCTGGGATTACAGGCGTGAGCCACCACACCTGGCCATCTTTGCCAATCTTAAGTGGTTGGGTAGAAGATAAACACATAGATCCTTCCTTTACACTGCCCACGAGCGATTACAAAAAGAAATGAGTTCTGCAGTAGGGATTGTCCAGGAAAAAAAAAAAAAGTGAGAACAAAAAAATTCCATTTAACTTCTAGTTAAACATGACAAATGAAATGGGGATTTATCTTTATTCCCTTGAGATGTTGCTAAAATGAATTAAATAAATAACTGAGTAAGATGAATACAAGGCATGAGGCAACAGGAGAGGGGAGACAGCAAAAAGACCAATGTATATAATTTAGTACCATTTGTGCAAAAAAAAAAAAAGGTGGTGGGGAAGAGGAAGAATAGGTGTATGTTTGTTTACATATGCATAAAATATTATTTGTAGAAACACAAGAATCTAGTTATATGGACATCCTGGAGAGGTGAGTGGAGGGGCTGGGAGAAGAGTGGGAAGGAGGCTTCAATGCACAGCCTTTGGTACATCATTGACAGTGTGAATGATGTAAATATTTTCCTATTCAAAAATAAATTACTACAATTTGGCCCGGCGCAGTGGCTCACGCCTGTAATCCCAGCACTTTCGTAGGCTGAGGCCGGCGGATCACCTGAGGTCAGGAGTTCAAGGCCAGCCTGGCCAACATGGTGAAACCCCGTCTCTACCAAAAATACAAAAATTAGCCAGGTGTGGTAGTGCACGCCTGTAATCCCCGCTACTCAGGAGGCTGAGGCAGGAGAATTGCTTGAATCCAGGAGATGGAGGTTGTGGTGAGGTGAAATGGCACCATTGCACTCCAGCCTGGGCAACAGAGTGAGACTCTGTCTCAAAATAAATAAAGAAATACATAAATAAATAAATTACTACAATTTAAAATTTTAAAATACAAATGAAAGTATTTCCAAAAGGAGAGATAGCCATTAAGCAAATAACTGTATAAATAACTCTATGATTCCATAAAGGAAATATTCAGAGTGTTGTTACAGATAGAACAAGGCCTCCCAAAGTGCTGGGATTACAGGCGTGAGCCACCGCACCTGGCTTCTTCTTTTAATAACGGTTCTTTTGGTGAAATTCTCTTGGCCATAAACTCCCTAAGATTTTGGCCTGAGGTCTGGGGCTTTGTGGAAGGCCTCCCTGAAGCTCCCAAATGGATAAGGAGAAGGCATTCCAGATGGGTCAAACATGGGCAGCGTGCTGCGGTGGGAAGGGGCAGTGAACAGGCCAGAAAAAACAACTCAAGTTTTTATTTATTTCCTTTTTTTTTATTTTGTCAGATAAAATGTCACACATATTTATTTATTTTTATTTTTACTTTTTGGAGATGGAGTCTCACTCTTGTTGCCCAGGCTGGAGTGCAGTGGCAGATCTCGGCTCCCTGCAACCTCCGCCTCCCCGGTTCAAGCAATTCTTCTGCCTCAGCCTTCCGAGTAGCTGGGACTACAGGCACATGCCGCCATGTCCGGCTAATTCTTTGTATTTTAGTAGAGACAGTCTTTCATCGTGTTGCCCAGGCTGGTCTCGAACTCCTGAGCTCAGGCAATCCGCCCGCCTCGGCCTCCCAAAATGCTAGGATTACAGGTGTGAGCCACTGCGCCCGGCCTGGTCACACATATTTATTACTAAACAAACCACTAGTGCGGAAGCATAGAAACAGAGAAAATCATTTACTCAATAAAACATGTCTTACTGTCCAGATAGCAGTGACATTTTCAGTTTGATATGGTAAGATGACAGTGACCTTGATGCAGCATAAATATGTCAGCTCATGTACAATTCTCGCTGGGTTATCAGGGCAGAGGGTTAAGGCAGAGGGTGGAGCAAATGCAAAGGCCCACAGATGGAAGAATGCTTAGAATGCTTGGGTGGGTGGAGCATGACAAGCACGTGATAGGGATGAGCTCAGAGAGGGTGTGCGGGAAGACGGAAGGTGTAAAGCCTCATCGCTATTGTGAGCACTGTGGCTTTTACTCTGAGATGATAAGCAACAGTAGGATGTTTCTTAAGTGGGGGAGAGGAAAGGCCGGGCGCTGTGGCTCATGCCTGTAATCCCAGCACTTCGGGAGGCCGAGGCGGGCGGATCACGAGGTCAGGAGATCCAGACCATCCTGGCCAACATGGTGAAACCCCGTCTCTACTGAGAAAAATACAAAAATTAGGGCCGGGCGCGGTGGCTCACGCCTGTAATCCCAGCACTTTGGGAGGCCAAGGCAGGCGGATCACGAGGTCAGGAGAGCGAGACCATCCTGGCTAACACGGTAAAACCCTGTCTCTACTAAAAATACAAAAAAAATTAGCCAGGCATGGTGGCGGGCCCCTGTAGTCCCAGCTACTCAGGAGGCTGAGGCAGGAGAATGGCGTGAACCCGGAAGGCGGAGCTTACAGTGAGCCAAGATTGCGCCACTGCACTCCAGCCTGGGTGACAGAGCACGACTCCGTCTCAAAAAAAAAAAAAAAAAAAAAAAAAAAAAAAGGCCGGGCACCATGGCTCACGCCTGTAATCCCAGAACTTTGGGAGGCCGAGGTGGGCGGATCACGAGGTGAGGAGTTAGAGACCAGCCTGGCTAACATGGTGAAATCCCGTCTCTACCAAAAATACAAAAATTAACCAACCCAGCTACTCAGGACGCTGAGGCAGGAGAATTGCTTGAACCCAGGAGGCAGAGGTTGCAGCGAGCCGAGATCACACCACCGCGTCCCAGCCCAGACGACATAGTGAGACTCCGAATCAAAAACAAACAAACAAACAAACAAACAAACAAAAAAGATGGAGAGGAAGGATCTGACTTGAGCTTTAGAAGAATAAATCAGGCTTACGGAGTCTGAGAATGAGTGGTACAGGAGAGAGGGCTGAGATAGGCAAATCAGGCAGGAGGCTGTGAGGAGATAGCGGTCGTTTGGATCAAGGTGGTAGCAGTGGAAGGGAAGAAGAGATTCTGGTCAGAGTCTGGATTTATTTATTTATTTGTTTGTTTATTGAAATGGAGTTTCGCTCTTGTTGCCCAGGCTGGAGTGCAGTGGCGTGATGATGGCTCACTGCAACCTCCGCCCCCTGAGTTCAAGCAATTCTCCTGCCTCAACTTCCCCAGTAGCTGGGACTACAGGCGCCTGCCCTCATGCCCAGCTAATTTTTAGTATTTTTAGTGGAGACGGGGTTTTACCATGTTGGCCACACTGGTCAAACTCCCGACCTCAAGTGATCCACCCACCTCGGCCTCCCAAAGTGCTGGGATTACAGGCGTGAGCCACCACACCTGTACCTGGATGTATTTTAAAGGAAGAACTGATATAGTTGTTTGTTTTTTGTGTGTGTGTGTTAGTATTTTAATACAGTTCAAATCAGTGTGTATGGTTCATTTCAGCTCCTTCACTGCCAAATTAGGGGGCAGGGACTGCTTCAGTTTCTCTGCCTTCTCTTTTTCCCTATGACCGTGGTGGACAGGTATCTGCTAAATTGAACTTCAAATTTCGCATTGTCCTTCTTTTATTTATTTATTTATTTATTTATTTATTTATTTATTTATTTATTGAGACGGAGTCTAACACTGCCCCTGGGCTGAAGTGCAGTGGTACGATCTCGGCTCGCTGCAACCTCTGCCTCCCGAGTTCAAGCAATTCTCCTGACTCAGCCTCCCGAGTAGCTGGGACTACAGGCATGTGCCACCATGCCCGGCTAATTTTTGTATATTTAGCAGAGATGAGGTTTCACCATATTGGCCAGTCTGGTCTTGAACTCCTGACTTCGTGATCCACCCTCCTCAGCCTCCCAAAGTGCTCAGATTACAGGCATGAGCCACCACGCCCGGCCTGTCCTTCTTTTTCTTGATCTTGACAGATTTGGCATCCTTTCGCCAGGCAGTGAGCAGAAAGTGCTTGATTTCCTCAATTTTCTGAGGCATGGCAACAAGGCATGCAGGGAGTGGGGCAGACTGGCACCTGGGGTTCCCAAATTTCACCCAGCCATGGATTGCTCCAGATTACCCCTCTTGGCCAAATATCACCCCAGAGACCTGATATAACTGTTGATACAACAGTTGCGGATGCATTTGATATGGGGTGTGAGAGGAAGAGAGGGCTCCCCAAGTTATCAACTGAAAGTAGGAAACAAGTAAGAATGGTGGAAAAGCCAGGTGCTGTGGATTACAAACCCCAGCACCCTGGAAGGCCGAGGCGGGAGGATCTCTTGAGCTTAGGAGTTCAAGATCAGTCTGGGCAACATAGCAAGACCCTGTCTCTAAAAAAAAAAAAAAAAAAAAATTAGCCGGGCTTCTTGGTGGTGCATGCCTGTAGTCGCAGCTACTCAGGAGGCTGAGGTGGGAAGATAGTTTGAGCCTGGGAGGTGGAGGCTCTGATTAGCTGAGATTGTGCCACTGCACTCAGCCTGGACAATAGAGACCCTGTCTCAAACAAACAAAAATAGAATGGTGGAGGAAGTGTTGGAGGTTTAAGGAGATAATGTCAGATAAAAAGCAGTACAGAAGTTTACAAGGGTGAGTCCAGGTGATTTGGGATGATGGAGAAATCTCAGATTTCTTGATGACTGGCTAAATAGAGCCAGGGCACATGGGATAAGTCCTAATGGCTTACAAGGCAGATTTTGATGGTGAAGCTGTGAGTATTGGGGTTGGGAAGAGAACAAGTAGTGCCCTTGTCCTTAAACAGTATTTTTATTATTTTATGAGGGCAATATTTGTTTAGATTTACCTAAGTGTTCATTACTTTCTTTGCTCACTATCCCATTATCCCCTTTTTTTTTTTGAGATGGATTCTTGCTCTGTCACCCAGACTAGAGTGCAGTGGTCTGTTATTGGCTCACTGCAACCTCTGCTCCTCTGGGTTCAAGCGATTCTTGTGTCTTCTGCCTCCCAAGTAGCCACAGGTGAGTGCCACCACATCTGGCTAAGTTTTATATTTTTAGTAGAGATGGGATTTTGCCATGTTAGCCGGGCTGGTCTGGAACTCCTGACCTCAGATGATCTGCCTGCCTCAGCCTCCCAAAGTGCTGAGATTACAGGCATGAGTCACCATGCCCGGCCTGTGTTCTATCTCTTTTTGCATTTCTTCAGGTATCATTCCCTTCTTGCTGAAGTAAATCTTATAGGTATACTTTTCACCCTGTCTTTTTTTTTTTTTTTTTTTTTTTTTGTGACGGAGTCTCTTTCTGTCACCTGGCTGGAGTGCAGTGGCACAATCTCAGCTCACTGCACATCCTCCTGCCGGGTTCAAGCAATTCTCCTGCCTCAGCCTCCCGAGTAGCTGGGACTACAGGCACATGCCACCACGCCTAGCTAATTTTTGTATTTTTAGTAAAGACAGGTTTTCACCATATTGGGCAGGATGGTCTCGATCTCTTGACCTCATGATCCGCCCACCTCGGCCTCCCAAAGTGCTGGAATTACAGCTGTGAGCCACTAAGCCCGGCCTTTTCTCTGTCTTTTAATTTTTTTTTTTTTTTAATAGAGATGGGATCTCACTATGTTACCACAGCTGGTTTTCAACTCCTGGCCTCAAATAGTACTCCTGCCTCAGCCTCTCAAAGTGCTGGATCATAGGTGTGAGCCACTTCTCCTGGCCATACAGCTGTATTTTTAAAAAAAAACAACTTTGCTTTGATTTTTTTTTTTTTTTTTTTGAGACGGAGTCTTGCTCTGTCACCCAGGCTGGAGTGCAGTGGCACAATCTCGGCTCACTGCAAGCTCCGCCTCCCGGGTTCACGCCATTCTCCTGCCTCAGCCTCCCAAGTAGCTGGGACCACAGGCGCCCACCACCATGCCCGGCTAATTTTTTGTATTTTTAGTAGAGATGGAGTTTCACCGTGTTAGCCAGGATGGTCTCCATCTCCTGACCTCGTGATCCACCCTCCTCAGCCTCCCAAAGTGCTGGGATTACAGACGTGAGCCACCGCATCCAGCCTCTTCTTTTAATAATGGTTCTTTTGGTGAAGTTCTCTTGGCCATAAACTCCCTAAGATTTTATTAGCATAGAAATGCTTAATTTTGCCCTTATATTGAAAGACAGTAAAATTTCAGGACACAGAAATCTAGGTTGACTTTTATTTCTTTCAACCATTTGGAGATGTTATTCCATATCTTCTGGCCTTTGTTAACAGCTGTCTGAATAACTCTCATCTCTTTGAGAGGAATGGTCTTCTCTCTCTGGCTGCTTTGAAGATGTTATCTTTGCCTTTGGTATTCTACAGTTTCACTAAAACATATATAGATGTGAATTTATTTTTGTTTACCTTGCTTGGTATATGTTGTCCTCCTTTGTGGACTCATGACTTTTAACTGTTCTGAAAACTTCTTAGTCATAATTTATTTACATATTACCTCTCCTCCATTCTCTGCTTCTGAGACTATGATTACATATATGTTACATTTCTCATTCCATATATTTAACCACTCTATCATATGTTTCAAATCCTTGTCTCTCTGAGTTACCTGACCCATAATATTTTTATCTCCACCTTCCAAGTCACTATTTCTCTCTTCTTTTATCCCTGGACTCCAACTTATCTTCCATTGATTCTTAAATTTCAGCAATACCATTTTAAATTTCAAAAACTTCTATTTGTTTCTTTTTCAACTTGGCGTTGGCATCTTGGATAGTCTCTTATTGTTCACTTAG
Organism: Homo sapiens; assembly: GCF_000001405.40. Classification (NCBI taxonomy): domain Eukaryota; kingdom Metazoa; phylum Chordata; class Mammalia; order Primates; family Hominidae; genus Homo; species Homo sapiens. The sequence continues at coordinate 88,425,346 of NC_000002.12, read as the reverse complement.
CCTTACAATTCCATCTTTTATTTTATAAACCTTTTGTACATATTTTATACTCTATATCTGATAATTCCAATATTTGAAGTCTATAGAAGTCTAAATCTATTGATGATTTCAGCTTATTGTCATTTATTATGACTTGTGTCTTTATGTGTCAATTTCCTTTATTGTGAATTCATATTTGGTTGATCTAAATCTGTGAGAATCCTGGCTTTTCTCCAAAGACAATTTATGTATGCTTCCACTGTCAGCTGGGGGTGCTATCAAGATGTGAGAATGATGGCCCTTTCTGAGGGTCTTGGGTTACAGCAGGAACACTGCATCCAGTATTCCCACTCTGTTGTTGGCTCATAGTTGAGCGCCTTCATAATACACAATACCAATTGCGGTGTTTGTCTTCTGGTCAAACTCAAGCTTACTTACTACCCCCTAATCTGGTTTAAACTCATCTTTTTGTTTGTTTGTTTGTTTTGGGGGGGGTTACTTTTTTTCCCAACACACTATATAGGTCAATGTTTGTTTCTAACTATCTATTTTGAAATAATTTCACGTATATAAAAAAGTTGCATGGAATAGTGCAAAGATTCCTGTATATTCTTCACCCAGATTTTCCATTAACATTTAACCTCTCTCTCTCCCAGAATCATTTCAGAGAACTTTGCAGATATGACACTTCATTACCTATAAATACTTCAGTATGTATATTTTCCTCAAAGAAACATACTCTGCCACATAATCACAATACAACTACCAAAACCAAGAAATTCATAATGATAAAGTACTACAACTAATCCATAGACCCTTTTCAAATTTTGCTAGTTCTCTCTCTCTCTCTCTTTTTTTTTTTTTCTTTTTGAAACAGGGTTTGCTCTGTCACCCAGACTGGAGGGCAGTGTTGCAATCTAGGCTCACTACAGCCTCGACCTCGCAGGCTCAAGCAATCCTCCCACCTCAGCCCCCGAGTAACTGGGACTACCGGTACACGCCGCCATGCCCCGCTAATTTTTGTAGAGACGGGGTTTCACCATGTTGCCCAGGCTGGTCTCAAACTCCTGAAATCAAGGAGCTTGAAGCTCAAGGCCCCCACCCTCTTCAGCTTCACAAGGTGCTGAGATTACAGGCGTGAGCCACCATACCCCAATGCTAGTTGTCTTAATAATGTCCTTTGTAACCAACGTTTTCTTTCTGGTCTAGGATCCAACCCAGGATCACACATAATATTTAGTTGTCACATCTCTTAAGTCTTCATCAATTTGGGGCCGTTCTTCAGTTTCCATGTCTTTCATGAGTGACATTTTTGAGGACAACAGGTCAGTTCTTTTGCAGAATGTATTTCAATTTGGATTTGTTTCATATTTTTCTCATGAACTAATTCAGGTTATGTATTTTTAGCAGGAATTTCACAGAAGTAATCTTGTTCTTATTGCATCATATTAGAAGACATGTGATATCAATTTGTCCTGTTATTGGTGGATTTTATCACTTAATTAAGATGGCACTATGGGCCAGATATCTTTTCCCCAAAATTCGTATGTTGAAGCCCTAACCCTCAATGTGTTGGGATTTGGAAATGGGGGCTTTGGGAGATAATTAGGTATAGATGAGATCATGAGGATGGGGACCTCCTGACAGGATTAGTGTTCTTATAAGAAGAGATACTCTTGCTCTTTCTATCTCTCTCTGTGGTCTGAGGATGTAGCCAGATGTCGGCTATTGCAAGCCAGGAAAAGACCCTCACCAGAACCCAACCATATAGGCACCCTGGTCTTAGACTTCCAACCTCCAGAGCTTGGCTGGGCGTTGTGGCTTATGCCTGTAATCTCAGCACTCAGAGGCCGAGGCAGGTGGATCACCTGTGGAACTCAGGCAGGAGTTCAAGACCAGCCTGGCCAACATGGTGAAACCCCATCTCTACAAAAATACGAAAGTTAGCTGGCCATGGTGGCAATGCCTGTAATCCCAGCTACTCAGGAGGCTGCGGGAGAATCGCTTGAACCCAGGAGGCAGAGGTTGCAGTGAGCTGAGATCACACCACTGCACTCCACCCTGGGTGACAGAGAAATACTCCGTCTCAAAAAAAAAAAAAAAAAGAAAAAGAAAAAGAAAAAAGAAAACAACAACAATAAAAAACCAACCTCCAGAACTATAAGAAAATCTTGATCTCCCTGCCTCTCCCACTCCTCTCCATCTTTCTCACTCTCCATTTGCTCCTTTTCTCTTCTCCCATTCCTCTCTTCCTTCCTTTCTTTGAGACCTCAAAATGGACAAGGGGCTGTCTTAGCTCCCAATTCAGTTTGAATCATTATTGTGTCCTTAATATAAGCAAAATCCGTCCTTCTTCTAAATCATCAGAGCCCAGAGCTTTTGGAATGGGAAGCAAACATTGTTAAGTCTCTCATTTGGTATAATTATGAGAGGTATGATTCCCAAGCTCCACCCCTTTGTTCTCTGGTCATTTTATTTTTGCTTTGTGAGAAAGAGCGCCATTACTTTTGCTGGCATCTTGTAAGATAATATTCCAACCTTCAAGATGTTGACTCCAAGTTAATTTCTTTTTTCTTTTTCTTTTCTTTTTAAAACGTACTTCCATTCTACACCAGCAGGTTAGTTTCTTAAACCGAGTGTTGAATAGCATTCTACAAGAGCAGCTCTTTCTGACTGATGGGGAACATGGGAGGACCAATAAATCCTTTGGGTGTCATCTCATTTGCTTACTTTGTTTATTATGAAGTGAATTTCTTTTTTTTTTTTTTTTTTCTTTTCTTTTTTAGATGGAGTCTCACTCTGTCATCCAGGCTGGAGTGCAGTGGCGCCATCTTGGCTCACTGCAACCTCCACCTCCCGGGTTCAAGCCATTCTCCTGCCTCAGCCTCATGAGTAGCTGAGATTACAGGTGCGTGCCACCAAGCCCGGCTAATTTTTTTGTATTTTTAGTAGTGATGGGATTTTACCATGTTACCCAGGCTAGTCTCGATCTCCTGACCTCATGATCTGCCTGCCTCGGCCTCCCAAAGTGCTGGGATTACAGGCATGAGCCACTGTGCCCGGCCTATGAAGTGAATTTCTTTGTGGAAGGTAATGTTGTATGTTGTATGGTTTACCGTCACAGTGTATGATATTCATTCAGTAAAGTACATAGGTGGTATTTCTGGTACAGGCATGAAATGCAGAACACAAATCTAAATCTAGGCTGGGCACGGTGGCTCATGCCTGTTATCCCAGCACTTTGGGAGGCTGAGGCGGGCAGATCACCTGAGGTTAGGAGTTCAAGACCAGCCTGGCCAACATGGTGAAACCCCGTCTCTACTAAAAATACAAAAATTAGCTGGGCATGGTGGCGCATGCCTGTAATCCCAGGTACGTGGGAGGCTGAGGCAGGAGAATCGCTTGAACCCAGGAGGTGGAGGTTGCAGTGAGCTATCACGCCACTGCACTCCAGCCTGAGCCACAGAGCAAGACTCTGTCTCAAAAAGAAAAAAAGAATTGCATCTTAAAAGGAGAAGAATTATATATTGAAAGAGGCATGCTTTCATTCTAAAATTTTAGTAACTTCCATAATTATTCTGCTAAAGCTTGCCATGGACTCCATAAAGCCTTCTTACCTGCTGTAGACACGTGAAGCACGAAGTATATATTGAGATAGGTGGCAGAGCTACTTATTATACAATTTAGGGTAAGCTAGAGAGTTTCCTCTTTCTCTGGACTTCACTCAAGGATGTCAGATTATAGATTCATCCTTGGGGCAGGACAAACAAATAACTACAGTAATCCCTTATCTACAGGGGATATGTTCCAAGACCCCTAGTGGATCCCTAAAACCACAGATAGTTCTGAATCTTATATATACTACTATGTTTTTTCTTTTTTTCTTTTTTTTTTTTTTTTGAGACAGAATCTCGCTCAGCCTCCCAGGCTGGAGTGCAGTGGCACGATCTCAGCTCACTGCAACCACCATCTCCTGTGTTTAAGCGATTCTCCCATCTCAGCCTTCTGAGTAGCTGGGATTACAGGCACCCGCCATCATGCCTGGCTAATTTTGTATTTTAGTAGAGACAGGGTTTCACCATGTTGGCCAGGCTGGCCTTGAACTCCTGACCTCAGGTGATCTGCCTGCCTCGGCCTCCCAAAGTGCTGGGATTACAGGTGTGAGCCACCACACCCGGCCACTATGCTTTTTCTTATACATACATACATACCTATGATAAAGTTTATTTTATAAATTAGGCACAGTACAAGATTAACAACAATAATAAAATAGAACAATTATAACAATATGTTGTAATAAAGTTATGCAAATGTAATCTCTCCCTCCCCCTCTCTCTAAATATCTTATTGTACTATACTCACCTATTATTTATTTATTTATTTGAGACAGAGTCTTGCTCTGTTGCCCAGGCTGGAGTGTTGTGCCACAATCTCTGCCCACTGCAACCTCTGCTTCCCAGGTTCAAATGATTCTCCTGCCTCAGCCTCCCGAGTAGCTGGGATTACAGACACCCGCCACCACCCCTGGCTATTTTTTTGTATTTTTAGTAGAGACAGAGTTTCACTATGTTGGCCAGGCTGGTCTCGAACTCCTGACCACAAGTCATCCGACTGCCTTGGCCTCCCAAAGTGTTGGGATTACAGGCATGAGCCACCATGCCTAGTGTGTACTCACCTGTTTTTAAAAACATTATTTATTTATTTATTTTAGAAACAAGGTCTCAGCTATGTTGTCCAGGCTGGTTTTGTTTTGTTTTGTTTTTGTTTTTTTTGTGTTTTTTTTTTTTTTTTTGAGATGGAATCTCACTCTGTCGCCCAGGCTAGAGTGTAGTGGCACGATCTTGGCTCATTGAAACCTCCACCTTCCAGATTCAAGTGATTCTCCTGCCTCAGCCTCCCAAGTAGCTGGGATTACGGGCATCCACCACCATGCCCGGCTAATTTTTTTGTATTTTTTAGTAGAGGTGGGGTTTTGCCATGTTGGCCAGGCTGGTCCCGAACTTCTGACCTCAGGTGATTTGCTCGCCTGTGTTTCCCAAAGTGTTGGGATTACAGGTGTGAGCTATCACACCCGGCCAAGGCTTATCTTGAACTCCTGGCCTCAAGCAATCCTTCTGCCTCCACCTCCCGAGTACCTAGGATTATAGGTGGGAGCCCTGCAGCCAGTTTGTACTCAACTATTTTTGGACCTCAATTGACCTGAAGTGATTGAAACTATGGAAAGCGAAACCATGGATGGGGGATTACTGCATATGTTGACCCATCAAGCACTGTACTTCTTTCTTCATTGTAGGGGGTGCAGATGATTGGAATCTGTCACATTAGAGGGCATATTTTGTCAAACTTCAGATTATGTGACCTATAGAAACTTCACTAGGTAAGCAGCCCTGTAAGTTTTGAAGATTTATTTTCTGCTTTCTCATATTTTATTTTATAAAGACATGTATGGATATCTACTTCTTGCTCTCCATTATTATTGTGTCACTATTGGAGAGAACTAGTAATGACCTGTGGGGTAATAAATGGTAAAGTTATCAGCAGATAAAACCTGTGGCATGCACTTTGAGATTTAGCATACCCTCCAGGCAGAGCAGTAAAGGTCTATAGCTACCCCTACCTGATGAATGCAAACTACCTCCAATTTCCTCTGTTTCTTAAATTAAGAAAAATACAGCATTGTCACATAAATACTTCCATATCAAATACGAAAGGCTATTTTGATTTTCTCCAATAGAAAGACCACATCTAGAAGGGGAATTGCTAGTTATTACCAGATTAAGTCTATAACATATTACTATGATTCAAGCCCTTCACTGTTTTACACTTGCTTAACTGGAAAGCTAAATGTGGATATGAAAGGAATCTCGCATCCATCTTGCATCTGTCATATGCCAAATGTTTCTGATATCTTAACATTATTTAGCGTGGGCTAAAGTTGGATCCAGGGTTGCATGAGTCTACTTAGTAAATTATTACAACCTCAGCCGGGCATGGTGGCTCATGCCTGTAATCCCAACCCTTTGGGAGGCCGAGCCAGGCAGATCACCTGAGGTCAGGAGTTCAGGACCAGCCTGGCCAACATGGTGAAACCCCATGTCTACTAAAACTACAAAAATTAGCTGGGCGTGGTGGTGGGCACGGTGGTGGGTGCCTGTAGTCCCAGCTGCTCAGGAGGCTGAGGCAGGAGAATTGCTTGAACCGGGGAGGCGGAGGTTGCAGTGAGCCGAGATCACGACATTGCACCCCAGCCTGGGTGACAGAGCAAGACTCCATCTCAAACAAACAAACAAACAAACAAACAAAACAAAACAAAACAAAAAAACAAAAACACAGACTGATGAGGCAGGAGTTCTGAAAGATCAATACCCACTGAAGAAATTCAAATGGTGATCAAAAATGTATACCCAAGAAAGGTACTAGACCAAGACAATTATATAAGTAAGCTCTATAATGCTTTGAAGACTATATTATCCCAATGTTTTCTTTAAATGTGTACAAATATGATAATTTATTAATATTTTCTATGGAGCTAGCAAAATACTGATTCCTCTCAAACTGAATAGCTCTCCAAAAAAAAAAAAAAAAAAAAACTATAGATAAATTTCACTTACAAATATATGCCAATGTACACAAAATTCTGTTGGGAGACACTCTGTGGGTCTCTTGTGTTTCTGCATGTCTTACAAACAGAGGTACTAACTGCTCTTTTGTTCCGGACTATATTTTCTTTTTTTTTTTTTTTTTGAGACAAAGTCTCGCTCTTGTCCCCCAGGCTGGAGTGTGATGGCGCAATCTTAGTTCACTGCAACCTCCACCTCCCGGGTTCAAGTGATTCTCCTGCCTCAGTCTCCCGAGTAGCTGGGATTACAGGCACCTACCACCGTACCTGGCTAATTTTTGTATTTTTTTAGTAGAGACAGGGTTTCACCACTTTGGTCAGGCTGGTATCGAACTCCTGACCTCAGGTGATCCAGCCGCCTCGGCCTCCCGAAGTGCTGGGATTACAGGCGTGAGCCACCGTGCCCGGCCCCAGACTATATTTTCGAAGATGTTTGTACAATCAACAACTTCGGAAGATAGTGATAGAACCTCTATCCTGAGCAGAACACAGGTTTGCTTACTGCCTAGTGTGATACAAATAATGTTTCCCTCTAGTAGCTTTGTTAACTTCTCTTTATAAAAGATTTAGTCTCCCTAAGCTTGGAGTTGCTTAGCTGTGGCACAAGCCCTGCTGTGTGTATAGCATCCGTTCCGGCCCCTTCACTCTGTTCCTGTGGTACTTGTGGGGCAAGGGAATCCAAGGGAACATGATGTTTATGCCACTTGCTATGCTGTGAGTAATGAAGTCCTTTGCCTCTGACCCAGGAGTCTCGTATTTTGTCAATATGCATGACACTATAGCAGGCTAACTTGTTAGCTTGCAAGTGGGTTAAAAATCTCAGACTTTTCATGGTTCAAAACAGTTTTAAATGATTATCAGGTTGAATTGATTAATGTATCAAAATATCACATATCATGGCAAAATAGAGTGGATTCTAGTTATTAAGGGATGATTCAACATCAGAAAATCTGTTAATGTAATTGACTAGTAAGAGTATAAGGAAACAAAGCATAAAGCATATGCTGAAAAACTGTTTGTGTCTGAGGCATTCTAAGAATTTTTCTGTTTCATGGGTGAACTTTTTCTTGTTTGCTTGTGTGTATATTTTGAGATGGAGTTGCCCAGGCTGGAGTGCAGTGGCACAATTTTGGCTCACTGCAACCTCTGCCTCCCAGGTTCAAGCAATTCTCCTCAAGTGATTCTCCTGCCTCAGCCTCCAAAGTAGCTGAGATTACCGGTGTGCACTACCACGCCTGGCTAATTTTTGTATTTTTAATAGAGATGTGGTTTCACCATTTTGGCCAAGCTGGCCTCGAACTCCTGACCTCAAATGATCCACTCCCCTCAGCCTCCCAAAGTACTGGGATTACAGGTGTGAGCCACCGCATCTGGCCCATGGGTGAGCTTTTCATACCCACATTTATTGTCCCAACACATAGGTTTGATCTAACTTCTGTCAGCTTACTATTTTTCTTCCTCTTTGCTGTTCTGCTCTGTTTCATGTTTACAGTTTACTACGGGGAGTGTATTTTCTTTTTTGTTTCTCTGCTTATCAATCCCAATGCAGCTAGTTCTGTCACTCAGTGGTTGCAAATCTTTCTTGAACTCTAGGCATCAGGTTCATCTTCTGAAAAATGAAAAGCGTATTTATTTGCTATCTCATGGGGCCTCACCTTTGCATCCTAACAACAATTTAGGAATACTTACTAGGTTAAACTATCTCTTGAATTCAATTTATTCAGTGTTCAAGGGAGAAAGGACCCTTTTCCCTCTGGGGTTTTGCCTGTCCTCTGCTAACTGTTGATAATTGGTTCCTGTCAGAATAATGAACTCCTACCTCTGATTGCCTGCCGGGCTTTTGCAAGGAAAAAGGACTGCGAAAGAAATTCGGCTTGTTTTTGAGGCTCTAAACATTTCCTACTACTGGAACAACTAACCAACAACCAGCCAGCCCAACCAAACAAACAAAATCCCCTAACTCCTGGAAAAACCTTGCAGAGAAGGGCTCAGGTCTGGTCAGACCAGTACCAGTGCCTGCATTTAGCTGCTTCTCTCTAAGGCTCATGGCTTCGGTCTACACTTCAGTTCACTTTAATAAGAGGAGGGTCTGCCTTGACCTTCCCTTCTCCCTACCTCCACCCTCTTTTGGTATGGACCTGAGGCATAAGTACCTTCGCCTGCAGAGAGAGAGGGAATGTAGCATGAGCTCCACCCCACGGCACAGGAATTTGTACTTGTTACTCTGGAAGAAGCCCCCAGTAAATCTGCATCCTCCTTGGTCAAGGAAGGCCCTATTACTAGTGCATTTTGGGCCTTGCCTTTTTCTTTGCCTCCTCTCCAGGACTGGGCTATAGGATGTCGTGGGCCCTTTTGTTTGCATCTGTACTAGGGTTTCCCTCTCACTGTTGGGCTCACCCCAAGACAAGGCAAAAACAAGGCAAAATCCGTCTCTTCCTTTCCTGGTATTGACTTTTTGGCTTGGGGAGGTACCTGGAAGGCCGGTGCTCACCCACACCCGGCAGGTTTGAAATTTCTGCTCTAAGGCACTGGGCACAATCCCCAGGACTCCACTGGAATTACAAAAGATTTGCAAAGCTCTCTGCAGGAAACTCCTTTTTCTGACATTCAAGGTGTGTTTTCTGGTCTTTCATTTGAGAGACTGCCAAAGCAGATAAAAATCTATTCCCAAAGTACCCTAAAGCAGTCTTTCATTCCACCCACAGGAAATCCCTGATAAAGAGGGCAGGGGGCTTTCTTTCCTCAATCCTCTTGGTCAGGAGAAAGCAACTCTTGAAGCCAGAATTAGCCTCTGCAAGCCTGTTTCTGGGCAAACATATCCGCACCCTCTGCAAAATGCAGCTGGAAGTATCCAGAGCAGAACAACTAGTGCCCTGTTGAGAGCTTCAAGATCCAGAATTTAAAGCTTCTTTATAAGCCACTTTTAAGTGTATATTCTTTCTTCTTTTTTTGTTTATTTAAAAAAAAAATCAGCCATTTTACATGCCATAAAAATTCAACCAACTAATTTAAGTGTGTATTCTGTTGCGTTTTATCCATGCTTCAGAACAGGCATCGCTGAGTGGAAGAGGAGTCCTATTAAAAGGGTTCAAATGATGCTGGAACACGGTAGCTGATTGTCAGAGCCTGACAGGTGACACAGAAAGAACAGCTTGACTGGGCACAGTGGCTCACGCGTGTAATCCTAGCACTTTGGGAGGCTGAGGTGGGCAAATCACCTGAGGTCAGGAGTTCGAGACCAGCCTGGTTAACATAGTGAAACCCTGTCTCCACTAAAAATACAAAAATTACCCAGGCATCGTGGCACATGCCTGTAGTCCCGGCTACTTGGTAGGCTGAGACATGAGAATTGCTTGAACCCGGGAGGCGGAGGCTGCAGTGAGCTGAAATCATGCCACTGCACTTCAGCCTGGGCAACAGAGTGAGACTCTGTCTCAAAAAAAAAAAAAAAAAAAAGTCAAAACATCTAGAAGACAGGATCTAGGCCCTAGCAAGTTGGAAAAACAGACCGCCGCACAAACTTGGGGAAACTCCATCTTCCCCAACTTAATGGGATCCCTCCAGAAGAGATTTAAGAAGGCAGGGTAGGTCTAGATCAGGAGTTAGTAAACCACAGCGCTTGGGCCAGATCCCATCCACTGCCTGTTTTTGCATAGCCTGAGTTAATGATTTTTACATTGTTAAATGGTTGGAAGAAATCAGATGAGTACTCTTTATTGACACATAAAAATTATATAAAATTTTGTACTCGCTTCAGCAGCACATATACTAAAATTGGAATGATACAGAGAAGTTTAGTGTGGGCTCTCCACAAGCATGACATGCAAATTCGTGAAGCATTCCATATTCTTTATTTTTTGAGACAGAGTCTTGCTCTGTCGCCCAGGCTGGAGTGCAGTGGCATGATCTTGGCTCACTTCAACCTCCACTTTCTGGATTCAAGTGATTCTCCTGCCTCAGCCTCCTGAGTAGCTGGGATTACAGGCATGCACCACCATGCTTGGATAATTTTTTTGTATTTTTAGTAGAGACGGGGTTTCACCATATTGGCCAGGCTGGTTTCGAACTCCTGACCTCAAGTGATCCATCTGTCTCGGCCTTCCAAAATGCTAGGATTACAGCTGTGAGCCACCATGCCCAGCTGTGTAGTTTTTTAAATTAAAGAAAAGAAAATTATGGCTGGGGGTGGTGGCTCACACCTATAATCCCAGCACTTTGGG